>NC_000011.10:4302424-4605454 GCF_000001405.40 Homo sapiens
GTGCTTCCTTCAGGAGCTCTTTTAGGTCAGGCCTGGTGGTGACAAAATCTCTCAGCGTTTGCTTGTCTGTAAAGTATTTTATTTCTCCTTCACTTATGAAGCTTAGTTTGGCTGGATATGAAATTCTGGTTTGAAAATTCTTTTCTTTAAGAATGTTGAATATTGGCCCCCACTCTCTTCTGGCTTGTAGAGTTTCTGCCGAGAGATCAGCTGTTAGTCTGATGGGCTTCCCTTCGTGGGTAACCCGAGCTTTCTCTCTAGCTGCCCTTAACATTTTTTCCTTCATTTCAACTTTCGTGAATCTGACAATTATGTGTCTTGGAGTTACTCTTCTCGAGGGGTATCTTTGTGCCATTCTCTGTATTTCCTGAATTTGAATGTTGGGCTGCCTTGCTAGATTGGGGAAGTTCTCCTAGATAATATCCTGTCGAGTGTTTTCCAACTTGGTTCCATTCTTCCCGTCACGTTCAGGTACACCAAATAGACATACATTTGGTCTTTTCACATAGTCCCATATTTCTTGGAAGCTTTGTTGATTTCTTTTTATTCTTTTTTCTCTAAACTTCTCTTCTCACCTCATTTCTTTCATTTGATCTTCCGTCACTGATACCCTTTCTTCCAGTTGATCGAATCAGCTACTGAGGCTTGTGCATTCGTCATGTAGTTCTCGTGCCTTGGTTTTCAGCTCCATCAGGTCCTTTACAGACTTCTCTGCATTGGTTATTCTGACCTAAAATCATATAATCCCTAGAAGAAAACCTAGGCAATACCATTCAGGACATAGACATGGGCAAGGACTTCATGTTTAAAACATGATTTTAAAGAATATCAGAAATTTCCAGAGTTTTTTATTTCTATCAATCCTGTTAGAGTGAATTTAGTCATTTCTATGATTTTTAACAGCCTACAATTTCAACCAACAATTTCGTTGCTTCTCCTGAAGAGAGTATAGTGGTATGTGATGTATTTTATGTCATAGAGCTTTTTTTTACATGGGAAATAATAGTGCAAGTTGTGGTTTTATATTGTCAATGATCATTTTTCTCTCCTCCTCTTGTTTTAACCTCTCAGGAGCATTTGAAGATACTTTACTGTTCTGTCCTTGAATTATCTTCTCAGCTTTTATAGTATCAACTTGCTCCTATACCTCCCCAACAATTTTCCAAGATTCAATCAGAAAAAAATCCATAAATCCTATCTTCAAATCTTAACATTTGCATACTTGACCCTACATGATTAGATTTCTATTCACCTCATCTACTTTATCTTCTGCTTCACCTCCACAAATACTCTGCTACAACCATTTCTATTCTTTGAACTCCTTCATCTAATTTTAGAAGTCGGCTTTTTGAAATTTCTTTTTCCTGTGCCCCAAATACTCTCACTGCCTATTTTTCTATGGCTTACTGCTTATTAGGTAAGTTTCAGTCCACATATCCTGTTCTCAGTGAAAAGTTCTCTGGCTAGCCAATTTTGAGTACATGTACGTAAATAGGGAATGAAAGATTTTCAAGCCAAAATTCATAAAAGAACGACATCACAGGCCAACCTTTGATGAATGGGGGAGTTTAGCCACCCATTCTCAGATCAGGCAGCTGAGTTCTAAAATAAGATTTCAGTATTTATGTTAATCTCTTTAGAGATACCCCTGCTTTATTTTAACCTTATTAAAATGTTGATTATTTTGCCTAAAACTAATCTGTACCCTAAATCCTATAATAACTAAATCTTTTCATTTGTTTGTTGAGACACCCCATTGTTCCTCTGGTCTCCCTCTTTGCAATTAGTTAAAAAACAAAAACAAAATCCAAGACAACCCTGAATTTGTTGGATGACAAGCTTCTGTCTAAAGTCATAGATTGATTGGGTTGGGGGAGTGTCATTGATATCTAACCTACTCCATTCAGGATTCTACTCATGCTGAATTTTTTTTTGAAAGCTAAACATTGCCTTGGGTACTTTGATCATGTACTTCTAGCTCTTGGAAGAAGGCCATCATTTTTGCAGAAATAACACCTCATTAAGAAATTTCTCCATTAAGAAATTATAATTTTCATTATACAAAAATTTATGATATAAATTATAACTCGCACTGGCATCTTTAATTTGACAATTTTTTATTTAATTATTTTTAGTATAGTTGACAAGCAAAAATGATCCTAGTTTTCATAAGATGTATTAACAATTTGTATATATTCTACCTGGCCAAGAGCATGTCAAATGTAAATAAGAAAACTTTAAGAATCTATCCCATATAAAAAAGTAACATAGAGCACATACACAAATTTATGAATAATCATGTTTATGACAAGTTTATTGATACTGGCAAATCATCTGAAATAAATATTCAATAAGAATGTATAGGTTGGCTAAAATGATATATTTTGTAATATATTGTTTATGTGAAAATCTGTTAGGCAGTATTAATTAAAGTTAAATAAATACGTGAAGTTCATTTTGTAGCAAAGGAAATTCTTGTCATGTAACATTAAGTAATAATAAACTAATCATTATACAACATAGAAATACATGAAAGTATGATTAAATAATGAAATGTTTTCAATATTAATAATTATTTTTATGAGTGCAATTGTTGGTAATTATAATATTATTACAATATATTTTTAAATAACATATTGTTGAAATATTACATATATCAATTTAAAATCTAAAATAAATGGAATAAAGACAGAGTAAGTAATAGACTTATATTAGAATCAGAACAATTCCTGAAGTTAAAAAGAGAAGGGAAACACCCAGAGAAAATGTTTGGTGACTTGACTACATATAGGTCCTCCTATATAACTAGAATTAAGGAACAGATAAAATAAGGAAATTCTTGTAAAAAAGATTACTTTTTGGACAAACTGTAAAATGTGAAATACAGTAGATGTTAAGTATGAAAAAGTTACACTGGTAACTAAATTGTTGTAATTTGCAGCTAGTTAAGATATGTTTCAAGTATGATAAATATTTGTTAGAAATATGGGTAAAATAATAGGGTATAAATTATTGAAATAAAAATGTTTGATTTCCAAATGCATTTAAAAGGTCAAGTAAGAGATAAACAGAATGTACCATAAACACAAGAGTAAAATAGGAAATTCTTTGTACATTTAAATATTTTCCAAATAGTCTACAATGAGAATTTCATACTTTTGCTTTTTAAAATGAAACATTATTTTCTTGATTTAGTAACTATTATGTTAGTAATGATAGTAGATGCAATAGATACTAGGGAAACAACAAACATTCACACACACAAATGCTCATACACATGAAAAACATATAACAGTATACATTAAAATTTATTAACAATGGATATCTAAGAACATCAAGAATTGGTAACCTTTATAATCATTTTATTTCCATTATTCTGTATTGGCTATTCTTAAAGAGTCACCATGACTTATTCAAGTAAATAAATTTTTTATTATTTTATTATAAAAAGTTTCAAATATACAGAAAATTAAAAAAAAATTATGATGACCAATTATATAGTCAACCACCAAGATTCTTTCATTAAATTTTAACTCTACTTGCTTTATCATATGAATGTTCCTTGATGTATGATGAGGTTACGTCCCAACAAAGTAATCATAAGTTGAAGACATTTAAAGTAGAAATGTATTTAATATACATTATCTATGTCATATTAAATCCAAGTAAGATTACCCCAATATGAATTATAATCACACTGTCAAAGTTCAAAAATAAAGATTCTGAAAGTGGCAGGGGAAGGAAACAAATAACTGATGAAAGAAATTGAAGAGGATACCAAAAAAAATGGAGAGATATTCCACGTTCATGGATTGGAAGAGCCAATATTGTTAAAATGTCCATACTACCCGAAGCAACCTACAGATTCAATGCAATCACTATCAAAATATCAATGGCATTCTTCACACAAATAAAAAAAATCCTAAAATGTATACAGAACCACAAAAGACCCAGAATAGCCAAAGCCATCCTAAGCAAAATGAACGAAACTGGGAGAGCCACGTTACCTGACTTCAAATTATACTACAGAGCTATAGTAACCCAAACAGCATGGTATTGTCATGAAAACAGACACATAGACCAATGGAACAGAATGAAGAACACAGAAACAAATCCACACACCTACAGTAAACTCATTTTTGACAAAGGTGCCAGGAACATACACTGGGGAAAAGGCAGTCTCTTTAACAGATGGTGCTAGGGAAACTAGATATCCACATGCAAAAAAAGAAAAAAAAAGAAAGAAACTAGGCAGTATCACTGAATCTCTCACCATATACAAAAATCAAATCAAAATGGACTAAAGCGTTAAGTCTAATACTTCAAGCTAAGAAAGTACTACAAGAAAACATTGGGGAAACTCTCCCAGGCAATGGTCTGGGCAAAAATTTCTTGAGCAATACCCCACAAGCACAGGCAACCACAGCCAAAATGGACAAATAGGATCACATCAAGTTAAAAAACTTCTGCACAGCAAAAGAAACATTCAACTAAGTGAAGAGACACCCACAGATGGTAGCAAATATTTACAAACTACCTATCTGAAAAGGGGTTCATAGCCAGAGTATACAAGGAGTTCAGACAATGCTATAGGAAAAAAGTCTAAAAATCTGATTAAAAAATAGGCAAAAGATTTGAATAGACGTTTCTCAAAAGAAGACATACAAATGGCAAATGGGCTTATGAAAAGGTGCCTCCTATGAAAGCAATAGCGTTGCTCGTCTGAGAAATGCAAATTAAAACTACAATGAGATACCACCTCACCCCAGTTAAAATGGCTTTTATCCAAGAGACAGGCAATAACAAATGCTGGTGAGGATGTGAAGAGAAGCAATCTCTTGTACACTGTTGGTGGGAATGCAAACTAGTATAACCACTATGGAGAACAGTTTGGAGGTTCCTCAAAATACTGAAAAGAGAGCTACCATGGGATCCAGCAATCCTATTGCTGGGTATACACCCAAAAAAAGGAAATGGAAGAGATATTTGCACTCCTATGTTTATTGCAGCACTATTCACAATAGCCAAGATTTGGAAGCAACCTAAGTGTCCATCAACAGATGAATGAATAAAGAAAATCTGGTAATGTACACAATGGATTACTATTATTCTAATAATCAGTACTAATATTCAGCATGCAAAGAATGAGATTCTGTTGTTTGTGACAACATGAATATAACTGCAGATCACTATGTTAACTGAAATAAAGCTTGCAAAGAAAGAAAAACATTGCATGTTCTCATTTATGCTGGATCTAAAAATCAAAACAACCGAGCTCATGGACATAGAGAGTAGAAGGATGGTTACCAGAGGCTGGGAAGTGTATTGGGGGTTGGGGAGGAGGTGGGGTTGGTTAATGGATACAAAAAGTAGAATGAATAAGACCTATTCTTTGATAGCACAAAAGGATGATTACAGCTGACAATAATTTGATTGTACATTTGAAACAACTAAAAGAGTAAAAGTGAATTGTTGGTAACACAAAAGATAAACGCTTGAGATGTATACCTCGTTCTCCATGATGTGATTATTATGCATTACATGCCTGTATCAAAACATATAATGCACCCCATAAATATATACACCTATTATTTATCCACAAAAATTAAAAATAAAAACAAAAGAAGAAACAGCACCAATATACAACCTACCATTTTACCTCAAGAAAATAGAAAAACAAGAGCAAACGCAAAATTAGTACTCCTTGTTTTACCTATAAAACTAGACTACTTTATATTGTTTAAAGACAAACAATAGAAGAGAGACATAAAGAGTTGATTTGTTGAAAAGATAAACAAAATTGACAAACCGGTAATTAGACTAAGAAAAAAAGAGAAAACTCAAATAAATAAAATGAGAGATGAAAAAGGAGACGTTACAACTGATATCGCAGAAATCATAGAGGATCTGAAGACTATTATGAACAATTATACACCAAATAATTGGAAAATCGAGAAGAAATAGATAAATTCCTGGAAACATAGGAGCTACCAAAATTGCATTATGAATAAATGGAAACCTGAACAGACCAATAATGTGCAAGGAGATTGAATCAATAATAAAAGGAAGCCATCAAAAAAAGCTCAGTACCGCACAGCTTAATTTTGTCAAATATTTACAGAAGATTTACTACCAATTCTTCACAAAATATTCCAAAAAACTAAAGAGGAGGGAATTATTCCCAACTAATTCTACAAGGTCAGCTGTACCCGGACACCAAAACCAGACAAGGTCCCAAAAACAAAAGAAGAAAAACTACAGACCAATATCCCTGAGGAACATAGATACAGTAATCCTCAATAAAATGCTATCAAACTGATTTCAACAGTCTGTGGAAAAGATTGTTCACCATGATCAAGTGAGATACATCCTAGGAATGCAAGGATGGTTCAAAATATGAATATCAATAAATGTGATACATTAAATTAACAGAATGAAGGAAAAATATAATCATTTTAATAGATGCTGAAAAAGTGTTTGACAAAATTCAACACTCTTCATGATAAAAACTCTGAACAAATTAGGTGTAGAAGGAATGCATCTCAACACAATAAAGGTCATATATGACAAACCCTCAGCTAACATTATACTCAGTGGGGAAAAGTTGAAAGCTTTTTCACTGAAATCGGCAACAAGACAAGGATGCCTAATTTCACTACTTGTATTCAACATAGTATGGAAGTCCTAGCCAGAGCAATTAGGCAAGAGAAAGAAATAGAAGGCATCCACACTGGAAAGGAAGAAGTTAATTTTTCCCTGTTTGCGAATAACATTATCTTATACGTAGAAAACTCTAAAGGCTCCACCAATAACTATTAGAACTAATATGCAAATTCAGTAAAGTGGAAGGATAAAAAATCAACAAAAATATTAGTAGTCTTTTTATATGTTAATAGAAAACTATCTGAAAAAGAAATCAAGAAAACTATCCCATTTACAATAGCTGCAAAAATAAAATAAAGTACCCAGACATAAATTTAACCAAGAAGGTGAAATATCTCTATGATGAAAAAAAAAAACTGATTAAAGAAATGGAAGAAGACACAAAGAAATGAATATTACATATGAATAAATTGTAAAAATAATATTGCTAAAACATTCATACTACTCAAAACTATATACAGATTGAATGCAATGACTATCAAAATACTAATGATACTTTTTTACAGAAATAGGAAAAACAATCCTAAAAGACCTATAAAACCACACAAACCCCCAAATAACCAAAGTAATTTTCACCACAAAGAACAAAGTTGAAGGCATCATATTATGGGGCTGCAAAATATGCAATAAAGCTATAGTAACCAAAACATCATGGCACTAGCATAAAAACAGATACATTGACCAATGAAACAGAAATAGAGAGCCTAGAAATAATTCCAAGCACTTAGAGACAATAGATTTTCAATCAAGTAAGTCACCAAGAACACATATTGGGAAAAGGAGTCTCTTCAGTAAGTAGGATAGGAAGAAGTAGATAGTCACATGCACAATGAAATTAGACCCTTATCTCACCTTATGTATAAAAAAGGTCAAAGAAGATTAAAGACCTAAACATAAGACCAGAAACCATGAAACTACTAGAAGAAAATATAGGGGAAAGGCTTCAGAGATTGGTGTGGGTAAGGATTTTTTTTTTGGATATGACCTCAAAATCAAAGATGACAAAAAGCAAAATAGACAACTGAGATTACATTCAAAGAAAAAGATTCTGCACGGCAGAGAAAACAATCCACAAAGTGCAAACACAACCTGTAAAGTGGGAGAAAATCTTTGCAGTCTATACAACTGATATGGCATTAATATCTAAAATTTATAAGGAATCCAAACAACTTAATGACAAGAAAACAAACAACAGTATTTTAAAAAGGGCAAAACACCTGAGTAAACATTTCTCAAAAGAAGACATACAAATGGCCAATAGGTCAATAGGTGTATTAAAAAATGTTAAACATCACTGATGATCAGGGAAATATAAATCAAAACCACAATGAGATATCACTTTGCACCTATCTTAAGGGCTATTATCAAAAAGACAAAAGAACAAATAGTAAGGATGTGGAGAAAAATGAACTCTTACACACTGTTGGTGGGAATGTTAATTAGTACAGACATTATGGAAAACACTCTGTAGGGTCCTTAAAATATTAAAAATAGAATTATCATATGATTCAGTAACACCACTATTGAGTATATATCCAAAGGAAATAAAATCAGTATATCAAAGAGATATCTGTGCTTCCAGGTTTATTGCAGCACTATGCACAAAGGCCAAGATATGGAATCACCCTAAGTGTCCCATCTACAGATAAAAATGGATAAAGAAAATGTGGTATATATACACAATGGAATACTATTCAGCCATCAAAAAGAACACAATCCTGTTAGTTGCAACATGTTTGAACCTGGAGAACATTAAGTTAAATAGATAAGGCATAAAATGACAAATGTTGGATGATCTCACTCATATGTGAGTGAGAAAAAACTTGATCTCACAGAAGTAGGGAGTAGAATGTTGGTTACCAGAGGTGTGGATGGTTAAGGGAGAGGTAGGGATAGGGAGATGGTGGTCAAAGGATATGTAATTACAGTTATATAGGAGAAATGTATATAATACATTAAACATGTGTCCAGAATAGGCAATTATATAGAGTTAGAAAGTAGATAAGTAATTGCCTGGGGCTAGGGGAAGAGGGGAAGAGAATAGGTGGGAGTGGGGAGGAAAAGGAAGAATGACTACTAATGGTTATGAAGTTTTTTATGTGATGAAACTGTTCTAAAATTGATTGTGGTGATGGTTGTGTAACTCTGTGAACATACTAAGACCATTGGATTATAGACTTTATTGATTTTTGTTATTTCTATTTTTTATTACATTTCAATAGTTTCTGGGGAACAGATGGTTTTTGGTTACATAGATAAGTTCTGCAGTGGTGATTTCTGAGATTTTGGGGCACTGGTTACCAGAGCTGCGTATACTATACCCAATGTGTAGTCTTTTATCCCTCACCTCCTCCCACCCTTCCTCCCACATCCCCAAAGTCCATTATATAATTTTCATACCTTTGCATCCTCCTAGCTTAGCTCCCACTTGTAAGTGAGAACATACAATATTTGATTTTCCACTCTTGAGTTACTTCACTTAGAACAATGGTCTCCAACTCCATCCAGGTTGCTGCAAATGCCATTATTTCATTTCTTTTTATAGCTGAGTAGTATTCCATGGTGTATATACCACATTTTCTTTATCCACTTGTTGGTTGATGGGCATTTAGGCTGGATGATACACTTTAAATGGATGAATTGTATGATATGTAAATTATATCTTTAAAGCTGTTTAAAAGAAAAGAAAAGCCCAGGACTTGATGGTTTCACTCATGAATTCTACAAAACACTTAAAGAAGAAAGAAAACCAGTCCTTCTCAAACTCTTTCAAAAAACTGAAGAAGAGGGCAAAATCCCAAACTTATTTCATGAGGCTAGGACTATCTGATACGAAAGACAGACAAGGACCATACAATAAAAGAAAATTACTCTGAGAGCAGTGGCTCACACCTATAATCCCGGTACATTGAGAGGCTGAGGCAGGAGGACCACTTGAGCCCCGCAGTTTGAGACCAACCTAGGCAACATAGTGAGACCGTGTTTTTACAAAAAATAGAAAAAGGTAGCTAGACAAGGTGGTGCATGCCTGTAATCCCAGCTACTTGGGAGGCTGAGGTAAGAGGATTGCTGGAGCCCAGGAGTTGAGGCTGAAGTGAGCCATGATCACACCACTGCATTCCAGCCTGGGCAGCAGAGCGAGATACTGTCTCAAAAAAATTACACACAAACATCCTCAACAAATATAAACATAGATGCAAAAATCCTCAACAATACTAGTAAACTGAATTCCACAGCATATAAAAATGATCATTCATCAAGATCAAGTGAGATTTATCCATAGGGTAAAGATGGTTCCACATACACGTGATATACCATATTAACAGAATGACGAACAGAAATCATATGGTCATCTCAATAGATGGAGAAAGTATTTAACAAAATTCAACATTTTTTTCCATGAAAAATGTTCTCAACAAATTACATATAGAAGGAATGCACCTCAACACAATAAAGGCCATATAAGACATACCCTCAGCTAACATCATACTCAGTGAGGAAAAGTTTAAAGCTTTTCCTCAAAGGTCAGGAACATAATAAAAATGTGCACTCTGACCACTTCTAGTCAGCATAGTACTGGAAGTCCTAGCCAGAGCAATTCAGCAGGAGAAAGAAATAAAAGGTTTCTAGATCGAAAAGGAAGCAGTTAAATTGTCCCTGGTTTGCAGATGACATGATTGTATATGAAGAAAACTTTATAGACTCCACCAAAAAACTGTTAGCACTGATAAAAATTCAGTAAATTAGCAAGATATAAAATTAACACATAAAATTAGTAGCTTTTCTATACACTAACAAGAAACTATCTAAAAAAGAAATCAAGAACACAATTTCATTTATGATAGCATTAATAAGAATAAGTTACTTAGGAATATATTTAGCCAAGGAAGTGAAAAACCTGTACACTGAAAACTAGAAAACATTGATGAAGGAAACTGAAGAAGACACAAATAAATGGGAAGATAGCCTCTGTTCATGGATTGGGAGAATTAATATTGTTAAAACATCCACACTACCCAAAGCAATCTACAGATTCAGTGTAGTCCCTATCAAAATACCAATGACATTCTTCACAGAGGTAGAAAACACAACCTTAAAATTATTATGGAACCATATAAGACCTTGAATAGCCAAAGCACTCTCAAGTAAAACATGAAAAATAAAATACAAAAACCAAAACTGGAGGTATAATAACACCTGACTTCAAAATATACTACAAAATATATTATAAAGCTATAGTAATTAAAACAGCAAGGTACTAACGTTAACAAAAGGACACAAAGACCAATGGAGCAGACTAAAGAGCCTAGGTATAATTCCACACATTTACTGTCAATTGACTTTTGCCAAAGGTGGCAAGAACAGACAAGGGGGACAATCAGTGTCTTTAATAAATGGTATTGGGATAACTCAATATCCACAAACAAAAGAATAAAATTAGATCCTTATCTCACTCTACATACAAAAATTACATCAAAATGGATTAAAGGCTTAACTGTAAGACTAGAAACTTTAAAACAGCTAGTAGAAAATGGGGGAAAAGCTTCATGACATTGGTCTGGGCAACAATTTTTTGAATAAGAATCCAAAAGCATAGGCAACAAAAATGAAAATTGGCAGAATTATTTGAAACTAGAAAAACTTCTGCATAGGCAGGAAATAACAGAAGAAAAAGGCAATCTATGGAATGGGAGAAAATATTTGCAAACCTTTATCTGATAAGGGGTTAATAGCCAAAATATATAAATAATTCCAACAACCCAATAGTAGGGAATAAACTTCTTAAAAAATGGGCAAAGCACCTAAATAGGCAATTCTCAAATAAGACATACAAATGGCCCATAGGTAAATGAAGAAAAGAAAAAGGTCAACAAAATTAATCATCAGGGAAATGCAAATTAAAACCACAATGAGATATCACCTCATACATGTTAGAATGACTATTAACGAAAAGACAAAAGATAAAAAGTGTTGGAGAGAATGGGGAGAAGGGGAACCCTTGCACATTGTTGGTGGGAATGTTAGATAGTATAACTATTATGGAAAACAGTATGGACAGTCATAAAAAAATTAAAAATAGAACTAGCTATGATCCAGCAATCTCACTACTGTGTATATATCCAAATATATGAAATCAGTACGTTGAAGACTCTAACTTCTAGTTCAAGTCCAAGGAACCCCTCTCATCACTCCATTTGCAGAGGAAAAACAATTCAAATATGAGCTGTCCCAGGATGTACAGCAATCGGCTTGTAGTTATAGGGGTAGTGCTTATTGAAAGAGGCTAAGCAAAAATACACTGAGAATAAATGCTGTTTTTTTTTTCCTTTGTCCACTTTTGTATGGGGTAATCATTTCTTTCTTTTTAGAATGGTAAGCTCTAGAGGATAAATATTTGGATGAAGGCCATAGGAAAAGGGGCCACAGAGGCCTGTTTAATAGAGACTTCAGGTCTGAGATACAAATGAGTCCTCCCAGCTCACAGTTGGTAGCTCAGTTCATGACATTATCTAGAGTTTGCACCAACATTCAGCTAGTATTAAAGACTTTGCTCACAACTGTTGCAAGGACAGAAAACCAAACACCACATGTTCTCACTCATAGGTGGGAATTGAACAATGAGAACACTTGGACACAGGGTGGGGAACATCACACACTGGGGCCTGTCTTGGGGTGGGGAGATGGGGGAGCGATAGCATTAGGAGAAATACCTAATGTAAATGATGAGTTAATGGGTGCAACAAACAAACACGGCACAGGTATACATATGTAACAAACCTGCACGTTTTGCGCATGTGCCCTAGAACTTAATGTAAGAAAAAAAAATAATTCTGCTCAGGAGGAACATCTCTGTGTATCTTCTTGCTGAGCCTGTGGTGGTAATAGGTAAGAGGCAGCTACTTGAGCTCCTGGAGTTCTTAGATGCGGGCATCTCTTTTTCAGAAGATGCAACCAATATTTTCTAACAGGACCTGGAGAATCATTTTATTTTAAAATCCCTCATAGTTCCAATGTTTAGATCACCTGTGGTTCTGTCGCTATTTTTTTCCACTTTTTTTTTTAGTTATTTGTTAGTTTCTTGGCATGCTTGGTGTGTGTGAATGGATAGTGATTTTATATGAAAAAACTAGAGACTCTGTTCTCTGAAACTGTTACGTTTCTCTAGAAAGAATTCAGGCAGATAAGGGTACTGGCAGATCTTGATCCATCTGAGAGGACGCTTAACTTTTGCTAGTGCTAGCGTTGATCTTTTTCTGGGTTGTCCTTACTCCTAGAGTACAGCCCTTCTAGTGTTTCAAAGCTTCCTAGTGTTTCAGTGTTTATTTACAAGGGTTGCTCTACCTCCTCAGGCCCTGACCTCCAGCCTCTGACTCCCCAGCACCATCAGACTGCTAGTCTTTGCATAACTGTTTAGCTTCACAGCTGCTGCTTTCAATTCAGGTGCTGAGAATCTTGCCCTGAACATGCACAGCTTAGGAATTGGCAAACTCCTCAAGGGGAATCGGCACGCTGAACTTTGGCCCAATTTTCTCTAAGGCTGCCTCTTCTATCTCAGGTCTCAGACTCCATGGTATCCCTGAACTGCAACTTCTTTATTCCTAGCCTGCTGGGTTTCACTCGCGTCCGTGTGAAGAGACCACCAAACAGGCTTTCCGTGAGCAGCAAGGCTGTTTATTTCACCTGGGTGCAGGCGGGCTGAGTCCGAAAGAGAGTCAGCGAAGGGAGATAGGGGTGGGGCCGTTTTGTAAGATTTGGGTAGGTAAAGGAAAAAGGGGGTTGTTCTCTGGTGGGCAGGAGTGGGGGGTCACAAGGCGCTCAGTGGGGGAGTTTTTGAGCCAGGATGAAGCAGGAGAAGGAATTTCACAAAGTAATGTCATCAGTTAAGGTGAGGACCAGCCATTTTCACTTCTGTTATGGTGGAATGTCATCAGTTAAGGCAGGAACAGGCCATTTAAATATCACTTCTTTTGTGATTCTTTAGTAGCTTCAGGCCCTCTGGATGTATACAAGCAGGTCACAGGGGATATGATGGCTTAGCTTGGGCTCGGAGGCCTGACATTCCTGTCTTCTTATATTAATAAGAAAAATAAAATATAATAGTGTTGAAGTGTTTGGGCAGTGAAAATTTTGGGGGGTGGTATGGATAGATAATGGGCGATGTTTCTCAGGGATGCTTTGATTAGGGGCAGCGTGGGAACCTCGAGTGGGAGAGAGTAAGCTGAAGGAAGATTTTGTGGTAAGGGGTGATATTGTGGGGTTGTTAGAAGAAACATTTTTCGTATAGAATTATTGGTGATGGCCTGGATATGGCTTTGTATGAATTGAAAAAAGAGCAGAATAAGACAGAGAGAACAACAGGTATTAAAGGACTAAGAATTGGGAGAACCCAGGACATTTAACTAGAGAGTGCCTAAGGAGGTTCAGCATAGCCCTGCCAGCAAAGATTATTTACTTTAGGAGGGAGTTAATAATGGCAGTTTGGGGATAGCACCATGAGATATCAGCTGTGATGGCTTGGAGAGACAGTGTAAACCGGCAGTGTAAACAAGAGCAGGGCATTTATGAGTAGTTGAGAATGGTGAATAGGAGTATGACTAGATAGAAGATAGTAGGGAAGACAAGCTTTTTTTTTTTTTTTTTTCGGGGGCGGTCGCAGTCCAAGTTGGTCTGGTGTCTGGAATGAGACTGGGGCCTAATAAAAAGGAGCGTCTACCCCGTCTCTACTAAAAATACAAAAAAAAAAATTAGCCGGGCGCGGTGGCGGGCGCCTGTAGTCCCAGCTACTCGGGAGGCTGAGGCAGGAGAATGGCGTGAACCCGGGAAGCGGAGTTTGCAGTGAGCCGAGATTGCGCCACTGCAGTCCGCAGTCCGGCCTGGGCGACAGAGCGAGACTCCGTCTCAAAAAAAAAAAAAAAAAAAAAAAAAAAAAAAAAAAAAAAGGAGCGTCTATAGAGCAGTTCAAATGGGCTGTACCCTGCAGCATTCTGAGGACAGGCCTGAATTCTGAGAAGGGCAAGTGGTAAAAGTATTGCCCATTCCTTTTTAAGTTGGTGACTGAGCTTGGTGAGGTGAGTTTTTAAAAGACCATTAGTTCACTGAACACTAAGAGCCTGAGAAACTGCTTGGGTGATTTGACTAACAAAGGCCGGTCCGTTATCGGACTGTATAGAGGTGGGAAGCCCAAACTGAGGAATTATGTCTGACAGAAGGGAAGAAATGACTGCGGTGGCCTTCTTAGACCCTGTGAGAAAGGCCTCTACCTATCCAGTGAAAGTATCTACCTAGACCAAGAGGTATCTGAGTTTCCTGACTCGGGGCATGTTGAGTAAAGCCAATTTGCCAGTCCTGGGCGGGGGCAAATCCCCGAGCTTGATGTGTAGGGAAGGGAGGGGGCCTGAATGATCCCTGAGGAGTAGTAGAATAGCAGATGGAACACTGAGAAGTGATTTCCTTGAGGATAGATTTCCACGATGGAAAGGAAATGAGAGGTTCTAAGAGTTGGGCTGTTGGCTTGTTCTATAGCATAGCCTGCCTTTGCTGGTGTGTGGCGATTAGGCCTGGTGGAACTGCCATCAATAAATCAAGCGTGATCAGGGTGAGGAACAGGAAAGAAGGAAATATGGGGAAATGGGGTGAATGTCAGGTGGATCAGAGAGATACAGTCATGAGGGTCAGGTGTGGTATCCGGAATAATGCGGGAGGCCAGATTGAAGTCTGGGCCGGGAACAATGGTAATTGTGGGAGACTCAACAAAGAGTGAGTATCGCTGAAGGAGCCGGGAAGCAGAAAGTATATGCATCAGGTGTGAGGAAGAAAATAGGTTTTGGAAGTTATAAGAAGTATAGAGAGTGAGTTGAGCATAGTTTGTGGTTTTGAGGGCCTCTAAAATTATTAAAGCAGTGGCAGCCACTGCACGCAGACATGAGGGCTAGGCAAAACAGTAAGGTCAAGTTTTTTGGACAGAAAGGCTACAGGGTGCGGTCCTGGCTCTTGTGTAAGAATTCTGACTGCACTAACCATGCCTAGGAAGGAAAGGAGTTGTTGTTTTGTAGAAGGGATTGAGGTTTGGGAGATTAGTTGGACATGATCAGCAGGGAGAGCACGTGTGTTTTTATGAGAATTATGCCGAGATAGGTAACAGATGAGGATGAAATTTGGGCTTGACTGAAGCAATGGGAGCTGTCTGTGAAGGCTTGTGGCAGTACAGCCCAGGTAATTTGCTGAGCCTGATTGGTGTCAGGGTCAGTCTAAGTGATGAAGGGTGCAAAGGGATAGTAAAGAAAGCATGTTTGAGATCCAGACAGAATAATGGGTTGTGGAGGGAGGTATTGAGGATAGGAGAGTATATGGGTTTGGCACCACGGGGTGGAGAGGCAAAACAATTTGGTTGATAAGGCACAGATCCTGAACTAACCTGTAAGAAAGACTTGTCTGGTTCTAGGACAGGTGAAATGGGGGAACTGTAAGGGGAGTTTATAGGCTTTAAAAGTCCATGCTGTAGCAGGTGTGTGATAACAGGCTTTAATCCTTTTAAAGCGTGCTGTGGGATAGGATATTGGCGTTGAGGCGGGTAAGGGTGATTAGGTTTTAATAGGATGGTAATGGTCATGTGATCGGTTGCCAGGAAGGGAGTAGAGATGTCTTATACTTGTGGGTTAAGGTGGGGGGATACGAGAGGAAGATACAAAGGAGGCTTTGGGTTGGGAAGAAGGGCGGCAATGAGATGTAGCCCAGGAATAGACAGGGAAGCAGATAATTTAATTAAAATGTCTCGGCCTAATAAGGGAGCTGGGCAGGTGGGGATAATGAAAAAGGAGTGCTTAAAAGAGTATTGTCTAAGTTGGCACCAGAGTTGGGGAGTTTTAAGAGGTTTAGAGGCCTGGCAGTCAATACCTGCAACAGTTATGGAGGCAAGGGAGACAGGCTCTTGAAAAGAAGGTAATGTGGAGTGGGTAGCCTCCTTATTGATTAAGAAGGGGATGGACTTACCTTCCATTGTGAGAGTTACCCAGAGCATCTGTGATGGTCCTGTAGGCTTCCGAGGTGATCGGGCAATGTCAGTCTTCAGCTGCTAAGCCGAGAAGATCTGGGAAGGAGTCAGAGAGCCTTGGGCCAGAGTTCCAGGGGTTCTGGAAGTGGCTGCCAGGTGAGTTGAACAGTTTGATTTTCACTGGGGTCTCGCACAGATGGGACACGGCTTAGGAGGAATCCTGGGATGTGGGCATTCCTTGGCCTAGTGGCCAGATTTCCAGCACTTGTAGCAAGCTCCTGGGGGAGGAGGTTCTGGAGGAACCCCCGGCAGCAGCAGTTCAGGCATTTGGAGTTCTTGTGTGCTGGAGATGTGGCTGGGGTTTCGCTCACAGTGGAGGCAAGGAATTGCAACTCAGAAATATGTTGCTACTTGGCTGCCTCTACTCTATTATTGTACACCTGGAAGGCGAGGTTAATTAGATCCTGTTGTGGGGTTTGAGGGCCGGAATTTAATTTTTGAAGTTTTTTCCTAATGTTGGGAGTGGACTGGGTGATAAAATGCATATTAAGAATAAGGCGGCCCTCTGGCCCTTCTGGGTCTAGGGCAGTAAAGCGTCTAAGGGTCACTGCTAAGTGGGCCATGTACTGGGCTGGGTTTTCATCTTTACCTTGGGTAGTTTCTTTCAGCTTGTCATAATTAACAGCTTTGTAAGCTGCCTTTTAAAGCCGTTCAATTAGGCGGGAAATCATGTAATCTCACCTAGCTATACCTGGGGAATCTGCCTGATAGTTCCATTGGGGATCCTCTCGAGGAACTGCTCTAATACCTTCCTGGAGGTCTGGCTCATGAAGCCGGTGGTTATCAGCATGAGATTGGGCTAGAGAAAAAACTCATTCTCGTTCACCTGGGGAGAGGGTAGAAGTCAGGATGACATTTAAGTCACTCCAGGTTAAATTGTAGGACAGAGTAAGATATTGGAATTCCTGTATGTATTTAGTGGGGTCTGATGAGAAAGAGCCTAAACGCTGACTGATCTGAGAGAGGTCTGATAGAGAAAAAGGTACATGTACCCTGACTATGCCTTCAGCTGCAGCCACTTCTCTAAGAGGAAATTGTTGGGCAGGTGGGGAAGAGCTAGTCACGGAACTAAACTGTAAGCTGGACTGGGTGTGAAGAGGGGAGGTGATAGAAGGATTACAGGGTGGAGGAGTGGAGGCTGAGGAAGAATGGGGACCTGGCTTGGCCTGGCGAGGAGCAGCCTGGGGAGGAGGGGAGAAGTCAGATGGGTCTGTAGAAAAGGAAGATTAGAAAGACTCAACTATGCTTGGGATTGGGACTGAGAGGACAGGAGGGAGGGAAAGAAGGAGTATTTGGGATGAGTCACACTGGGAACAGAGACTAGGGAAGGAACAATGTGTAAAAGAATGCCTGGACATCAGGCACCTCAGATCATTTGCCTATTTTACGGTAAGAATTATGTAGATCTTGTAGGATGGAAAAATCGAAAGTGCTGTTTTCTGGCTATTTGGAAACACTGTTGAGTTTGTATTGGGGTCAGGCGGCATTGTAGAATAAAATAAGGCATTTAGGTTTAGGTCAGGTGTGAGTTGAAGAGGTTTTAAGTTCTTGAGAACACAGGCTAAGGGAGAAGAAGGAGGAATGGAGGGTGAAAGGCTGCCCATAGTGAAGGAGGCAAGCCCAGAGAAAAGAGAGAGTAGAGACATGGAGAGAAGGGGTGGGGGGTGCTTGCACCCAGGAAAGTGGAGAAGGGGTAGAGACATGGAGAGAAGGGGTTGGGGGGTTTTTGCCACCCAGAAAAGCAGAGAAGGGGTAGAGACACGGAGAGAAGGGGTGGGGGGTTCTTGCCCTCCAGAAAAGCGGAGAAGGGGTAGAGACACGGAGAGAAGGGGTGGGGGGTTCTTGCCCCCCAGAAAAGTGGTACTTGCCACTAAGGGCGAAAGACCAAGGCAGGCATCCCTGTGTGGTCAGACACCTCTGAAACGTGGATGAATAATCAGGTGTCCCCGTGTGATTAAACACCAAGGGAAGACTGTCTTCCCGAGTCCATGACCGGCGCTGAAGTTTTGGGTCCACGGATAAAACTCATCTCCTGTCTGTAGGAGAAAAGTAAAGAAACTGAAATTAAGAGAAGGGAGAGATTGAAGTGTGGTGCCAAGATTGAAAGGAGCAAGAAGTTGAGGGATAGTGAGAGAGGTTGGAGAAGAGAGTAAAAAGAGGCCACTTACCTGATTGAAAATTGGTGTGATGTTCCTTGGGCTAGTTGGTCTGAGGACATGAGGTCGTAAGTGGATCTTTCTCACAGAGTGAAAGGCAGGAGGACACGGGATTGATCTCCCAAGGGAGGTCCCCTGATCCGAGTCATGGCACCAAAATTTCATTCACGTCTGTGTGAAGAGACCACCAAACAGGCTTTGCGTGAGCAACAAGGCTGGTTATTTCACCTGGGTGCAGGCAGGCTGAGTCCGAAAAGAGTGTCAGCGAAGGGAGATAGGGGTGGGGCCGTTTTATAAGATTTGGGTAGGTAAAGGAAAAAGGGGGTTGTTCTCTGGTGGGCAGGAGTGGGGGCTCACAAGGTGCTCAGTGGGGGAGTTTTTGAGCCAGGATGAGCCAGGAGAAGGAATTTCACAAAGTAATGTCATCAGTTAAGGCAAGGACAGGCCATTTTGTTTTCTTTTGTGGTGGAATGTCATCAGTTAAGGCAGGAAGAGGCCATTTAAATATCACTTCTTTTGTGATTCTTCAGTTGCTTCAGGCCCTCTGGATGTATACATGCAGGTCACAGGGGATATGATGGCTTAGCTTGGGCTCAGAGGCCTGACACTGAGAATGCTACAAGCTCCCACTACCTTTCAACTTGGTCTTTGTTGCACATGCCAGGACTTAGCAAATGCTCTGAGGGCAAAAGCAGAGGCAAATGCAGCTTGCATAGCTGCACTAGTGTACATTCTTTCCAGCAATCTTCCCTTCAAGTCCCACTTGGATTGTTTTTTTCTTTAACAACTTTGGTTGCTTTAAGTATTTTACCTAGCTTCTATGTTTACTATTGATTGGAAGGTTAGTACAAGCTCCTCCATTTTGCTCAGATGTTGGATGTAGTTTCTGCTTATCCACAAGTGTCCCAAAGCCCCAAGGGACTGGTTTAGGATTTATCCTCTGTCACCTGGATGATCACACCAGACTTCTAACTGGTCTCTGCTTATAGGCTTACCCTTTCCAATCCATGCTAACTCAGGAAAATGATACATCGGTTGTATTTTTCCAAAATTTCTTATAGTATACATTTCTCAGATAATAAACTATGGCTTCTGGCTTCCCCTCTCTACCTACAGTGCTGCAGACTTGGTTCAAAAATTAGGAACTGGCAAGCCATGCTTTGGGAGGCCCAAGTGGGAGGATTGCCTGAGGTTAGGAGCTCGAGACCTGCCTGGCCAACATAGTGAGACCCCATCTCTAGAAAAAAAAATGAGCTTGGCATGGTGGTACACTCATATAGTTCTAGCTACTTAGGAGGCTGAGGATCACTGGATTCCAGGAGTTCAAGGCTGCAGTGAGCTTTGATTGTGCCACTGTACTCCAGAGTAGGTGACAGAGCAAGACCTTGTCTCTAAAAAACAAAACACAATTAAGAACTGAATTCCTAAAGTATCCAGGTACTGTATGAGCAGTGAGCCAAGATGAATATGCACAGTTCTGGTCATTGAGTCTAGTATAATGAGGATGCTAGAACTATGAAAGATAACCTCAAAGTTGTAATTTTTATGATGTAATCATGCCCCTGACACTACAGGAGCCTAGATAATGGCATGGGCCTAGTTAGTACAATCCCCTTGCTGGGCTAGAGTCAGCAATGAGCTGTAATAGGAAGTCATTGTCTGTCAATACTGACACAAGGAACATTTACCGAGCATTTACTATGTTCTAGGAACTTTTCTGGCTGATCTGGAAGGGCAGATAAAGAAGTCTACCTTTTGCCCTCAAGGGGTTTGCAGTCTATTAGGAGACAACCCTGCCAAACAGTAACATACCAGGTTGTTTGAAACACATCAACAACAAAACAACAACGCCAAACAAAACAGAAACAGGAGCAAATCTATTTTTTTAAAGAGTTGAGAAGAATAGCACAAATACATAAAATGAAAAAGAAGAACAATCTTCAAAATAGAAAATGGATTTTATTATGAATTATTATAAATAAACTTCACAAAACAAGGTGTACAAATGTACCATAAACACATGAGGTGATGCTCAGCATCTTTAGTCATCAGGGAAATGCAAACCAAAATCCCAAAATTCCACTCAGAAACACTAAATGGCTAAAATAGAAAAGGTGAGAAAGAATGAATGTTGGTGAAGTTGTGGAACAATGGGGACGCTGATGCTGGGAATGTAAACTGATTAAACCACTTTGGAAAAAAAACTTGGCAATTCTTAGGAAGTTCAACATATATTTATCCTATAGCCCAGACATTTCAGTCTTAGGTACTCACCCAAGAGAAACTGGTTGCTTGAGGGCCTGAAGGGAGAACTGGTAGGGGGTGCTTTATGAGTGTTGTCAGTTAGGCCCTGGGCTTGCGATCCGAGGAGGGAAGAGGAGAGAGGCTGATTTTGGTATCCTGAGATTCTTCATGGACCCAAGAAGCCAAAGTGAAATCCTGAAGTGGGTTGAAGGGGACCAGGAATCTCAAAGGCTTTATTTAGGTGCATCTGAAGAGATCTGCTGCTTGCTTTGTTCTTTACTACCAGACTTGGGCCAACAGAGACCACTTTGTCTTCTAGCATCTCTGGGACTGCTCCTGTTAGGGGAAGAAGGTATCTGAGTTACCTAAGGTGAATCCATACGGGTCTGCAGCAACCTCAGTTCTTATCTCTTCAGAGCAGCAAGAATTCGACTAAGAGGCATAAGGCAAAAAAAGACCGAGGCAAGTCTCAGAGCAGGAGTGGAAGCTTATTAAACAGCTTTAGAGCAGAAAGTAAAGTACACTTGGAAGAGACTCCAGTGGGTGACTTGAAGGACAAGTGCCCTGCTTAACCTTGATCCTGGGACTTTATATTGTGGCCCATTTTTGGCATATTGCACCCCTTTCCCATGATTCTTCCCTTAGGGTAGGCTGCCCACCTGCTAACACCCTCCTTATGCTTGGGAAGTGAGCATGCGCAGTGTGTTTAGGAAATTGTACTCATGTCCATCTGAGGCTTTCTTCCCTTTTCTGGTGGAATGCCTCCGGAAGGTCATACTCTGCCATTTTCTCTTAAGGCACATGCCTGGACTCACTTGCCCAAATCCTGAGATTTTATGGGAAGCTGATTACCAATCTCCAGTGTTTTTATCTGTTTGGGAAGTTGTCTCTCCCTGGTGCCCGAGTTCAATGAACACTTTAGTGTGGCAGCTATGGACCCTCAGGAGATTGTCTTTCCTCACTGGCTGCCAAGTTCTCATTTTTAGAGAGTCAGTGTGGTAACTGCCCAACCATCACTTGCTGGTCGCCTGACCTTCCTGGTGGGTTGGGGGTAGAGCCCTCTCCTGCCTGGTTCATGTCTGTCTAACTACCTGTAACACTCCCATTTGGAGTCCAGGAGCAACTTGAGCGTCAGTGATAAAGATTCGGTGTTAGCAGGCCCAGCAGTCAGCAATGATCAGTCAGAAGAAACTGAACACTTACCAGTGACATGCAGAGGGGAGGGGAGAAAGATGACAACTTGGATGAAAAGTAAATTCTATTAAAAAAAATGTGAGGGGCCAACACTTTCTGAGACCAAAACACGATTTCTCTTATCAACAATTTAGTGAGTGAATTGAGATCCAAATTTGATTTGACAAATACTTCAAAACAAAAAGCAGAAATATAAGAAACCACGAGAAAAAAGAAGGGATGTGGCAGATAAATCAAGAATAACAAAATGTAAATTACTAGAATTTCACAAGGAGTAAAAGGTATTCGTGGAAGTAAGACAATAATTAAAGAATAGTATATTATTTCTTGAATGTAATAAAAGGCTCACTGTTTCAGGTTAAACCATGCTTTCTCAACAGGAGTGATAATGTCCCTAATGGGGCAGAATCTGGTTCTCGGGGGAGTGAACAGAAATCTCACTCCCTTTATGTACAGAGCACAGATGCCGTACATAAACAAATACACAATATATCTATGCTATTAAAATTTTATGGGGAAGCGATTAGGGAAAAATGTCTGAGAAGTCTCCTTAAGTGGGGGTTGATTAAAACAATGGAGAAATACTGGACTAGAGTGATGAGAAAAAAGAAACACTGAGGCATCTGTCAGTACAAATTTTGAACTCTAAAGAGAAAGAGAAAAATCTGACAAAAAAACATACCGTTAAAAAGAACATATTATCTACAGAAGAAGAATGATGCTGTAATTAGACTTTTTATCTCCAACGCTGGAACGGACAGTGGCATAGCAGTTAAGGACTACTGAGAGAAAGGACTACAGCCCAACAATCCTGGACCCAGCTGAGATGTGGCCCCTCTGTTTGGTTGAAGGAAAGATACACAGCAATTCAGACAGTTTATCTCCTGTGTTCCCCAACAGAGAAACCTATTTGAGAGAAGACTTTCCAAACATTATCACTTATGTGAACCTGAACAACAATTGGTGGGAATGTGAAGAAAAGAAAGGAAATGGAGGCATGTACTGAGGCTGGGACTAAATATTTCAATAATTTCTTATGTGTATAACAGAAAAAGAAGTTTAGACTTCAGGTAAAGTTCAGTTGTAAATAAGGACTCAGAAATTGAAGGAACTATCTGTGAGATACATTTGACTAAGGCTATTGAACTAAAATTAACAAAATATCCTGGCAAAACCTGGAAGTTAGGAATAGGGGATCAGTGAAAAGTGAAAAAGAATTAAGAGCATTGCAAAACTCTTGTTTTCAAATAAGTACTAGAGAAACGTGTTCTGATCAGGAAGGCAGAGAAAGCGCAGGTAACCATTTAATGGGGTGGGTAATCCAAGTAGAAATTCAAGTTAGGTACAAAATGGAGTATATAACAACTTGATAAAAACCAAGGGCAGAAATAACAATATAAAATAAAGAAGATGCGAGGAATGTACAGTAAAAAAGTCATTACACCAAATGTGTATAGACTAAATTCTAGCATTAAATAAATTTTGAAATGTGGGTGGGTGAAGGGATCACAGGAATAAGAAATAAAATCAGGATGAACATAATCCATGCCCAGAGATTTTGATTCATTTGATCTGGGGTAGGTCCCAGACATTGGCATCTTATAAAAGTTTGGTAGAAAGGTCTTGAAATATCCAGCCACAGTTAACAATCACTGAACTGGAAAATCACTCTTAGCAGATTCCAGAACTGGAACTGTTATTGATGCCTGTGTCTCGAGGTGCCTAAAAGCCAGAATACCTTTGCCATGTTCTCCCTCAGAATCTTGAGATTTATTTATTTCTGTTTAGGTCCTGTGTAACTTGTGATATCGCAATAGCAGCGGAAACATTTTTCTCTGTCTCATCACATTGTTTTTCTAATACACTTCTCCACGTTTTGTCTTGTGTGTGTTCCCCTATACTTGGACTTATGTAATCAAGAAGTCTGGTGCTTTGAAAAGCAATTAGTGTTTAAATAAATTATGTCTACTTTTATGTCTCTGAGTTGGTACTCTACCATCAGCTCAACATCTAATCCAATTAACCACATACTGTTTCCCTGGATTTTTTTGTTTGTCTCACTTTGTGCCTTCACTTGGAGGCAGAACATAGTAAATGCCCTTGTCATTTCCCCTGAGGACATAGGCAGTACCCGTAGTACTACCTCTAAGAAGTGTTTCAAGTAGAAATTCACTTATATGATACATTTAGTATTTCATACTGATCCTCCCGGTATTATCCTTTTATTTCTGTTGAAATTATATGCAACCACTTTGTGTATCAGTCTTCAAGGTTTGGTTTAACACTGTTTCTCAATTCTTTCAAAACACACAAAACATCTTCCTTTTCAGTAACACTTATAGCTGGTCTCTGAGATTTTTCTTCTTTTCATTTGTTAGATTTCTTTAGGTCTCAGTCATTGAGTCTGATAAGACATTTCACAACATATTTAAGATCTGACTAGCTTTTCATTTATGTTGAATGTTTCCTCTCATTTGGTTTTTCAAGAAAATCCTGTTCATTCTCTATGCCCGAAGCAGTGCATTTAACAATTCTTCAGATGCTTCTAATGTATAGTCAAGTTTCAAAAATCTCTAGGGAAGTTCTTCTAAAACTTTGGCTTTTGGAATTATTAGGAAGACTTTGAAAAACACAGATCTCTGGGCTTCACCACTCGAGTTTCTGATTCAGTGGTTTGAGGTCCAAATTTGCATTTTTTTTTAATAGCTCCCAATTGAGGCTAATGCTGAGCACACACTTTGAGAAACTTGAAGGTGTTTACTGATTTAAAAAATACAGTAAGCACTCACTAACTGTGGTCAATAGGTTCTTCAAAACAATGACTTCAAGCGAAATGATGTATAATAAAATCAATTTTATCATAGGTTAATTGATATGAACAAGAGTCACAAAAGCATCACCAAATTTCTAAATAAAGATTCAACACACTTTGAATATTAAACCTTGAAATAAATGTGAGTTATACACACATTTAAGAAAGCGTAATAAAACCAAGTAAGATTATTATTTACCCAAATTTCGGTGAATCAGTGAGTGACAGCGGTTGTAGTTGTGGTAAGTTAAATCAAGGAATAAATGTTTGCAAAGAAAAAATTATAAGGAGCTCTTCCTACTACTACACAGTTAAAAACCAACAATGACAGACACGGCAGGCTGATCTATTTTGTACTCTGATCATTATTGTCTTGCATTTGTATGATTACCACATATTTTATGAATTTTTATTTTTCAATAATTTGTATTCATTCATTCATTTTCCAATCCGCTGATTCCACTTTGGAGTGGCAGGTGGCTGGAGCCAATCTCGGCAGCTCAAGGTGTGAGGAAGGAACCAACGCTGGACAGGACCCCATCCGGGATTCAGGGCACACCCTCACACTAGGACCATAGAGATGTCAGTTCACCTAATGTGCACATCTTTGGGACGTGGGAGGAAACAAGAGTATCCAGAGACAACCCACACAGACATAGGGAGAATACGCAAACTCCACAGAGACAGTGGCCCCGCCAGAAGTCAAATTCTTTTCTCATTAATGTTATAATAAAATGACGTTAAGTGAGGCTGGGGACAGTGGCTCATGCCTGTAATCCCAGCACTTTGGGAGGCTGAAGCGGGTGGATCACTTGAGCCCCTGGCCTTTTGAGACCAGCCTGGGTAACATGGTAAAATTCCATCCTCTACAAAAAATACAGAAGTTATTCAGGTATGGTGGTACACACCTGTAGTCCAAGCTACTCAGGAGGTCGAGATGAGAGGAATGATTGAGCCCAGGAGTTTGAGGTTGCAGTGAGCCATGATGGCACCACTGCATTACAACCGGGGTGACAGAGTGAGACCCTTTGTCAAAATGAAAAAAGAAAAAAAAGGATGTTATTTGAGAACCTGCTGTATTTGCAATGTAAGAATCACCTTAAGAAGGACATAGAAAAATACAATATATTGCTTTATAGATACATTTTGTCACTGCACCAGGGACAAAAGTGATGTCCCTGATCTGATTTACATTGATAAAAATGTGAGCTATACATACAATTAAGAAAAATTAATAAAAAAAAGCAAGGTTAATATTTACTCAATTTTTGGTGAATCAGTGAGTGACAGCAAACAGAGCTAACCTATAAATAAATCCCGACTGGGTGGGGCCCCCTTTGTGGAGAGTTGCAGCTTTAGGAATTTAATAATCTTGATGATTGTTTCGATTAGTTAGGAGCCCATTATCATAATCTAATCAACCATAAGGTGACTGATTATAAAGTGACAGGATTATCCTTAATGTTTGGAACCCCTTTCATAATTTAAAAATCTCTTCATTTTCTTAATAAATTTTACAAACTTTTAAAGAAAAATAATTCTAAACATTGTATTTCAGTACCGAAAACTAAGACACAACTGTACCTGAAGGCATATTAAAGTAGGCAGAGGCTTGCAGCAATTGCTGCCTTCTCTGGAGAATCATTATGATTCCAGTAATATCAAATGCAGAAAATGTTGTGTAGAATAACTCTTAAAATACCATAAGCAGATATGTTTTTGAGAATGGGATTTTTTTTGTATTGGTGAAAAATTTTGTGAATTTCTGTACAAAACTATGTACAATGGTCCTGTGATTTATGCAATTGCATTTCTCGAACACTATGAAAATTAAAACAAGCAACATCACTTGTAATTTATAATTAAATAGGGTGCAGCCTTGGACATTGTCAATATGTTTATCATCCAATTTAATGTCTGAAGGTCACTGGAGAGTCCTATGACATGCTTGCAGGTAGCTTAATTGTCTTGGCCATTGTCCATAGCAGCCCCCATTCACTAGGAGAACCACCAGAGCAAACTCCAGATTTTAAGTGAATCCAGACTGGGTGGTGTCACCTTTGCTGAGAGTTACTGCTTTAGGTAATTTAATCATCTGGATTGTTCTTGTGATGAGTTAGGAGACGATTATCACAACCTAATCAATCCAGAAGTCATGAAATCTTCACCCACTAATTCAGGTGACTCAATATAAACCTGCCTCCTGTGCCTCCACATTAGCTCATTTGGAAGACCTGGGTATAGGTGGTCGTCTCCTCGGCTCCGAGTCCCTGCAGCAACTGAGGTGCCTGTGTCTCTCTGGTTCCCAGTGGCCACCATCATGCTCTCCTCCCCACTCAGGGTGGCTGTGGTGTGCGTGAGCAATGTCAACAGGAGCATGGAGGCCCACAGCATCCTCAGGAGAAAAGGGCTAAGTGTCCGGTCTTTTGGAACTGAATCTCATGTGAGGCTACCAGGACCAAGACCCAATCGTCCTGTAGTTTATGATTTTGCAACAACATATAAGCAGATGTACAATGACCTCCTCAGGAAAGATAGAGAACGCTACACCCGCAACGGAATCTTACACATCTTGGGAAGAAATGAGAGAATCAAGCCCGGTCCAGAAAGATTTCAGGAGTGCACTGATTCCTTTGATGTCATCTTCACCTGTGAGGAGAGTGTCTATGACACAGTGGTGGAAGATCTGTGTTCCAGAGAACAGCAGACCTTTCAGCCTGTGCACGTGATCAACATGGACATCCAAGATACCCTGGAAGATGCCACCCTGGGAGCTTTCCTCATCTGTGAGATTTGCCAGTGCCTGCAGCAGTCAGACGACATAGAAGACAATCTGGAGGAGCTGCTGTTGCAAATGGAGGAGAAGGCAGGAAAAAGCTTTCTTCACACCGTCTGCTTCTACTGAACATCTGGGCTGGCTTTGTCCCCTTCCTCAGTAAGAACTTAGGCATGGGACTTTAGTCCGGATTTATTGTGAGAAGCATCTGCAAAGACCTTCCACTGAGTACTGTTTGTGTGACTTTTGTACACATCACCTGGAAAGAGACTATTACCAAGAAAATATTTTATGGGAAATGAGAAGGACTAACATTTTTAAAAGCACTGAAAAATGCTTGGCATTGTGCTAGGTGCATTACATGGGATAACTAATTTCATGCTTATATCATTCTACAAGGAAGCTAGCCCACCATGACGCCATTTTCCAGATAAGCAAACCGAGCTGATAATGGACTGCTGGAAAAATGATTTGTTTAAGGGTATTCAGCAGATAAATAACATTGTATAGATAAGCACCTTTTAAATAAACTTCCTTTTCTCAATTTGAGTGGTTTCTTTTTAATTTTTTAATTTTTTAAGTTAGTTGAGACCAATGGAGTGTGGTATGTTAACTTAAATGTTGTTCTTCTTTAATAAGAGTATAATATTACATGTTTGAACAGATAAATGTTTTTACATATAGATTATATCTTTTTTACTAATGCTCACTTTAATAGGTAAAATCCAAGTTGGATAATGAACTACATATGATTGTAAAATTTGGAATTATCAGCTCAAATCATAGGTCATCAAATTAAATGAAATAAAAAATGTAAATAAAAAGCATATTCTTATTTCTGTTTAGGGGATGCATTTCAAGCCACTAAGCGACATGCTTTTGTTTAAACCTTATGAATTACACTGAAAAAAAAAAAAAACCCAAGTTGGATAACAAACCACAGATTATCGTAAAATTTGGAATTATCTCCTCAAATAATAGGTCACCAAATCAAATAAAAAATTTCAAAAAAAGTATATTCTTATTTATGTTGGGGGATGGATTTCACACCACTAAGCCACATGTTTTTATTTAAGGCTTATAGATTACACTGAAATAAGCAATCTCTCATATTGAGAGATTCAAATTGTATTAAATTGAAAATGTTTATTGATTTGAGCATTGAGAACATCAGGTGATAAACCTAATGATGTTTTCATGGAGAAACAAGTGAAACACTTTCCGTAATCCTTGGTATTGGCACTAAAACATGTTCACTAATAGGAGAAAAAATAGATCACAAGTAGTTGTTCAGAGTTGAATTAATTTACATGTTATCTACTGAATTAGACTTATTATGGCAACCTAAAATAACAGCAGAGATTAGCTTTCCAAAGATAATGAGTTTATTTAAATGAAGGATTGCAAACAGGAATGCACCAGGTATAATAAGTTGTAGGTGCATCCTGAGAGGTTGGGGTAAGGGGAAACTTTTAAAGGCAAAAAGAAGTCCACAGAAACTACTTTAAAACAAAGTTTATTGGTCACAGAAGCTGACTGCAGGAGTTGGCGTTAGCTTCTTGGTGGAGACAGCCATTGCTAGGCATGTGTTCCTGCGAGAACATTTTATCTGGAATGCTGCAGTCTTGAATATAATGCAGTTACAGAAATATGTGTGAACATGCAGAATGAGCAAAGTGTGTAAGACCTGCTGGTGGTGTAAAGCATGTAGGATGTGCCATGATCTCTTGTGGGTTTTAGGGAGTCGTGATAGCTCTTATCTCAGATATACAGGCATGGGCTCCCCTCCTTCATGACCCTGCAGCTCCACTTCACCTGGATCTGACGATAGTGGACTTCATCTTGGTAGTAACAACTTTCACATTTTTGGTATCAGAAACTTTCAAAGTTGTAAGAAAATATTCTTTTTCCTCTTGCAGCGTGGGTAGCAGGAGGCAAGTGGAAGTGGGGAACCCAGCTGGTACAGTAGTTCGCAGAGGAGAGGTTGGAAGCTTGGGGGAGGGAAGTGTCTGTCAAAAGGCAGAAGAATGGACACATTGGAGAGGGATGTTAGAGCTGACATGAGAGACTTCTTGATGAGAAAAGGAGGACTTTTGAATCACTCTCAGATTTCTGATTTTAAGGGTGGCTGGGTCCAAATATATAAGTGAAGGTTTTGGTGGTAGGGCAGTGAGGTGTTTCCTCACTGATAGTTTCTCTCTATTCTGTCAATGTGGCTTAAGATAAGGCCATCAGCTGGCAGTGGGCAGTCAGGATCATGATTGGGGATGGGGTGAGGATATTTGGCATAGATAATTGTTTTAAAATATGGGAATACAAACCTGAGTGTAGTTTTTTGTGAGAGCTCTTCTGAAGATAAAAGTGAGACTGTCCCATAGATACTACTTTTTCCAGCCAATCCATTTGGAAAAACATGACAAGGTGGTTGAGTTTCTCTTTTCTCTCTGTTTGGACATGGACAATGCAAATGTGACAGAAGAGCAAGGTGCAGAAAAGCTTCGGGAGTTTGAAAGGGTGTAATTATAGTGATAAACGATGAAACCTGGTTTTGGACCAGAAAGGGTGAATAAGTAGGGATTGGGCTGGAATCCATGGGTTGTGGCACAATGCATGGTCAAACAGCCCTTATAGTTTAAATAAAGAAGCAAAAGTGAATGGAAAGATGTGGTCTTATAGTTGGGGCATGACTGTTTCAGATTTTGATCTAGTGGTGAGGTTCTTGATGACTATGACCATGGGTATGTCTGGTGGGGTGTAGACAAGTGCAATTGGAGAAGAAGTGAGAGTGTTGAGGGTGCTGGGTGGATAATCTGTGTGGATGCTGGAATTGCTAAGAACTGTGGCAGTAGTTGGTTGTGAGGAAGCATGAGAAGTGAGAGCTTATATAATCACTAAAAATCCAGGGTGTGGGAAGTATGGGGCACGATGATATGTTGGGCAGATATGGTAAGAAGACTTTCTAGGTTGTTGAACACCTCTAGTATTGGTTTATTGGGTAGAGGGAGGGGAGCTCTGATTGGAAGTCGTAATGGTGACCTCGCGTATCTGACTATATACTATGTAGAGTGGGAAATAAAGACTTAGATTTACTGTAATGAAAATACAATGATTTCTTGAGGAAGTAGCCAGAGAAAGAGGCAAATGGGTGTTCACATGGTTATTGAAGATGAAAAATGACATTTGGATACAAATTTCAGGAAGATTTGAAGATGAATCTGAACTATAAAAGTGAGTTGTGCCAGAAAGAAGGATATTGTGATAAGGACCAGTCAAATGAACATTGCTTTAGGTGTGTCTGACAAATTTCTATTTCTTGATTACATGATGTATGCCTTATAATAATTTCTTAAGCAACTCCTTTATTTTTGTTTGGTTTTCTGTATTTGTGTATGTGTGTTTTTTCTTCCGTTTTAAAATTACCATAAGAAGACTAACAAAACACTCAAAAAATGAGGGAAATACTTTGTTTCATAAAAAAACTTAACATTATAAGTATGTTAATAGCTTTATTTGTAATTGTTTTATTTCCTCTCTTTTACTTCCTCTCCCTCCTCACTTCCCACGTCCAATCTTCTCATTCTCCTTCTTCTTCTTCTTTTTTTTTTTTTTTTTTGTATTTATTGATCATTCTTGGGTGTTTCTCAGAGAGGGGGATTTGGCAGGGTCATAGGACAATAGTGGAGGGAAGGTCAGCAGATAAACATGTGAACAAGGGTCTCTGGTTTTCCTAGGCAGAGGACCCTGTGGCCTTCCACAGTGTTTGTGTCCCTGGGTACTTGAGATTAGGGAGTGGTGATGACTCTTAACGAGCATGCTGCCTTCAAGCATCTGTTTAACAAAGCACATCTTGCACCGCCCTTAATCCATTTAACCTTGAGTGGACACAGCACATGTTTCAGAGAGCACGGGGTTGGGGGTAAGGTTATAGATTAACATCATCCCAAGGCAGAAGAATTTTTCTTAGTACAGAACAAAATGGAGTTTCCTATGTCTACTTCTTTCTACACAGACACCGCAACAATCTGATTTGTCTTTCTTTTCCCCACATTTCCCCCCTTTCTATTCGACAAAACCGCCATCGTCATCATGGCCCATTCCCAATGAGCTGTTGAGCACACCTCCAAGACGTGGTGGTGGCCTGGCAGAGGCGCCCCCCACTTCCCAGACGGGGCAGCCGGGCAGAAGCGCCCCCCACTTCCCGGACGGCGCGGCTGCCGGGAGGGGGCTGCCACCCACCTCCCTCCCAGGAGGGGCGGCTGCTGGGCGGAGGGGCTCCTTACTTCTCAGAAGGGGCGGCGGGGCAGAGACACTCCTCACCTCCCAGACGGGGTGGCGGTCGGGCAGAGACACTCCTCAGTTCCCACACGAGGTCACGGCCTGGCAGAGGGGCTCCGCGTATCTCAGACGATGGGCGGCCGGGCAGAGACGCTCCTCACTTCCCAGACCGGATGGCTGCCAGGAAGAGGCGCTCCTCACTTCCCAGACTGGGCGGCCGGGCAGAGACACTCCTCAGTTTCCAGACGGGGTAGCGGCCGGGCAGAAGCGCTATTCACATCTCAGATTGGGCGGCTGTGCAGAGGGGCTCCTCACATCCCAGACGATGGGCGGCCAGGCAGAGACGCTCCTCACTTCCCAGACGGGGTGGCGGCCGGGCGGAGGCTGCAATCTCGGCACTTTGGGAGGCCAAGGCAGGCGGCTGGGAGGTGCAGGTTGTAGCGAGCCGAGATCACGCCACTGCACTCCAGCCTGGGCAACATTGAGCACTGAGTGAGCGAGACTCCATCCGCAATCCCGGCACCTTGGGAGGCCGAGGCGGGCAGATCACTCGCGGTCAGGAGCTGGAGACCAGCCCGGCCAACACGGCGAAACCCCTTCTCCACCAAAAAACACAAAAACCAGTCAGGCGTGGCGGCGCGAGCCTGCAATCCCAGGCACTGGGCAGGCTGAGGCAGGAGAATCAGGCAGGGAGGTTGCAGTGAGCCGAGATGGCGGCAGTACAGTCCAGCCTCAGCTTGGCATCAGAGGGAGACCAGGGAGAGGGAGAGGGAGACCGTGGAGAGGGAGAGGGAGAGGGAGAGCCTCCTTCTTCTTCTTCTTTTTTGAGACAGAGTCTCGCTCTGTTGCCCAGGCTGGAGTGCAGTGGTGCGATCTTGGCTCACTCACTGCAACATCCGCCTCCCATGTTCAAGCAATTCTCCTGCCTCAGCCTCCCAAGTAGCTGGGAGTACAGGTGCACAGCACCACACTTGGTTAATTTTTGTATTTTGGATTACTGGTGTGAGCCACAGCTCCCGGCCCCATGTCCGATCTACCCCAAGGTCTGACCTGGATTGTGTAATCACCATGTGGCTTGTTTGTGGTTTTACACAAGTCTAATCCATGAAGCAGAGCATGTAATACTTCAAGCTCAGTCTGTTGGTTGAAGCGAGTCATAAGGCAATGTCCCTGGATAGAAGGGGATGGGTAATAGACTGCACATCATGATGGGGGAATGGCACGAGTGTTCAGCAGAGAGAATGGCTGGCAGCTATGTTAACAGATGCGCAACCATACCTGATAAACTATCAGATTGATAAATGTTCAAAAGCTTGACACTATACCCTGCTGGCAAGTTTGTGAGGGAAAAGGCATGTTTTCCCGTCATAATGAAAAATGTTACAAGCTCTATGGAGGGCATCTTGAATATCTAATAAATCTAAAAACATGTTTACTCTGTCTTCCAAGTAGCCTTATAAGTAGCTAGGACTCAGGTGTGTGCCACCACACTTCGCTAATTTCTATTTTTAATTTTTTTGTAGAGATAGGGCTTCACTGTGTTGCTCAGGCTGGTCTTGAACTCCTGGCCTCAAGGCGATTCTCCTGCCTCAGCCTCTCAAGGTGCTGGGATTATAGGCATCAGCCACTGTTTCTGGCCTATACATCTCTTTGACCACAGTAATCCTACTTCTAAAAATTAACCATAAGGTCTATCAGCAGAATTATCCAACTGAAGAAGTGAGAAAAAAAGAACAAAAAAGAAAAGAAAGAGATCCTCAGGTACTTGAGGAACAATATCAAAAGGTCTACCAGATGTGTAGTTTGGGTCTCAAAATGAAATGAGAGAAAGAATGGGACTGATTTTTGTTTTTGAGGCAATAATTGTGAAATTATTCAAATTAGGGAAAAAGCTAAAATATTACAGATTGAAAAAGTTCACAGAACTTCAAGGAGGCCTAAAAACAAAGAAAGTTGTATGTAGATGCCTCACAATCAAACTGAAAATTAAGACAAAGGGAAAAAATTTAAATGTAGCCGAAGGAGGCAGGACAGAAAACACTGGTACCTTAGTAGCATCAAGCACACTTGATTTTGATTACTCTCATCGTCCTCCAGTAATACAAACAGGATTATTTGGAGAAATTGTTGATTCTGAGGCTGGAAATATATAAGATGAACCTGGGGCATCTCATAATGCCAGAGTGTTTCCTTTTCCATGAAAAATGAAGTAAAACCAAACAAACACCACGATGGGGCACATGAAAGGGCCCAGGAGGCAACTGAAAGTGCTTGCGATGGCCAAAACAGAAAGTTTGAGCAACAAAACAAAGCAGGATCGAATTGTAACCCCACATAGAAAAATAAATATCCAAGATTCCATACTGCTATGAAGAAATAATTGAATAAATTCATTAATGAGGGGGAGAATAGACACATCTGTGAGGAGTAAGTCCATATAATTTAAATGGATAATCCACCCACAAGGAAGTAGGGCACAAGTCCCCACTCCTTAAATGTGGGCTGCACATAGGGACTTTTTCCAAATAGTCCAGCATGGAAAATGGGAAAAAGGGTAAATTCACAGTGGAGAAGGCTGATGAAGTGGAGCTGGAAGGTCATGAAGGAGGGGAGCCCATGCTTGTGTACTTGAGATAAGAACTATCACAAGGACTCTCTAAAACCCACAAGAGATTATGGCACATCTTACATGCTTTACACCATCAGCAGGTCTTACACACTTTGCTCATTCTGCATGGCCACACATATTTCTATAACTGCAATATCTTCAAGACTGCAGCATTCCAGATAAAATGTTCTCACAAGAACACATGCCTAACAATGGCTGTCTCCACCAAGAAGCTAATGCCGACTCCTGCAATGAGCTTCTGTGACCAATAAATTTATTTCAAAGCAGCTTCTGTGGACTTCTTTTTGCCTTTAAAAGTTTCCCCTTACCCTAACCTCTCAGGATACACCTGTGACTTGTTATACCCGGTATATTCCTGATTCCAGTCCTTCATTCAAATAAACTCATTTTGAGAGCTAATCTCTGCTGTTATTTTAGGTTGCCGTAATAAGTCTAGTTCAATAGATAACATGTCAATTAATTTAACTATGAACAACTACTTCTGATCTATTTTTCTCCTATTAGTAAACATGGTTTAGTGCCACTACCAAGGATTATGAAAAAGAGTTTCAATTGTTTCTCCTTGAAAACATCATTAGGTTTATCACCTGATGTTCTCAGTGTTCATACCAATGAATATTTTAAACCTAATAAAATTTTCACTATGAAAGATCCCTTTTTTTTCAGTGTAATTCGTAAGGTTTAAACAAAAGCATGTCGCTTAGTGGCTTGAAATGCATCCCCCAAACAGAAATAAGAATATACTTTTTATTTACATTTTTTATTTCATTTAATTTGATGACCTATGATTTGAGCAGATAATTCCAAATGTTACAATCATATGTAGTTCATTACCCAACTTGGATTTTACCTATTAAAGTGAGCATTAGTAAAAAAGATATAATCTATATGTAAAAACATTGATCTGTTCAAACATGTAATATTATACTCTTATTAAAGAAGAACATTTAAGTTAACATACCACACTTCACTGGTCTCAAGTAACTTAAAAAATTTAAAAATTAAAAAAAACCACTCAAATTGAGAAAAGGAAGTTTATTTAAAAGGTGCTTATCTATACAATGTTATTTATCTGCTGAATACCCTTAAACAAATCATTTTTCCAGCAGTCCATTATCAGCTCGGTTTGCTCATCTGGAAAATGGCGTCATGGTGGGCTAGCTTTCTTGTAGAATGATATAAGCATGAAATTAGTTATGCCATGTAATGCACCTAGCACAATGCCAAGCATTTTTCAGTGCTTTTAAAAATGTTAGTCCTTCTCATTTCCCATAAAATATTTTCTTGGTAATAGTCTCTTTCCAGGTGATGTGTACAAAAGTAACACAAACAGTACTCAGTGGAAGGTCTTTGCAGATGCTTCTCACAATAAATCCGGACTAAAGTCCCATGCCTAAGTTCTTACTGAGGAAGGGGACAAAGCCAGCCCAGGTGTTCAGTAGAAGCAGACGGTGTGAAGAAAGCTTTTTCCTGCCTTCTCCTCCATTTGCAACAGCAGCTCTTCCAGATTGTCTTCCATGTCGTCTGACTGCTGCAGGCACTGGCAAATCTCACAGATGAGGAAAGCTCCCAGGGTGGCATCTTCCAGGGTATCTTGGATTTCCATGTTGATCACGTGCACAGGCTGAAAGGTCTGCTGTTCTCTGGAACACAGATCTTCCACCACTGTGTCATAGACACTCTCCTCACAGGTGAAGATGACATCAAAGAAATCAGTGCACTCCTGAAATCTTTCTGGACCGGGCTTGATTCTCTCATTTCTTCCCAAGATGTGTAGGATTCCGTTGCGGGTGTAGCGTTCTCTATCTTTCCTGAGGAGGTCATTGTACATCTCCTTATATGTTGTTGCAAAATCGTAAACTACAGGACGATTGGGTCTTGGTCCTGGTAGCCTCACATGAGATTCAGTTCCAAAAGACCGGACACTTAGCCCTTTTCTCCTGAGGATGCTGTGGGCCTCCATGCTCCTGTTGACATTGCTCACGCACACCACAGCCACCCTGAGTGTGGAGGAGAGCATGATGGCGGCCACTGGGAACCAGAGAGACACAGGCACCTCAGCTGCTGCAGGGACTCGGAGCCGAGGAGACGACCACCTATATCCAGGTCTTCCAAACGAGCTAATGTGGAGGCACAGGAGGCAGGTTTATATTGAGTCACCTTAATGAGTGGGTGGAGACTTCATGACTTCTGGATTGATTAGGTTGTGATAATCATCTCCTAACTCATCACAAGAACAATCAAGATGATTAAATTACCTAAAGCAGTAACTCTCCACAAAGGTGGCACCACCCAGTCTGGATTCATTTAAAATCTGGAGTTTGCTCTGGTGGTTCTCCTAGTGAATGGGGGCTGCTATGGACAATGGCCAAGACAAGCTACCTGCAAGCATGTCATAGGACTCTCCAGTGACCTCCAGACATGAAATTGGATGATAAACATGTTCACGATGTGCAAGGCTGTACCCTATTTAATTATAAATTATAAGTGTTGTTGCTTGTTTTAATTTTCATAGTGTTCGAGAAATGCAATTGCATAAATCACAGGACCACTGTATATAGTTTTGTCCGGAAATCCACAAAATTTTTCACCAATACAAAAAAAATCCCATTCTCAACAACATATCTGCTTATGGTATTTTAAGAGTTATTCAACACAACATTTTGTGAATTTGATATTACTGAAATCATAATGATTCTTCAGGGAATGCAGGAATTGATGCAATCCTCTGCCTCCAAGTACAGCTATGTTTGAGCTTTTCTATACTTAAATGCAATGTTTAGAATTTTTTTCGTAGTTGTGTAATTTATCAAGAAAATAAACGAGATTTTAAAATTATGAATGGGGTTTCAAAAAATAAGACAATCATGTCACTTTTAGATTGATTAGATTATGATAATGGACTGCTAAGTAATTGCAAGAACAATCAAAATGATTACATTCCTAATTCAGTAACTCTCCACAAAGGTGGCCCCACCCAGTCAAGATTGATTTATAGGTGCGCTCTGTTTTCTGTCGCTCACTGATTTACCAAATATTGGGTAAATAATAATTTTTTTATTTTGGAGGAGTCTCGCTCTGTCACCTAGGCTGGAGTGCAATGGTACAATATTGGCTCACTGCAACCTCTACCTCCGAGGTTCAAGGGATTCTCCTGTCTGAGCCTCTCAAGTAGCTGAAGACTACAGGCACGCGGCACCACACCCGGTTAATGTTTGTATTTTTAGTAGAGATGGGGTTTCACCATGTTGGTCAGGCTGGTTTTGTACTTCCGACCTCAAGTGATCTGCCCGCTTTGGCCTCCCAAAGTGCTGAGATTACTGCTATGAGCCACCTCACCCGGCCCAATTTTACTTGTTTTTAGTAATCCTTCTTAAATGTATGTATAGCTCACATTTATTTCAATATAAATCAGATCAGAGACATCACTTTTGTCCTTGATGCAGGGACAAAATCTATCTATAAAGGAACATATTGTATTTTTCTATGTCCCTCTTAAGGTGATTCTTACATGGCAAATACAGCAGGTTGTCAAAGAACATCTTTTTTTTTTTTTTTTCTTTTTTGAGACACAGTTTTGCTCTGTCACCCTGGCTGGAGTGCAGTGGTGCCATCATGGCTCACTGCAGCCTCAAACTCCTGGGCTTAATCAATCCTCCCACCTCAGCCTCCTGAGTAGCTGGAACTACAGGTGTGTACCACCACGCCTGGCTAATTTTTTTTTTTTTTTTTGTAGAGGGTGGGGTTTCACCATGTTACCCAGGCTGGTCTCAAATTCCTGGGCTCAAGTGATCCACCCGCTTTGGTCTCCCAAAGTGCTGGGATTACAGGCATGAGCCACTGTGTCCAGCCTCAAATAATATCATTTTATTATAATATTAACTTAAAAAATTGACTTCTGGCAGGCCAATGTCTGCGTGGGGTTTGCATATTCTCTCCATGTCTTTGTGTTTTTTCTCTGGATACTCTTGTTTCTTCCCACGTCCCGAAGATGTGCACATTAGATGAAGTGACATCTCTATGGTCCCAGTATGGGGGTGTGCCCTGAGCCCCGGATGGGGTCCTGTCCAGCGTTGGTTCCTGCCTCACACCTTGAGCTGCCGATAGGTTCCAGCCACCTGCCACTCTGAACTGGAATCAGCAGGTTGGAAAATGAAGGAATGAATACAAATTATTGAAAAATAAAAATTCATAAAACGTGGTAATCATACAAATGCAAGACAATAACGATGAAAGTACAAGATAGATCAGCCAGCCTGCCGTGTCTGTCATTATTGATTTTTTAACTGTGTAGTAGTAGGAGGTGCTCCTTACAATTTTTTCTCTGCAAGCATTTATTCCTTGATTTAACTTACCACAACTACGACCGCCATCACTCACTGACTCACCAAAAATTGGGTGAATAATAATCTTACTAGGTTTTATTAGGCTTTCTTAATTGTATGTACAGCTCACATTTATTTCTAAGTTTAATACTCTAAGTGTGTTGAATCTTTATTTAGACGTTTGGTGATGTTTTTGTGACTCTTGTTCATATCAACTAGCCTATGATAAAATTAATTTTATTATACAGCATTTCACTTGAAGTCATCGTTTTGGGCGCGGTGGCTCATACCTGTAATCCCAGCACTTTGGGAGGCTGAGGCGGGTGGATCACCTGAGGTCCAGAGTTCGAGACCAGTCTGGCCAACATGGTGAAAGCCTGTCTCTACTAAAGAAATACAAAAAATGTTCCAGGCGTGGTGGCGGGTGCCTGTAATTCTGGCTACTCTGGAGGGCTGAGGCAGGAGAATTGTTTGAATCCGGGAGGCGGAGGTTGCAGTGAGCAGAGATCATGCCATTGCACTCCAGCCTGGGCGAGAAGAGTGAAACTCCATCTCCAAACAAACAAACAAACAAACAAATTAGTAAACACCTGAAAGTTTCTCAAAGTGTGTTCCCAGACTAGCAGCATTAGCATTAATTGGGAACTTGTAAAAAATGAAAATTTAGACCGCAAACCACTGAACCACAACCTCTAGTGGTGAAGCCCAGAGATTTGTGTTCTTTCCTTTACATTTCCATGAATTGTTGTTCAGGTTCACATAAGTGATAATGTTTGGAAAGTCTTCTCTCAAGTAGGTTTCTCTGTGGGGGACACAGGAGATAAACTGAATTGCTGTGTATCTTTCCTTCACCCTGACAGAGGGGCCACATCTTGGCTGGGTACAGGATTGTTGGGCTGTAGTCCTTTCTCTCAGTAGTCCTTAACTGCTATGCCACTGTCCGTTCCAGCGTTGGAGATAAAAAGTCTAATTCCAGCATCATTCTTCTCCTGTAGATAATATGCTCTTTTTTTAAAATATATATATATATTTATTATAGTTGAGTTCTAGGGTGCATGTGCACAGCGTGCAGGTTTGTTACACATGTATACATGTGCCATGTTGGTGTGCTGCACCCGTTAACTCGTCATTTACATTAGGTATATCTCCTGATGCTTTCCCTCTGCACCCCCCGCCCGCCCCACAACAGGCCTCGGTGTGTGATCTTCCCCTTCCTGTGTCCAAGTGTTCTCATTGTTCAATTCCCACCTATGAGTGAGAACCTGTGGTGTTTGGTTTTTTGTTCTTGCGATAGTTTGCATGATGGAACTAGAAATACCATTTGACCCAGCCATCCCATTACTGGGTATATACCCAAAGGATTATAAATCAGGCTTCTGTAAAGGCACATGCACACGTATGTTTATTGCTATTCACAATAGCAAAGACTTGGAACCAACCCAGATGTCCATCAATGATAGACTGGATGAAGAAAATGTGGCACATATACACCATGGAATACTATGCAGCCATAAAAAAGGATGAGTTCATGTCCTTTGTAGGGACATGGATGAAGCTGGAAATATGTTCTTTTTAAGTGGATGTTTGTAAGATTTTTCTCTTTCTCCTTAGAGTTCAAAATTTTTACTAGCAGATGCCTCAGTGTTTCTTATTTCTCTTCACTCTAGTCCAGTATTTCTCCATTTTTTCATCGATCCCCAGTTATGGAGCCTTTTTAGACTTTTTTCTAATTGCCATCTCATAAAATTGTAATAGTAATCCCAGCTACTTGGGAGGCTGAGGCATGAGAATTGCTTGAGCCTGGGAGGTGGACTTTGCAGTGAGTTGAGACCATGCCACTGCACTCCAGCCTGGGTGACAGAGGCAGACTGTGTCTCAAAAATAAATAATAAAAAGGTCTATTAGATCCACTTGGTCCAATATTGAGTTTAGGTCCTGAATATCTTTGCTCTTTTTCTGCCTTGATGATCTATCTAATGCTGTCAGTGGAGTGTTGAAGTCTCCCACTATGTTTGTGTGGGATTCTAAGTCTCTTTGTAGGTTTCTAAGAACTTGCATTATGAATCTGGGTGCTCCTGTGTTGAGTGCATATATATTTAGGATAGTTAGGTCTTCAGGTTGAACTGAACCCTTTACTATTGTGTAACGCCCTTCCCCATTCTCAGGAGATGAGCGTGGTGCAGAAGTTCAGGGATCCAGGAAATAATGAAGTATAATAGATAAACAACTTGTAGCATGTCTGTATTTATTCAGTGCCTGACTGAGAATCTAGCACATAGGAAGTACACATAATCATTCTTTCCCTGCCTCTCAGGTTCCATTCTCCCCATCTCTAAATTCAGTTTCCAGAGTAGGAAGATTTACTTCCATTTTGGTTCCTGCAGTAGCCTCTAAGTAATGGCTGAAATTGTTTCAAAAATAAAATTATGCGACAAGAGCCCAATAGAGGCTCCTTAGGATGTGCCTGCTGTGGACAGCAACTACCACCAGGTCAGCCTGTGATCACACAAGCACTATGAAAATATACAATACCCCGAAGAAATTCGCCCTTCTGAAGGAGGTGGAATAAATCAAAACAGATATGAAAATGCCATTGGAGGTTGATGGCCAAGAGTGTGCACCACTATGCTGACAAAGTAACAGCCAGAAGAAAAGATCAAATGAAGCAATGTAAATCTTAAATAGAAAAGAGAAGCCTGAAGAGGACCTGCTAAGCTAAGGATGGCCATTTGGTACTTTGAGAGTAAAGAGGATTTTGCTTCTGGGAGGCAAAGAAGAGAGGTTAAAGAGCCCAATGACTGGAGCCTGGCCTATGGGTGAAATTGTGGGTACCTGAGTAGTTGCTTATCTACTCAACCTAATCTAGACAACTTCTCAAATGCCTCATGAATGTTCTCCTGTCTCGGTCCAGGTATCTTCAGCATCTCAGAGAATTAACTTCCATTGCCCTTCTTTGTGTTCGTGAGATAATTACCCTTATTCAGGGTATTTTAAAAAATCATCTCTCCGGCCGGGTGTGGTGGCTCACGCCTGTAATCCCAGCACTTTGGGAGGCCGAGGCGGGCAGATCAGGAGGTCAGGAGATCCAGACCATCCTGGCTAACACGGTGTAACCCCGTCTCTACTAGAAATAAAAAAAATTAGCCGGGTGTGGTGGCGGGCGCCTGTAGTCCCAGCTACTCGGGAGGCTGAGGCAGGAGAATGGCGTGAACCCAGGAGGTGGAGCTTGCAGTGAGCCAAGATTGTGCCACTGCACTCCAGCCTGGGCGACAGAGCGAGGCTCCGTCTCAAAAAAAAAAAAAAAAAAAATCATCTCTCGAATGTGTCAGCAATGTGCCTGTGAGAACGTTCACCTCATAAATGATTTCTTCTCTCTGATTTCACAAAAAGTCTGATTATCAGAGGACCTATCTCAGGAATAGGAGTATGTTAGATTACCTGGCAATGTTTCCCCTAACTGATTTAAGACTTTCTGAGGTCTGAGAATTATAGTTTTTCTTTGTGTTTTTCCAGATCTCAGTACATCACAGCACAGTGCAACTCCTCAAAATGTTTAACAAAACAACCAAATGACAAAATATTGGGTGAGTGTGAAGTATCAGGGCAGGGTAGCCGTAAATAAGTCCCTTTAATACCTTGGATAGTTACAGTAGTCAGGATCAGAGCCAATGTAGAACCTTCTTTGGAGGGGCTCCGGGGTCAGAGTTCTTTGGCACATTGAGAGGTAAAAAGGTTCCCCATGCCCAGAGTCTCCTCATTCTGCCATCCCAGACAGCATTTTCCATTCTACTGGCATAGCCCATATTTATGACTGTGGTTTGGTGGTGTGCTGGTAACCCAGCTAAAATACACACACAAAGATCAGTCAATCAATTAAAGCCCTGCATTGTAGTGTTTGCCAGTTTTGGCAGTGTATGTACTCCCACCAAGGTCATTTTCAAGGTATCAACGTGACATCACTGAATGTGAAGTTTGCAAGGAATATGCACAGATGAGCCAGTACAAGTGGCTCCACCCCGCACTGCTTTAGTCTCTCCAACTCTGTCTACCCAAGTCCAGACAATAGTACTAGTATTTTCAGCCACCTACTTTAGGTCCCATAACATCTAGTCTAGATGGGGCATTTCCTATCTAGACTGTAATTTTACTCACAGCAATAAAAAAAATCACTTACCTGTTTTAAATGGAGTTCTCTTGGGCTAGAATGGGGTGAGTGACAACGAGGCTGTCAGAGTGATGGGTGACAGGGAACTGAGATTTTATCTGTTGGCCTGAAAGCCTGAGGGGCTGCTATTATTCCAGGGAGCCCAAATATAGAACCATCTTTTCAACATCTCCTCAATTCCGTACATGTTGGCCAAGTCATTATGGCTCTCCAAGCCTGCCTAGTCCACCTTTTTCTCTAAATCTCCATCCCTTCTTAAGTATGCTCATGTACTTATTCCTAACAAAAGAGTGTTAGCATTGCTACAACAATTATTCCTGTTTCCATTTTATGGGATCTGGGATTAATTTTCAAAAGAAAATTAATCCCATTTTCTTCTTAAAATTTTACATATTTTAATTTTTTTTGTAGAGATGGGGTGTCCCTATGTTGCCCAGGCTGGTCTTAATTTCCTGGCCTCAAGTGATCCTCTCATCTTGGCTTTCCAAAATGCTGGGATTACAGGCATGAGCCACCATGCCCGGCCTGAAAATCATATTAATTACTTAAGAAACACTTTTTATCAAAAGTGTTTCTTTGGAACTTGAATTAAGTTTATAACATTTTCAAAAAAGCCATTTAAACTTTCGTATTTGTAATAATAATATTTTAAATATTTACATGGGAATACCTAAATATCACTTAAAAATCAATTTTCCCTACTTCTGTAAGTCAAGGTCAACTATGAAAAACATTCTGTACCCTCGTTTTCTTTGGCCACCAAATAATCCACGTTTAATTTTCAGTTATCTTATTCACTAATCTTCTTCCTGCTGATAAACTTATCTCTTTCTTTATGTATCCTTTTCATATCTTTTTATTTAATTAGTCCAAGTAAGTGTATATATACATATTTGTAAAGGAGAAACAGTTTTATGTTTAAGAAATATCTTTTTGTTTGTCACAGAATATTTCTCATTTCCAGGGACATGTTTAGTGGTAATAATAGTAATTGGGTGCTAATGATTTGGCTGGTGGGGACTCTGACCATCTCTGGTCTTGGTTGAACTGCGAGCAGAGGCTAGAAAACTGTTTACCGTGAGGACCTTTTAGAGGCCTTCTGCTGGATTTTGAATTTGACCCACCAAGTGAATTTAGTTGAGGGCTAAATAGGAGGATGGTCTTTCTTGGAGCTGAACGGTTTTTCTAAACATTCTGCTAGTACTGCATGACCCATTGGCATGACTGTTAAAGTGCCCCACATCTGCTTAGCATCCTCCAAGATCCTTTGGGTGTGTTCCACAAGATCCTTTGGCTCTTGTAAATAATTAGCACTCCCAAGAGTGCCCTGTGGGACCCTCAGTTTTTTTGCCATTCCAGAACTGCCTTGTTTTCAACTGACCAACTTGCTCGCTGGGCCATGTCTCTTTCTCTGATCACATTCAAATGTTAAGCTCCGCTAAAATTTAGATTTTTTTTTGAGACAGGGTCTTGCTCTGTCACCCAGGCTAGAGTGCACTGGCGCGATCTCAGCTCTTGGCTTCCTGCAACCTCCACCACTGCCCCTGCCACCCCTCCTGCTTTCAAGTGATCCTCCCACCTCAGCCTCCAGAGTGGCTGGGACTGCAGGCGTGTACCACCATGCCCAGCCACGTTGTTTTGTATTTTTAGTAGAGATGGGGCTCACCATGTTGCCCAGGCTAGTCTTGAACTCCTGAGTGCAAGCAATCTGCCTGCCTTGGCCTCCTGAAGTGCTGGGATAACACACGAGAGTCATTGTGCCCAGCCATAAAATTTAGATATTTTATGCTTTGTTTTAGTGTTATGAAAAATAAAATTGTTTGTAATGGTATTTTAAATTATTTGCTGGTTTTATATAAAGCATAATTTATTTTTGTATTTTAAACTTGGTGTCCCTGACCTTGCTAAATCCATTTATTTATCCCAAGTGTCGTGTAGATTCTTAGGATTTTTTTTTTACATACGCAGCCATGTCATCTCTTAATAAATACAGGTTTACATCCTCCTTTCTGACCTGAATATCTTTTATTTAGGTGTTATTATTTGATTTTTGCTTTTTTTTTTTTTACAATTTACTTGTGCATACACTGACTGAAGGACATCTTGATTGCCAATTTTGGCAATTATGAATAAAGCTGCTATAAATATCTTCCTGCAGGTTTTCGTGTGGGCATACATTTTTAACTCATTTGGGCAAATACCCAGGAGCATGATTGCTGGATTGTATGGTAAGAGTATGCTTAGTTTTGTAAGAAACTGCCAAGCTGCCTTCTTAAGTGGCTGTACCATTTTGCATTCCCATCAGCAGTGAATGAGAGCTCCTGCTGTTCCACATCCTCCCCAGCATGTACTGTTGTCAGTGTTTTGGATTTTCACCATTCTAATAGGTATGTAGTGGTATCTCATGTTGTGTAAATTTGTAATTCTCCAATGACATGTTGTTGACTACCTTTTCATATGCTTCTTTGCCATCTGTGTATCTTCTTTGATGAGATGTCTGTCCAGATCTTTTGCCTTTTTAATTTTTTTGAGACAGTCTCTGTCACCCAGGCTGAAGTGCAGTGCCCACAGAGAGAACTGCCACAGGGGCAGAGTCACACAGAGAGGGTAATGCGTAGTGGAGCCACCTCACAGTTCCACTTGGGTCATGCCCAAGAGAACTGTAGGGCTGGGCTGCTCCCAACACTCCAGACCTGTAGAATCACCAACGTGCAACTCTAGCTCGAGAGAGCCACAGGCACTGAACTCCAACCTGTGAAAGCTGCAGCATGGGCTGCATCCGGCAAAGACATGGAGGTCGGGTCCCCTGAAGCCTTGGGACCCAACCGCCACCCCAGTGTGTCTGGAAGGCAGGGCATGGAGTCAAAAATTATTCTCAAGCTTAAAGTTTTAATGTTATTTACCTTGTTTGGATTTGGGCTTACTTGGGACCCATTACCCCCCTTTTTTTTCTTGGCTATTTCTCCCTTTTAGAATGAAAGTGTCTAGTCTATGCTTGTCTCACCATTGTATTTTGGAAACACATAACTTATTTGATTTCACAGGCTCACAGCTGGAGAGAAATTTGCCTCAGGATGAATTGTACCTTGGGTCTCACTCATATCTGATTTAGATGAGACTCTAGACCTTAGAATTTTGAATTGGTACTGGAATGAGTTATAACTTTTTGGGGCTATTAAGATGGAATGAACGTATTTTGTGTGTGAGAAGGAAATGAATTTGGTGGGCTAAGGATGGAAAGTTATGGTCTGAAGATATTCCCCAAAATTCATATGTTAAAACTCAACCACCAATGTGATAATATTAAGAGGCAAGGCTTTTAGGAAGTGATTAAGTCGTGAGAGCAGAGCCTTCCTACATGGAATTAGTGAACTTATCAAAGGGCTGGAGGGAACTAGCCTAGGCCCTTTTTGCTCTTCTGTTTCTTTTGTCTTGTGAAGATACAGTGTTCAAGGTGGCATCTTGGAAGAACAGACTAGGCCCTCACCAGATGCCAAACCTGCAAGCACCTTGATTTTGCACGTTCCAGGCTCAAAAACTGTGAGGAATAAGTTTCTATTATTTATAAATTGTCCAGTCTCAGGCATTTTGTTATAACAGTAGAAATAGACTAAGAGAGTAACACTAGAGGCCATTAAACATGTGGTTTATTCAGGATCATTATAACAAAAACAAAGCCTAAACCATCTCAACTCCTGACTAGATTGATCAATACCCATGCTGAATGCCTAGCAAAAGACAAGGTCTTCTTTTTCTTTCTTTATTGTACTTTAAGTTTCAGGGTACATGTGCACAACGTGCAGGTTTGTTACATATGTGTACATGTGCCGTGTTGGTGTGCTGCACCCAGTAACTGGTCATTTAACATTAGGTATATCTCCTAATGCTATCCCTCCCCTCTCCACCCTCCCCGCACTCCAAAACAGGCCCCGGTGTGTGATGTTCCCCTTCCTGTGTCCATGTATTCTCATTGTTCAATTCCTACCTCTGAGTGAGAACATTCGGTGTTTGGTTTTTTGTCCTTGCGATAGTTTGCTGAGAATGATGGTTTCCAGCTTCATCCATGTCCCTACAAAGGACATGAACTCATCCTTTTTTATGGCTGCATAGTATTCCATGGTGTATATGTGCCACATTTTCTTCATCCAGTCTATCATTGTTGGACATTTGGGTTGGTTCCAAGTCTTTGCTATTGTGAATAGTGCCGCAATAAACATACGTGTGCATGTGTCTTTATAGCAGCATGATTTATAATCCTTTGGGTATATACCCAGTAATGGGATGGCTGGGTCAAATGGTATTTCTAGTTCTAGATCCCTGAGGAATCGCCACACTGACTTCCACAATGGTTGAACTAGTTTACAGTCCCACCAACAGTGTAAAAGTGTTCCTATTTCTCCACATCCTCTCTAGCGCCTGTTGTTTCCTGACTTTCTAATGATCGCCATTCTAACTGGTGTGAGATGGTATCTCATTGTGGTTTTGATTTGCATTTCTCTGATGGCCAGTGACGATGAGCATTTTTCCATGTGTCTGTTGGCTGCATAAATGTCTTCTTTTGAGAAGTGTCTGTTCATATCCTTTGCCCACTTTTTGATGGGGTTGTTTGTTTTTTTCTTGTAAATTTGTTGGAGTTCATTGTAGATTGTGGATATTAGCCCTTTGTCAGATGAGTAGATTGCAAAAATGTTCTCCCATTCTGTAGGTTGCCTGTTCACTCTGATGGTAGTTTCTTTTGCTGTGCAGAAGCTCTTGAGTTTAATTAGATCCCATTTGTCAATTTTGGCTTTTGTTGCCATTGCTTTTGGTGTTGGCCTTGCCCATGCCTATGTCCTGAATGGTATTGCCTAGGTTTTCTTCTATGGTTTTAGGTCTAACATTTAAGTCTTTAATCCATCTTGAATTAATTTTTGTATAAGGTGTAAGGAAGGGATCCAGTTTCAGCTTTCTACATATGGCTAGCCAGTTTTCCCAGCACCATTGATTAAATAGGGAATCCTTTCCCCATTGCTTGTTTTTGTCAGGTTTGTCAAAGATCAGATGGTTGTAGATATGCAGCATTACTTCTGAGGGCTTTGTTCTGTTCCATTGGTCTAGATCTCTGTTTTGGTACCAGTACCATACTGTTTTGGTTACTGTAGCCTTGTAGTATAGTTTGAGGTCAGGTAGCGTGATGCCTCCAGCTTTGTTCTTTTGGCTTAGGTTTGACTTGGCGATGTGGGCTCTTTTTTGGTTCCATATGAACTTTAAAGTAGTTTTTTCCAATTCTGTGAAGAAAGTCATTGGTAGCTTGATGGGGATGGCATTGAATCTATAAATTACCTTGGGCAGTATGGCCATTTTCACGATATTGATTCTTCCTACCCATGAGCATGGAATGTTCTTCCATTTGTTTGTGTCCTCTTTTATTTCCTTGAGCAGTGGTTTGTAGTTCTCCTTGAAGAGGTCCTTCACATCCCTTGTAAGTTGGATTCCTAGGTATTTTATTCTCTTTGAAGAAATTGTGAATGGAGTTCACTCATGATTTGGCTCTCTGTTTGTCTGTTACTGGTGTATAAGAATGCTTGTGATTTTTGCACATTGATTTTGTATCCTGAGACTTTGCTGAAGTTGCCTATCAGCTTGAGGAGATTTTGGGCTGAGACAATGGGGTTTTCTAGATATACAATCATGTCGTCTGCAAACAGGGACAATTTGACTTCCTCTTTTCCTAATTGAATACCCTTTACTTCCTTCTCCTGCCTGATTTCCCTGGCCAGAACTTCCAACACTATGTTGAATAGGAGTGGTGAGAGAGGGCATCCCTGTCTTGTGCCAGTTTTCAAAGGGAATGCTTCCAGTCTTTGCCCATTCAGTATGACATTGGCTGTGGGCGTGTCATAGATAGCTCTTATTATTTTGAGATACGTCCCATCAATACCTAATTGATTGAGAGATTTTAGCATGAAGAGTTGTTGAATTTTGTCAAAGGCCTTTTCTGCATCTATTGAGATAATCATGTGGTTTTTGTCTTTGGTTCTGTTTCTGTGCTGGATTATGTTTATTGATTTGCGTATGTTGAACCAGCCTTGCATCGCAGGGATGAAGCCCACTTGATCATGGCGGCTAAGCTTTTTGAATGTGCTGCTTGATTCAGTTTGCCAGTATTTTATTGAGGATTTTCACGTTGATGCTCATCAGGGATGTTGGTCTAAACTTCTCTTTTTTTGTCGTGTCTCTGCCAGGCTTTGGTAGCACGATGATGCTGGCCTCATCAAATGAGTTAGGGAGGATTCCCTCTTTTTCTATTGATTGGAATAATTTCAGAAGGAATGGTACCAGCTCCTCTTTGTACCTCTGGTAGAATTTGGCTGTGAATCCATCTGGTCCTGGATTTTTTTTTTGGTTGGTAAGCTATTAATTATTGCCTCAATTTCAGAGCCTGTTATTGGTCTATTCAGAGATTCAGCTTCTTCCTGGTTTAGTCTTGGGTGGGTGTATGTGTCGAGGAATTTATCCATTCCTTCTAGATTTTCTAGTTTATTTGCATAGAGGTGTTTATAGCATTCTCTGATGGTAGTTTGTATTTCTGTGAGATCAGTGGTGATATGCCCTTTATCATTTTTTATTGCATCTATTTGATTCTTCTCTCTTTTCTTCTTTATTAGTCTTGCTAGCAGTCTATCAATTGTGTTGATCTTTTCAAAAAACCAGCTCCTGGATTCATTGATTTTTTGAAGGGTTTTTTTGTGTCTCTGTTTCCTTCAGTTCTGCTCTGATCTTAGTTATCTCTTGCCTTCTGCTAGCTTTTGAATGTGTTTGCTCTTGCTTCTCTAGTTCTTTTCATTGTGATGTTAGCGTGTCAATTTTAGATCTTTCCTGCTTTCTCTTGTGGGCAATTTAGTGCTATAAATTTCCCTCTACACACTGCTTTGTATGTGTCCCAGAGAAAATGTTGTGTCTTTGTTCTCGTTGGTTTCAAAGAACATCTTTATTTCTGCCTTCGTTTCGTTATGTACCCAGTAGTCATTCAGGAGCAGGTTGTTCAGTTTCCATGTAGTTGAGCGGTTTTGAGTGAGTTTCTTAATCCTGAGTTCTAGTTTGATTGCACTGTGGTCTGAGAGACAGTTTGTTATAATTTCTATTCTTTTACATTTGCTGAGGAGTGCTTTACTTCCAACTATGTGGTCAATTTTGGAATAAGTGCAGTGTGGTGCTGAGAAGAATGTATATTCTGTTGATTTGGGGTGGAGAGTTCTGTAGATGTCTATTAGGTCCACTTGGTGCAGAGCTGAGTTCAATTCCTGGATATCCTTGTTAACTTTCTGTCTCATTGATCTGTCTAATGTTGACAGTGGGGTGTTAAAGTCTCCCATTATTATTGTGTGGGAGTCTAAGTCTCTTTATAGGTCTCTAAGGACTTGCTTTATGAATCTGGGTCCTCCTGTATTGGGTGCATATATATTTAGGATAGTTAGCTCTTCTTGTTGAATTGATCCCTTTACCATTATGTAATGGTCTTCTTTGTCTCTTTTGATCTTTGTTGGTTTAAAGTCTGTTTTATCAGAGACTAAGATTGCAACACCTGCATTTTTTTGTTTTCCATTTGCTTGGTAGATCTTCCTCCATCCCTTTATTTTGAGCCTATGTGTGTCTCTGCACGTGAGATGGGTTTCCTGAATACAGCACACGGATGGGTCTTGACTCTTTATCCAATTTGCCAGTCTGTGTCTTTTAATTGGAGCATTTAGCCCATTTATTTTTAGGGTTAATATTGTTATGTGTGAATTTGATCCTGTCATTATGATGTTAGCTGGTTATTTTGCTCATTAGTTGATGCAGTTTCTTCCTAATCTCAATGGTCTTTACAATTTGACATGTTTTTGCAGTGGCTGGTACCGGTTGTTCCTTTCCATGTTTAGTGCTTCCTTCAGGAGCTCTTTTAGGGCAGGCCTTGTGGTGACAAAATCTCTCAGCGTTTGCTTGTCTGTAAAGTATTTTATTTCTCCTTCACTTATGAAGCTTAGTTTGGCTGGATATGAAATTCTGGTTTGAAAATTCTTTTCTTTAAGAATGTTGAATATTGGCCCCCACTCTCTTCTGGCTTGTAGAGTTTCTGCCGAGAGATCAGCTGTTAGTCTGATGGGCTTCCCTTCGTTGGTAACCCGACCTTTCTCTCTGGCTGCCCTTAACATTTTTTCCTTATTTCAACTTTGGTGAATCTGACAATTATGTGTCTTGGAGTTACTCTTCTCGAGGAGTATCTTTGTGCCATTCTCTGTATTTCCTGAATTTGAATGTTGGGCTGCCTTGCTAGATTGGGGAAGTTCTCCTGGATAATATCCTGTCGAGTGTTTTCCAACTTGGTTCCATTCTCCCCGTCACGTTCAGGTACACCAAATAGAGATACATTTGGTCTTTTCACATAGTCCCATATTTCTTGGAAGCTTTGTTGATTTCTTTTTATTCTTTTTTCTCTAAACTTCTCTTCTCACCTCATTTCTTTCATTTGATCTTCCGTCACTGATACCCTTTCTTCCAGTTGATCGAATCAGCTACTGAGGCTTGTGCATTCGTCATGTAGTTCTCGTGCCTTGGTTTTCAGCTCCATCAGGTCCTTTACAGACTTCTCTGCATTGGTTATTCTGACCTAAAACCATAAAAACCCTAGAAGAAAACCTAGGCAATACCATTCAGGACATAGGCATGGGCAAGGACTTCATGTTTAAAACATGATTTTAAAGAATATCAGAAATTTCCAGAGTTTTTTATTTCTATCAATCCTGTTAGAGTGAATTTAGTCATTTCTATGATTTTTAACAGCCTACAATTTCAACCAACAATTTCGTTGCTTCTCCTGAAGAGAGTATAGTGGTATGTGATGTATTTTATGTCATAGAGCTTTTTTTTACATGGGAAATAATAGTGCAAGTTGTGGTTTTATATTTTCAATGATCATTTTTCTCTCCTCCTCTTGTTTTAACCTCTCAGGAGCATTTGAAGATACTTTACTGTTCTGTCCTTGAATTATCTTCTCAGCTTTTATAGTATCAACTTGCTCCTATACCTCCCCAACAATTTTCCAAGATTCAATCAGAAAAAAATCCATAAATCCTATCTTCAAATCTTAACATTTGCATACTTGACCCTACATGATTAGATTTCTATTCACCTCATCTACTTTATCTTCTGCTTCACCTCCACAAATACTCTGCTACAACCATTTCTATTCTTTGAACTCCTTCATCTAATTTTAGAAGTCGGCTTTTTGAAATTTCTTTTTCCTGTGCCCCAAATACTCTCACTGCCTATTTTTCTATGGCTTACTGCTTATTAGGTAAGTTTCAGTCCACATATCCTGTTCTCAGTGAAAAGTTCTCTGGCTAGCCAATTTTGAGTACATGTACGTAAATAGGGAATGAAAGATTTTCAAGCCAAAATTCATAAAAGAACGACATCACAGGCCAACCTTTGATGAATGGGGGAGTTTAGCCACCCATTCTCAGATCAGGCAGCTGGGTTCTAAAATAAGATTTCAGTATTTATGTTAATCTCTTTAGAGATACCCCTGCTTTATTTTAACCTTATTAAAATGTTGATTATTTTGCCTAAAACTAATCTGTACCCTAAATCCTATAATAACTAAATCCTTTCATTTGTTTGTTGAGACACCCCATTGTTCCTCTGGTCTCCCTCTTTGCAATTAGTTAGAAAACAAAAACAAAAACCAAGACAACCCTGAATTTGTTGCATGACATGCTTCTGTCTAAAGTCATAGATTTATTGGGCTGGGAGAGTGTCATTGATATCTAACATACTCCATTCAGGATTCTACTCATGCTGAATTTTTTTTTGAAAGCTAAACATTGCCTTGGGTACTTTGATCATGTACTTCTAGCTCTTGGAAGAAGGCCATCATTTTTGCAGAAATAACACCTCATTAAGAAAATTCTCCATTAAGAAATTATAATTTTCATTATACAAAAATTTATGTTTTAAATTATAACTCGCACTGGCATCTTTAATTTGACAATTTTTTATTTAATTATTTTTAGTATAGTTGACAAGCAAAAATGATCCTAGTTTTCATAACATGTATTAACAATTTGTATATATTCAACCTGGCCAAGAGCATGTCAAATGTAAATAAGAAAACTTTAAGAATCTATCCCATATAAAAAAGTAACATAGAGCACATACAAAAATTTATGAATAATCATGTTTATGACAAGTTTATTGATACTGGGAAATCATCTGAAATAAATATTCAATAAGAATCTATAGGTTGGCTAAAATGATATATTTTGTAATATATTGTTTATGTGAAAATCTGTTAGGCAGTATTAAATAAAGTTAAATAAATATGTGAAGTTCATTTTGTACCAAAGGAAATTCTTGTCATGTAACGTTAAGTAATAATATACTAATCATTATACAACATAGAAATACATGAAAATATGATTAAATAATGACATGTTTTCAATATTAATAATTATTTTTATGAGTGTAATTGTTGGTAATTATAATATTATTACATTATATTTTTAAATAACATATTGTTGAAATATTACATATATCAATTTAAAATCTAAAATAAATGGAATAAAGACAGAGTAAGTAATAGACTTATATTAGAATCAGAACAATTCCTGAAGTTAAAAAGAGAAGGGAAACACCCAGAGAAAATGTTTGGTGACTTGACTACATAAAATGTAGGTCCTCCTATATAACTAGAATTAAAGAACAGATAAAATAAGGAAATTCTTGTAAAAAAGATTACTTTTTGGGCAAACTGTAAAATGTGAAATACAGTAGATGTTAAATATGAAAAAGTTACACTGGTAACTAAATTGTTGTAATTTGCAGCTAGTTGAAATATGTTTCAAGTATGATAAATACTTGTTAGAAATATGTGTAAAATAATAGGGTATAAATTATTGAAATAAAAATGTTTGATTTCCAAATGCATTTAAAAGTTCAAGTAGGAGATAAACAGAATGTACCATAAACACAAGAGTAAAAAAGGAAATCCTTTGTACATTTATTTTCCAAATAGTCTACAATGAGAATTTCATACTTTTGCTTTTTAAAATGAAAAATTATTTTCTTGATTTAGTAACTATTATGTTAGTAATGATAGTAGATGCAATAGATACTAGGGAAACAACAAACATTCACACACACAAATGCTCATACACACGAAAAACATATAACAGTATACATTAAAATTTATTAACAATGGATATCTAAGAACATCAAGAATTGGTAACCTTTATAATCATTTTATTTCCATTATTCTGTATTGGCTATTCTTAAAGAGTCACCATGATTTATTCAAGTAAATAAATTTTTTATTATTTTATTATACAAAGTTTCAAATATACAGAAAATTAAAAAAAAATTATGACCAATTATATAGTCAACCACCAAGATTCTTTCATTAAATTTTAACTCTACTTGCTTTATCATATGAATGTTCCTTGATGTATGATGAGGTTACATCCCAATAAAGTAATCATAAGTTGAAGATATTTAAAGTAAAAATGTATTTAATATACATAATCTATGTCATATTAAATCCAAGTAAGATTACCCCAATATGAATTATAATCACACTGTCAAAGTTCAAAAATAAAGATTCTGAAAGTGGCAGGGGAAAGAAACAAATAACTGATGAAAGAAATTGAAGAGGATACCAAAAAAAATGGAAAGATATTCCACGTTCATGGATTGGAAGAGCCAATATTGTTAAAATGTCCATACTACCCGAAGCAACCTACAGATTCAATGCAATCACTATCAAAATATCAATGGCATTCTTCACACAAATAAAAAAAATCCTAAAATGTATACGGAACCACAAAAGACCCAGAATAGCCAAAGCCATCCTAAGCAAAATGAACGAAACTGGGAGAGCCACATTACCTGACTTCAAATCATACTACAGAGCTATAGTAACCCAAACAGCATGGTATTGTCATGAAAACAGACACATAGACCAATGGAACAGAATGAAGAACACAGAAACAAATCCACACACCTACAGTAAACTCATTTTTGACAAAGGTGCCAGGAACATACACTGGGGAAAAGGCAGTCTCTTTAACAGATGGTGCTAGGGAAACTAGATATCCACATGCAAAAAAAAAAGAAACTAGGCTGTATCACTGAATCTCTCACCATATACAAAAATCAAATCAAAATGGACTAAAGCGTTAAGTCTAATACTTCAAGCTAAGAAAGTACTACAAGAAAACATTGGGGAAACTCTCCCAGGCAATGGTCTGGGCAAAAATTTCTTGAGCAATACCCCACAAGCACAGGCAACCACAGCCAAAATGGACAAATAGGATCACATCAAGTTAAAAAACTTCTGCACAGCAAAAGAAACATTCAACTAAGTGAAGAGACAACCCACAGAATGGTAGCAAATATTTACAAAGTACCTATCTGAAAAGGGGTTCATAGCCAGAGTATACAAGGAGTTCAGACAATGCTATAGGAAAAAAGTCTAAAAATCCGATTAAAAAATAGGCAAAAGTTTGAATAGACATTTCTCAAAAGAAGACATACAAATGGCAAATGGGCTTATGAAAAGGTGCCTCCTATGAAAGCAATAGCGTTGCTCGTCAGAGAAATGCAAATTAAAACTACAATGAGATACCACCTCACCCCAGTTAAAATGGCTTTTATCCAAGAGACAGGCAATAACAAATGCTGGTGAGGATGTGAAGAGAAGCAATCTCTTGTACACTGTTGGTGGGAATGCAAACTAGTATAACCACTATGGAGAACAGTTTGGAGGTTCCTCAAAATACTGAAAAGGGAGCTACCATGGGATCCAGCAATCCTACTGCTGGGTATACACCCAAAAGAAAGGAAACCAGCATATGGAAGAGATATCTGCACTCCTATGTTTATTGCAGCACTATTCACAGTAGCCAAGATTTGGAAGCAACCCAAGTGTCCATCAACAGATGAATGAATAAAGAAAATCTGGTAATGTACACAATGGATTACTATTATTCTAATATTCAGTAGTAATATTCAGCCATGCAAAGAATGAGATCCTGTTGTTTGTGACAACATGAATATAACTGGAGATCACTATGTTAACTGAAATAAAGCTTGCAAAGAAAGACAAACATTGCATATTCTCATTTATGCTGGATCTAAAAATCAAAACAACTGAGCTCATGGACATAGAGAGTAGAAGGATGGTTACCAGAGGCTGGGAAGTGTATTGGGGGTTGGGGAGGAGGTGGGGTTGGTTAATGGATACAAAAAGTAGAATGAATAAGACCTACTCTTTGATAGCACAAAAGGATGATTACAGTTGACAATAATTTGATTGTACATTTGAAACAACTAAAAGAGTAAAAGTGAATTGTTGGTAACACAAAAGATAAACGCTTGAGATGTATACCTCGTTCTCCATGATGTGATTATTATGCATTACATGCCTGTATCAAAACATATAATGCACCCCATAAATATATACACCGATTATTTATCCACAAAAATTAAAAATAAAAACAAAAGAAGAAACAGCACCAATATACAACCTACCATTTTACCTCAAGAAAATAGAAAAACAAGAGCAAATGCAAAATTAGTACTCCTATTTTACCTATAAAACTAGACTACTTTATATTGTTTAAAGACAAACAATAGAAGAGAGACATAAAAAGAAGAGTTGATTTGTTGAAAAGATAAACAAAATTGACAAACCGGTAATTAGACTAAGAAAAAGAGAGAAAACTCAAATAAATAAAATGAGAGATGAAAAAGGAGACGTTACAACTGATATCGCAGAAATCATAGAGGATCTGAAGACTATTATGAACAATTATACACCAAATAATTGGAAAATCGAGAAGAAATAGATAAATTCCTGGAAACATAGGAGCTACCAAAATTGCATTATGAATAAATGGAAACCTGAACAGACCAATAATGTGCAAGGAGATTGAATCAATAATAAAAGGAAGCCATCAAAAAAAGCTCAGTACCGCACAGCTTAATTTTGTCAAATATTTACAGAAGATTTACTACCAATTCTTCACAAAATATTCCAAAAAACTAAAGAGGAGGGAATTATTCCCAACTAATTCTACAAGGTCGGCTGTACCCAGGCACCAAAACCAGACAAGGTCCCAAAAACAAAAGAAGAAAAACTACAGACCAATATCCCTGAGGAACATAGATACAGTAATCCTCAATAAAATGCTATCAAACTGATTTCAACAGTCTGTGGAAAAGATTGTTCACCATGATCAAGTGAGATACATCCTAGAAATGCAAGGATGGTTCAAAATATGAATATCAATAAATGTGATACATTAAATTAACAGAATGAAGGAAAAATATAATCATTTTAATAGATGCTGAAAAAGTGTTTGACAAAATTCAACACTCTTCATGATAAAAACTCTGAACAAATTAGGTGTAGAAGGAATGCATCTCAACACAATAAAGGTCATATATGACAAACCCTCAGCTAACATTATACTCAGTGGGGAAAAGTTGAAAGCTTTTTCACTGAAATCGGCAACAAGACAAGGATGCCTAATTTCACTACTTGTATTCAACATAGTATGGAAGTCCTAGCCAGAGCAATTAGGCAAGAGAAAGAAATAGAAGGCATCCACACTGGAAAGGAAGAAGTTAATTTTTCCCTGTTTGCGAATAACATCATCTTATACGTAGAAAACTCTAAAGGCTCCACCAATAACTATTAGAACTAGTATGCAAATTCAGTAAAGTGGAAGGATAAAAAATCAACAAAAATATTAGTAGTCTTTTTATATGTTAATAGCAAACTATCTGAAAAAGAAATCAAGAAAACTATCCCATTTACAATAGCTGCAAAAATAAAATAAAATACCCAGACATAAATTTAACCAAGAAGGTGAAATATCTCTATGATGACAAAAAAACTGATTAAAGAAATTGAAGAAGACACAAAGAAATGAATATTACATATGAATAAATTGGAAAAATAAATATTGCTAAAACATTCATACTACTCAAAACTATATACAGATTCAATGCAATCACTATCAAAATACTAATGACACTTTTTTATAGAAATAGGAAAAACAATCCTAAAAGACCTATAAAACCACACAAACCCCCAAATAACCAAAGTAATTTTCACCACAAAGAACAAAGTTGAAGACATCATATTACGGGGCTGCAAAATATGCAATAAAGCTATAGTAACCAAAACATCATGGCACTAGCATAAAAACAGATACATTGACCAATGAAACAGAAATAGAGAGCCTAGAAATAATTCCAAGCACTTAGAGACAATAGATTTTCGATCGAGTAAGTCACCAAGAACACATATTGGGAAAAGGAGTCTCTTCAGTAAGTAGGATAGGAAGAAGTAGATAGTCACATGCACAATGAAATTAGACCCTTATCTCACCTTATGTATAAAAAGGTCAAAGAAGATTAAAGACCTAAACATAAGACCAGAAACCATGAAACTACTAGAAGAAAATATAGGGGAAAGGCTTCAGAGATTGGTGTGGGTAAGGATTTTTTTTTGGATATGACCTCAAAATCAAAGATGACAAAAAGCAAAATAGACAAATGAGATTACATTCAAAGAAAAAGATTCTGCACAGCAGAGAAAACAATCCACAAAGTGCAAACACAACCTGTAAAGTGGGAGAAAATCTTTGCAGTCTATACAACTGATATGGCATTAATATCTAAAATTTATAGGGAATCCAAACAACTTAATGACAAGAAAACAAACAACACTATTTTAAAAAGGGCAAAACACCTGAGTAAACATTTCTCAAAAGAAGACATACAAATGGCCAATAGGTCAATAGGTGTATTAAAAAATGTTAAACATCACTGATGATCAGGGAAATATAAATCAAAACCACAATGAGATATCACTTTGCACCTATCTTAAGGGCTATTATCAAAAAGACAAAAGAACAAATAGTAAGGATGTGGAGAAAAATGAACTCTTACACACTGTTGGTGGGAAGGTTAATTAGTACAGACATTATGGAAAACACTCTATAGGGTCCTTAAAATATTAAAAATAGAATTATCATATGATTCAGTAACACCACTATTGAGTATACATCCAAAGGAAATAAAATCAGTATATCAAAGAGATATCTGTGCTTCCAGGTTTATTGCAGCACTATGCACAAAGGCCAAGATATGGAATCACCCTAAGTGTCCCATCTACAGATAAAAATGGATAAAGAAAATGTGGTATATATACACAATGGAATACTATTCAGCCATCAAAAAGAACACAATCCTGTTAGTTGCAACATGTTTGAACCTGGAGAACATTAAGTTAAATAGATAAGGCATAAAATGACAAATGTTGGATGATCTCACTCATATGTGAGTGAGAAAAAACTTGATCTCACAGAAGTAGGGAGTAGAATGTTGGTTACCAGAGGTGTGGATGGTTAAGGGAGAGGTAGGGATAGGGAGATGGTGGTCAAAGGATATGTAATTACAGTTATATAGGAGAAATGTATATAATATATTAAACATGTGTCCAGAATAGGCAATTATATAGAGTTAGAAAGTAGATAAGTAATTGCCTGGGGCTAGGGGAAGAGGGGAAGACAATAGGTGGGAGCGGGGAGGAAAAGGAAGAATGACTGCTAATGGTTATGAAGTTTTTTATGTGATGAAACTGTTCTAAAATTGATTGTGGTGATGGTTGTGTAACTCTGTGAACATACTAAGACCACTGGATTATAGACTTTATTTATTTTTGTTATTTCTCTTTTTTATTACATTTCAATAGTTTTTGGGGAACAGATGGTTTTTGGTTACATAGATAAGTTCTGCAGTGGTGATTTCTGAGATTTTGGGGCACTGGTTACCAGAGCTGCGTATACTATACCCAATGTGTAGTCTTTAATCATTCACCTCCTCCCACCCTTCCTCCCACATCCCCAAAGTCCATTATATAATTCTCATACCTTTGCATCCTCCTAGCTTAGCTCCCACTTGTAAGTGAGAACATACAATATTTAATTTTCCACTCTTGAGTTACTTCACTTAGAACAATGGTCTCCAACTCCATCCAGGTTGCTGCAAATGCCATTATTTCATTTCTTTTTATAGCTGAGTAGTATTCCATGGTGTATATACTACATTTCTTTATCCACTTGTTGGTTGATGGGCATTTAGGCTGGATGATACACTTTAAATGGATGAATTGTATGATATGTAAATTATATCTTTAAAGCTGTTTAAAAGAAAAGTCCAGGACTTGATGGTTTCACTCATGAATTCTACAAAACACTTAAAGAAGAAAGAAAACCAGTCCTTCTCAAACTCTTTCAAAAAACTGAAGAAGAGGGCAAAATTCCAAACTCATTTCATGAGGGTAGGACTACTCTGATATGAAAGACAGACAAGGACCATACAATAAAAGAAAATTACTCTGAGAGCAGTGGCTCACACCTATAATCCCGGTACATTGAGAGGCTGAGGCAGGAGGACCACTTGAGCCCCGCAGTTTGAGACCAACCTAGGCAACATAGTGAGACCGTGTTTCTACAAAAAATAGAAAAAGGTAGCTAGACAAGGTGGTGCATGCCTGTAATCCCAGCTACTTGGGAGGCTGAGGTAAGAGGATTGCTGGAGCCCAGGAGTTGAGGCTGAAGTGAGCCGTGATCACACCACTGCATTCCAGCCTGGGCAGCAGAGTGAGATACTGTCTCAAAAATATTACACGCAAACATCCTCAACAAATATAAACATAGATGCAAAAATCCTCAACAATACTAGTAAACTGAATTCCACAGCATATAAAAATTATCATTCATCAAGATCAAGTGAGATTTATCCATAGGGTAAAGATGTTTCCACATACACATGTGATATACCATATTAACAGAATGACGAATAGAAATCATATGGTCATCTCAATAGATGGAGAAAGTATTTAACAAAATTCAACGTTTCTTTCCATGAAAAATGTTCTCAACAAATTCCATATAGAAGGAATGCACCTCAACACAATAAAGGCCATATAAGACATACCCTCAGCTAACATCATACTCAGTGAGGAAAAGTTTAAAGCTTTTCCTCAAAGGTCAGGAACATAATAAAAATGCGCACTCTGACCACTTCTAGTCAGCATAGTACTGGAAGTCCTAGCCAGAGCAATTCAGCAGGAGAAAGAAATAAAAGGTTTCTAGATCAAAAAGGAAGCAGTTAAATTGTCCCTGGTTTTCAGATGACATGATTGTATATGAAGAAAACTTTATAGACTCCACCAAAAAACTGTTAGCACTGATAAAAATTCAGTAAATTAGCAAGATATAAAATTAACACATAAAATTAGTAGCTTTTCTATACACTAACAAGAAACTATCTAAAAAAGAAATCAAGAACACAATTTCGTTTATGATAGCATTAATAAGAATAAGTTACTTAGGAATATATTTAGCCAAGGAAGTAAAAACCTGTACACTGAAAACTGTAAAACATTGATGAAGGAAACTGAAGAAGACACAAATAAATGGGAAGATAGCCTCTGTTCATGGATTGGAAGAATTAATATTGTTAAAACATCCACACTACCCAAAGCAATCTACAGATTCAGTGTAGTCCCTATCAAAATACCAATGACATTCTTCACAGAAGTAGAAAACACAACCTTAAAATTATTATGGAACCATATAAGACCTTGAATAGCCAAAGCACTCTCAAGTAAAACATGAAAAATAAAATACAAAAACCAAAACTGGAGGTATAATAATACCTGACTTCAAAATATACTACAAAATATATTATAAAGCTATAGTAATTAAAACAGCAAGGTACTAACATTAACAAAAGGACACAAAGACCAATGGAGCAGACTAAAGAGCCTAGGTATAATTCCACACATTTACTGTCAATTGACTTTTGCCAAAGGTGGCAAGAACAGACAAGGGGGACAATCAGTCTCTTTAATAAATGGTATTGGGATAACTCAATATCCACAAACAAAAGAATAAAATTAGATCCTTATCTCACTCTACATACAAAAATTACATCAAAATGGATTAAAGGCTTAACTGTAAGACTAGAAACTCTAAAACAGCTAGTAGAAAATGGGGGAAAAGCTTCATGACATTGGTCTGGGCAATAATTTTTTGAATAAGAATCCAAAAGCATAGGCAACAAAAATGAAAATTGGCAGAATTATTTAAAACTACAAAAACTTCTGCATAGGCAGGAAAAAACAGAAGAAAAAGGCAATCTATGGAATGGGAGAAAATATTTGCAAACCTTTATCTGATAAGGGGTTAATAGCCAAAATAGATAAATAATTCCAACAACCCAATAGTAGGGAATAAACTTCTTAAAAAATGGGCAAAGTACCTAAATAGGCAATTCTCAAATAAGACATACAAATGGCCCATAGGTAAATGAAGAAAAGAAAAAGGTCAACAAAATTAATCATCAGGGAAATGCAAATTAAAACCACAATGAGATATCACCTCATACATGTTAGAATGACTATTAACGAAAAGACAAAAGATAAAAAGTGTTGGAGAGAATGGGGAGAAGGGGAACCCTTGCACATTGTTGGTGGGAATGTTAGATAGTATAACTATTATGGAAAACAGTATGGACAGTCATAAAAAAATTAAAAATAGAACTAGCTATGATCCAGCAATCTCACTACTGTGTATATATCCAAATATATGAAATCAGTATGTTGAAGACATATTCATTCTCATGTTCATTGCAGCACTATCCACAATATCCCAGATATGGACTCAAAATAAGTGTCTATCGATGGATGAATGGATATAGAAAATGTAGTATATACACATAATAGAATACTATTCAGTCTTATAAAAGAAAGAAATTCTGTCATTTGCAATAACATGGATGAACTTAGAGGACATAATGTTAAATGAAGTAAGCCAGGCACAGAAAGACAAATACCCCATTATCTTACTCACATGTTGAACACATAGAAGTAGAGTAGAATTGTGGCTTGGACCCTGGGGTGGGGTAAGGAGTAGAGGATGGAGAGATGTTGGTCACAGGACACAAAAGTTCAGTTAGATAAGAGAACTAAGTTCAAGAGATCTATTGTACAACATGGTGATTATAGTTAAAATAGATGCATCTCATTCTTGAAAATTGCTAAGAATGCAGGTTTTAAATTTTCTTACCACAACAAATGAGGTAACGTATATGTTAATTAGCTCAATTTACCCATTCCACAATGTATACATATTTTAAAACATGTACTGATAAATATAATTTTATTTTTCAATAAAAAAATTTTTAAAATTTATAAAAGGGAAAAATTAGGTTATAGACTACAACTATAGTATAGTCACTATTCTACATACTTATCATATTATAATATTTAGCAAATAGATATAGGAATTGATACAGATGAAAATAAATACAAATACAGATTCAGATATAGATACAGATGTATAGATATGTAAATTTATAAACAAAGATGTATAGCTATGTATAACAAATTTTAACAGTAAAATTGCTTGAGAGCTCTAAGATTATAGTTTTATGAGCTCCATTTCAAGTTTGTTTTTTCATAATTTCTAATGCTTCCCAGAAGTAACATAGGCTTTTAATAAAATAAGTGTTGAAAATATGAGCAATATGCCTTTTTTCTCATAAAAAAGTATCAACTATAATACACTGAGAAGGAATTGTGATTGGAGAAAATGTCACAGAGGAGATGACATGAGAATTAGATATGAAAGGAGGAATAAGAGTTTTCCACAAGTTGATGGAGGTTATCTCAAGAGAAGGCAGAGTACCCGAAGAGTATGGTATAACCTGAGAAAACGGACAAATTAATGGCCTGGTGTATCTAAAGCTCAGGTTGCATAGAAGGTATTGGGAAGTGTGGTTGTAAAAGCACGCAGAATTCACGTGAATAGACATCTTGAATGTCCTCCTGAGGAGGAGATCATTGAAGAACACAGCCTGACACTGAGAATGAAGGAGTTCCCTTTCTTCAGAATTTCCCCAGCACACACCACACCTTCAGAAACCATATGTCATTTCCCAACACAAAAATGATCAGACTCAGGTTCCTCAAGGGTTGTTCTGCAAAATATGAATCACATAATTTATTTGCAATCCTCTATTATAGACATTCATGTTCATAGGATATAAATTATAACATAATAGAAATAAATGGAAAACCTAGGAATCACTGATTCTAAGAATGTCACTTAGCTAGAATGAAGGACATAAAAGAATGGAGGTTTGTACGTGACTTTACATGAATACAACGTGTCTCAGAGCTTCAGAAACTCAGTACAGGATGGCTGAACAAATTCCAATGCCAGAGCACTGTTCCCACTTTATTTCCGAAGATTATGATAGTGTTGTCCTGTTAAGGATACATGACTTCTGAAAAATCAATCTATTCTCTCTCAGGCTCTGTGCAGGAGGTAGTTTGTTCAGTCAAACATTGCATTGCTTTCCTAGGTTGTTTAAAAAATGGAAGAATAAGCCCTGTAACTTCCCAGTTGACCTTGCTCCAGACATCGTACTCACTGAGTTATTTCCTACGGTATCAGCTGACCTCTCCCATCTACCACTTTCATACCCACTTACCAGATAGCTAGAGATTCTGAAAACTCAGTTCTTAAACCAAAGTTATTTCTGTTTTATAAACAAAAACTGAACCACCTGTTCCTGGATTTGCTTGGTTTTGATCCCATAAATAATGGGATTCAGCATAGGTGGAGCCAGAATGCAGACATTAGCCAACGGGATGTGGATACAAGGTGGAATGTGGCGTCCAAACCTCTGGGTAAGGATTGTGAAGATGCCAGACCCATAAAAGAGGATGATGATGCAGACATGGGAGCCAAATGTGTTGAGAGCTTTGTGGCAAGCATCTGGAGAAGGCATGTGGAAGACAGCATGGAGAATCAGCATATAGGAAATAAAAATTAGTACAACATCTAAGACCACCGTCGACATTAGAATGGAAAACCCATACCAAATGTTTATTCGAATGTCATTACATGCATATTTGGCTAGGCCAATGTGTTCACAAAAGGTGTGTGGAATAATATTATTCTGGCAGAAAGTCAATCTTTTTAAAAGAAATATGATAGGGAAAATTGTACCATAACTTCTCAGAGAGACAGTCACACAAATTTTCTTGATCAGAGCATTTGTAAGAATGGTGGTGTACCTCAGTGGGTAGCATATGGCAATATAGTGGTCAAAGGCCATCACCAGCAAGATCCCTGACTCAGAGATGAAGGTGGAATGGATGAAGAAGAGCTGAGTGATGCAACGATCCAGGGAGATGTCCCCAGCACGGAACCAGAAGATAGCTAAGGCCTGAGGAATGGTGCACGTGGAGAGGACAATGTCTGCTCCAGCCAGCATGCAGAGGAAGAGGTACATGGGTTCATGGAGGCTGCGCTTTGTGAGGATAATGAAGATGAGCAGGCTGTTCCCAAGAAGGGCGGTGACATAGGAAATGAAGAATGGGATAGAAATCCACATGTGCTGGTCCTGTAGGCCAGGGATGCCCAGCAAGTGGAAGACTGTGTGGCTAGTGCCACTGTGGTTTACAGTAGGCATAGCTGGGGAGAACTTTCAGAACCTCACCTCCTACTCACAGAGGTAGAAGAAGATAAAATCTGCAACATTCTTTGCGATGTCACCAGGAGCTTATGGCATATTCCATAATCTTCGTCTTCTTTGAACATGTAAATAACAAACATGCAAATATGAAAGGTGGTGGTCTATACTCTAATGAATGACAGCCAGACAATATCTCCAAGTAATCAGAATAAGAGACATTATTGTATGCGCTTTAATTATGAATGGAGGATTATGAATATACAGAGGAAATTATTATTTCTGTGTGGGAAAGCTGAATAAGGTGATACTTAAAATTGAGTAGTTTATCGTAAAGTTAATAATGAAGAGAGAAAGAAAGTAGCATAAGAAAAGGTGAGTGTACAGATCAATGCACAGTATGTTTCTGAAATATTTTCAGGCCAGGGTGGCTGGTGCATAAGGAGTACTGAGGAGAACAAGGGAGGTGATGGTATAGGCAGGTTTTTCCTGAATGTGAAGGGCTTCGATCACAACTTCACTCTTAGGCCCCATCCTTTACACAGGGGCAGTCATTAGTTTAGAAAGATGATCTGTTGATATTTGTTGGAACGTTGATTGATTGAAGACACTAAAGCCTAAAAGGCCAGTGGTGTTCCAGGAGTGGACAAAATCTTATTGTATTACAGTCGCAGGAGAATTTAGCTAATGTTTATTAAGCATCACTTTATGCCACGGGCTGTAGTTTGCACTTTGTACGTTCTTAATGCAGGGAGTAGACATCCACTCTTAGAACTGGATAGTACCCCTATTTCACACTTAAGGAAAGTGAGTCTTAGACAATGTGAATAACTTGCCACTTGTCACAAAGCAGCAATTGATAGAAATGAGATTTGAAACCTCTGACTTCACCACATACAGTTTGCTCACTTATGAAGAGGGTCAAGGTACCTCTTTATCTGAGATGAGGCACTCTTTGTGCTCACACCCCAGGGAACTAGGCTTAGAAGTGACTGAAATTAGGTAAAGAGTTATTTCTGGGGGATGAAGAGGGGTTGCAGTTCTTGATATTTGAGAAATTCTTCTGCTGGTAGAAATGAACATGTAACTTCATCATTTACTTCCTAGAATATTCTTCTTCACTCATTAGTGGATTCATTCACAGGCATATTTTGAGCATTGACTATTTTTTCCTGCATCATGCTATGTGCCTGAGTCCTAAATAGCTTTATGGTTTCAGAGAATGGTGGGCTTGTGAGTAAATAGATTTACTAAATGTTCCATGTGGAATGGCTTCAGAGAGTGCCTTCTGAGAAGACAGCCATATTGAATCCCATTTTCAATGGAATGAAGAAATGGCAACAAATAATAAAATACACTCTTCATGGGGTTTCTGAGGATATTAAATAAAGGAATATCTTAAAATATTTAGTTGTTGGCTAAGATATATCTTATGATCAGTAATATTTTTTCTTCCATTCTAGTTCACACTCTTGGTGCATCCTCTTCTTTCTGGGGAGGATAATTGGCTCTTAGTTATTTTTCACACCTGCTAGGATGCCCTGGCTGCCTCCACAAAGCTCCTTCCAATGTGTGGCTTGGGGCAGGTGACTCAGTTCCCTGCCATTTTCAGGGCTCCTTTCATATTATGCCAAGAGTTGTTTGCAGCCTACATCAATATATTTTATGTTTTCTCATCTCTGGTCTAACTCTTAGGGTGCCTACTAGTTACTGGATTGCTTCTCTTTTCTTCCCTTCAGTAAATTCCATCTAGCCCACGTTCTCTCACCCTCCCTTCTCAGATCCTCATCTTTCACTTCCGCCATAAGTGGAGACTTGTGCCTCTGGTATATATATATATTTACCACATATTTCAACAGTCTCTAAGAGTCCTTTTACCTCTGGCCTGTATGATATAACACCAGCCTAGTTCTAACCTTATTTCTGAAGCCAGTACCACCCATAGATGTCTAATTCACTCACTGGCCTCAGACTGAGACTTCAGGAACAGAAACGAGCTCTGTGATAAAATTCAGCCTGATGAGGGCCAGGAGTTGGGCTGTTTATCTTCTTTCAGAAGAACCCTTGAGGGAAGCACTTATGCCGCACTCTCTAGGGAAAGAGCTATTTCCACCAGCCTTGCCCTCTTCCCAAGTGGGCTGAGTCTCTAAAACCACTTCCCACCTCCCTCCCTTCCTCCTGCTCCTTTTCTCTTTCGCTTTTCTCAAGATGCTCTGATACAAATCCTTTCCCACCTAATCTAGCCTTACAACAGCCTATTTAAACAAATGTTAAACCAATTTTTTAATAGGCATATAAAGTCTGATGATTAATATGTGTTGATGATTTATAAAGGTATGTTCTTCATGAAAAGTATAATGTTGAAGTTATACTGATCTCCCTGGCTTTCATAAGTTTTAGCTTTCACCGTCATGAATAATGATGCTTAACTCTGTTGCCTAAGATATATAAGTGTGCCTGCTTAATGGTTAGTAGAAAACATGTGAGTCGTGATTATTTTGGACACATTTGTATTTCACTGTTTGTCTTGACTGTTTAGTTTTTTTTTTGTTTTTACTTTTTCTTAATTTTCAGTTTGACTGTGATGTGCCAAGGCATAGCTTTCTTTGTTTTTATCCTCCTTGATGTTTGCTTAGCTTTTTGAATCTGTAAATATATGATTTTTATCTAATTTGGAAAATTTTAGTAATTATTTCTTAAAATTTTTTGTCCCATTCTCTCTCACATTTCACTTTGGGACCCAAAGCAAACTTTTTTTAGACCTTTTGATATTGTTTCACCAGTACCTGTGCCCTATTCATTTATTTTTCTGTTCTTTTTTCCTACTTCTTTAGTTGGGTAATTCTACTGATGCATCTCATATTTAATTATTAGGAAAGGACTACTTGGTCAAAGATAAATGCATTTGTAGATTTGTTAGATATTAAAGATATAACACCATCAGGGTTGTGCCAGTTTTTCATTGCCACCAGCAATTCATGAGCATGTCTTTTCCCTCCTGACCTTACCAGCAGGGTATGTTGTCAAGCTTTCGAATATTTGTCAGTTTGATAGTTTGGTTGAAGTGTGGTTGAGCATCCACAAAAATGGCCACTAACAATTCCTCCCTCTGCTGAACACATGTGCCAATCCTCCATCATGACATGTTGTTTAATACTCATCTCCTGGAATCTAGGATAGCCTTATGACTTGCTTTGACTAATAGAATAAGGTCAAAGTTATGCATATGAATTCTGGAGCATATGCTTTCAGAGGCCTTGTAACTTCCATTCTGCCCTCTTTTAGGCCACCAGCCATTTAAATAGCTTATGACAGACAAATAAATAAGAGACCATATGGTGAGAGATGCCATTGAGGGCAACTAAGGCACAGCAGCTGACAACCATAAAGGCAAGGATTTTGCTTTGTTTACTTATTTGCATTGTACACTTCAATTCTGCTTGGCATACTATAGGAACACAATAAATATTTATTGACTGAAAATATTACTGAATAAATAAACTGATACTATGAATGATAGAATTATGTGACATCAGTTGCTGGATGTAAATTTTAAGGTGCTTAGGTACCATAACGCCTGGAGATTCTCCAGCTAGAGACATCTGGTAGAGCTTTGGAATGTTTGAATGGTGTAGGACGATGCCAGGAGATACTATTTGGGGCCTATCCCATTGTTCAGTTGCAGAAAAGCCTTTCTTAAAAATTTCCAGCCGGGCTCAGTGGCTTACACCTGTAATCCCAGCACTTTGGGAGGCCGAGCGGGCAGATCACCTGAAGTCAGGAGTTCGAGACCAGCCTGACCAATATGATGAAACCCGTTTCTACTAAAAATACAAAAATTAGCCGGGCGTGGTGGCATGCACCTGTGATCCCAGCTACTCGGGAGGCTGAGACAGGAGAATCACTTGAACCTGGGAGGCAGAGGTTACAGTGAGCCGAGATGGCGCCATTGCACTCCAGCCTGGGCAACAAGAGCAAAACTCCATCTGAAAAAAAATTTTTTTTCACCTTTGGGCGGTAACTAAGGCAGTTAGGCATTTTGCTGTAGGTGACCTTTCCAGCAATATTTCCCATTTCATGTTTCACAACTGTTCTTCAAATACAGAACATAATTCATCATTTACCCTCCTTTTGTCATTCTCTGCTCTTCTACCTCTGAGTCCTTATTCTTGATTTTTCTGCCAGGAATCTCCTCCTTCTTTGACTGATTGGTGATGTGTACTTAGATCTCAAGAATCATCTGACATCTTAGCTCATTCATAGAGCATGTTGTAACCGTCCTTATACTAGGTAGTTTATGCTGATACTTTTTCTAATTAATTTTTAAAATTGACAAGTAGTTTTATACAATATGATTCTTTGATATACATATACATTGTGGAATGGCTGAATTAAGCTATTAATATATGCATTAGCTTACATAAATTTTTTTTGCAGTGAGAACACTTGAAATCTACTCTATTCCCATTTTTCAAATATATAATATATCATAATTATTGTACACCATGGTGTACACTAGATCTCTTGTACTTATTATCTCTAACTAAAATTTGTGTCTTTTGACCAACATCTCTCCAGTCTTTCCCACCCCACGGTCTCTAGTAACTACCATTACACTCTTTGCTTTTATGAGTTCAACATTTTTAGATTCTATGTGTAATGAGATCATGCCGTATTTGACTTTTGGTGCCTGCCTTATTTCACTTAACATAATGGCCTCCGGGTTCATCCAAGTTGTTGCCAATGACAGGATTTCCTTCCTTTATAAGGCCAAATAGTATTCCATTATGTACATATCCCACATTTTCACTATCCTTTCATATGCTGATGGTCACCTATGTTGATTTGATATCTTGGCTACTATGAATAATGCTGCAATAAACACGGGCATACCGATATATTTTTGAAATATCAGTTTTCTATCCTTTGAATATACACTCAGTGGTGAGATTATTGGATCATATGGTAGCTCTATTTTAAAATTTTCAGAAACCTCTATACTGTTTTCCATAATAGCTGTACTGTAATAATTTATATTTTGCCTACATTTATTTGTGACGGAATCTGGAAGACAGACAGACAACATTAGGAGTAGGAGAAGGCAAGTAACATGAGTTTCAAAGGAGTAGCAGCTTCTAAAAGAAAGTGAATGAGCATTAGTCTAGAACAAAGCCTGGAAAATGCTTTGCATTTGCAGTAAAAATGCTCCCCAAATGGGTGTACATCTTTAAAATATTAAGGGCTCCCATAGGTTCTAAATAAATGGCACCAAAGTGCTAATGGAGAAAAATACTTAATGAGGGAGCTTTGCTTTTTCATTTTTATTTATTTATTTTTTCACTCTGTACCATAAATTCCACAACGGCACCTGTCTTCACTCTTGTATATCAGTGTGCCTGGCACAGGGTAGGTTTCAAGTTGAAAAAATTTTGATTTCTCTGCAAAAAAGCTTTATAAATAATTATTAAAATATAAAAAATTTCTATCAATAATACCATACACAACGTAAAATGAAAACGTTGCCATAACAATTTTCTTTTTGTGAATATCAAATATTTAATTAGAATAACCCAGAACACCTACAAAAGTTCATATATAAGTATATTCATGACAGAATATTTTTAATAGAGAATAATGGAAGCTATATAAATGTTCAACGATAAGGGAAGGATGTAAACATATTGTGGTATGTCACCCATGTTAAATATTTAGTCACCCATTTTATCTCAAGAAATATGTATAGAGTACTATGTACGTGGCATTGTGCTATACTGGAGACAAATGCAGCTGTGTTAATGAAGCTATGTAGTGCTAAAAGTGTACTGTATTTGAGATTTCTGCTAAACAAGTAGATTTTAGCTACTCTTACCACAAAAACTAGCAAAAATTCAGTAACTATGTAAGCTAATAAATATGTTAATTTGCTTCACTTTAGTAACCATTTTACTATCTATCCTTATTCCATAACATCATGTTGTGTAACTTAGACATACACAATAAAATTTATTTCAAAAAGTAAGAACAACTTCTTGAAATGGGAAAGAATAAAGGAGCTATGTGGGTCATAGAACATTTATTTCCATGAAAAATTTCTATATTATGAAATTAAATAAAAGACCATGCTAAATATAAGACAACATAAAAATCAATAAATGGGGGGAAGCTTAGAAGGCTATCAGTGAAGATGTTCTATGCATTATAGAATCAAAGCATTAGTTCCATAGACAAAATGATATAAATACATTTTAAATGGGCTTGATTTTGTTTAGCATTCTACTATGGTGCTGTCAATATAGTTAGCACTTAACCCATATTGGTCGAATTGGTGGAGAATGAGTAAATGAATGCTTGAGAAAATCTATAGGATTTCAGCTCCTAAAGTGTTTCTGTGCCTTCTGGAAGTCAGGGTTGAAGAGGATGGTATGGAACGAGCTTTGGGGCCTTGCTGAAGGTCTCTAATCACATTCCCACTATCTGCCCTGACCTTCTCCCTCTGAAACCACTCTCTCACCAAATCCTCTCTCCTGGACTCATGGAGCCTCTCAAGCATGCTTTTCATGGTGGGCTCCCAGCATCCATGCAGTGAAAGAGTTAAGAGCTTTACAGTGATGTCACTGGAAGTAGAGGAACTCCTAGGGGAGAAGAAAGTCACGTGGATAGGACTATGCTCCCTGAAGATGCTGAGAGAAAGAATAGTTTGTCCTGCAGTTCCTCCTCCAGCTTGGTCCGCTGGTCACTGCACACAGTCTATGGTGTGGGGACACTCTGGGATCAAGACAGGGGCATGGCTCCAGTTGGCAACTCCTGATGACTGAGATGGGCTCTTTGGGGGTGAGGAGAGGTATAAGGTGGCACTGACAGCATAGCCTGGTGCTTCTGTGGGCCCTACCCATGGGCACGAACAGTGGGGTTTGACTGAGTGTAGGGATAAAGGAGGTGAGAGAAATATTGAGTTTATTGATGAGAAACAATGATGAATTGCCTTCATCATTTGGCCACTCTATAGAGGTCATATTTGGAATTCTCTATCCCGAGAACAGAGTCAGAGAGAGTGGACCAACATGTTACCACAGAAGATTTGTGGCCTCCTGGAAATACTATTGAAATGAGAGGCAAGAGGCTTGCTTCTAGACTTCCTTAACTCATTTCCTCTGTAACCTTGGGAAAATTGCCTTCTTTTCTGGGGCTCTTATAGTTAGTTACGTGACAAGATTATTCTAAAGAAGGAGTTGGGAAACATTTTTGGTAAAGGCCTAGAGTAAATACTTTAGGCTTCAGAAATGGTCTCCACAAGAGCTCTCACAGATGATATGTAAACAAATGGGAATGGTTGTGTTCCAATAAAACTTTATTTACAAAAGCAGGTAATGGGCAGGAATTGGCCCATAGGCTGAAGTTTGATGATCCCTGGAATTAAGTCCCAGCCCATATATTTTATGTCTCTCGCTCAAGGTTAGGAGGTTCAAGAGTGAAACTGGGGAAGCTCAGGGGTGTTGTCCTGTGAATTGTGTTTCTGTGACAGTCCCCTCTTCTGGCATAGGCTAGGGATTTTAAGACTGGAGGCAGGGGTAAGAGGGAGTCAAAATGAGATGACTTAGATAAGTCATAAATTCTCCGTGTGGGAGTGAGTTTGGTTAGTTAATGACTATGTGTGAATTTGTGAGGGTACATATATGCAGGAAATGTTAAAAGCATGCGTATGTGAAGTGTCAGAGTGAAGGGCTGTTTGTGTAAACTGTAAAAATGTCCGTATGTAAATCTTCATTAAAATTTGTGAGAGTGAATATGTGGGATGGTGAGTGTATGAATGAACATGTGTGAAATATGCACCTGAATGGAAGAGTGTGTGTGTGTGTGTGTGTGTGTGTATTTTCAGCTGGCAGAGCTGGAATTTGACCCAGGTAGGTCTGATTTGAAAGCTCTTATTTTTCCTATGTTCACTGTCTTACATGTTTTAGAAGTTGTGGCATAAATAGGAGAATTGGAGCAGAGTGGGGTGGAAGCCCAAGAAAGGCGGTTTAGGTAATCAATATAACAAAATGGAAGTTTTAAATACTGATGGGAGCTTTGCTAGCTACTAACAAGTTGTTTGACTTTGGGCAAATTATCTGTCAGTTTCTTTGTGAATAAACTAGTGATAATTTCAATTTCACAGATTTGATGTGAAGATTAGAAATAATAATTATATATGATATGCAGTAGGTATTTAATGGTTGCTATTATAAAGCTAGGAAGTATTAGTAACAGAAATTGAAGATTATGAATGATAAGAAATGAAAAGTGACATTAGATTGGGCAATAGTCATGTGACAGATCATGACTATTTAGAGAAAGAAACTTTTGTGGCATGTTGGGGCTATCAGTACCATGGCAGTGGGTGAAGATCAAGAGGGAGGTGAGAGGATTACTGAAGAGAGAGCACATCCTTCCTTTTGTGACACTGAGGTGAAGGGGAGACAGGACACCCGAACATATTTGCTCAGTAAGAACGAGGAACAAAGAGAGAGGGAGAGGTTAAAATTACTGGAGAGAGACCAACTAATGGGGAGAGGTACTCAGAAAAAAAGAAGGGTTGGGCGTCAGTGCACAGATGGAGGGCTTAGCCTCCAGCAGGAGGAAGAGGAAAAGGACAACTTGAGTACAAATAAATTTGTAGGTGGCAGAGTAAAGGCGGTGGAATTTAAGGGAATTTATAACTGCCGACTTTGTTTTTCTCCTTGAACCAGCAGTCAGGAAATCACCATCACCCGATGAATGGGATCGAGTGGCATAGGGCAGACATGAAGTGATTAAAACCTGGTCTGGAAAGGCAAATTCCAGCTCCATCATTTGCTAGCCCAGCGACCTTGGGTAGGGGTGCTACTTAAATTCTCAGAGCTCTGTGTGCTCCCCTATCAGCAAAACGGGGGAAATGACAACAGTTATCTCAGGCTGCGGTGACTGTAATAATGCACATAAAGCCTGCAGCACAGTACCCCTCCTAAATGATCCCTGTCTCATTCTCCAGTCTCCTCCGTTCCCCATCCATCTTACACAATACTGCCGGAGAGAAAGCTACCTAAAATGTAAATTTACCATGCCATTCTCTCACTACAGATCCTTCAGTGACTCTCACTACTTCAACATCAATCTAAAGCCCTTAGAGTAGGACTCAAATCTCTCAATGATTTGGCCCCTACTTCAGTCCCTTGTATTATTTTCTACAATTTTATTATCCCTCTCATGTCCTCTTTGCACTAACCCTGCATCATTATAATTTTCCTCCAAACCCTATGTCTTTTCAGATCTCTATGACTTCATTCAAGTTCTTCCCTCATCATGTTTCTTTACTTGGCGAACTCTTATTTATTCTTCAAGGCAGCACTCTAGCAAGTCTTTTCCGAATGCCTAGGGAGTTCTTCCTCTTTCCACAGCTCCCTGTGCTTAGCTTTTCTTCTACAGTGTGCATATTAGATAGGTAGCCATGTTGCTTGATTGTCTGACTGTCCCAAGTAGGTCTTCAAGAAACCATGCCTGGCACGTACTCAGTAAGGCGTATTAAATTGATAGGTAACTCAGTTGCCACTTTCCTTTTGAGATTCACATCACATTCTGGTGTTCAAAGTGGAAATTGAAGTGCTTGTTATTCGCAGCTTGTAAGCATTTACAACAACCTGAGACTGAGATCTATGGAATTCTAGAGCCAAAAATTTCTCTTTTACGAATAATGTAATCCATTCTGTCCCTAACTTTAGTTTTAAGGTGATAAAAGAGACATCCAGAACAGGGAAGTAATTTTATTGAGATCACATAGTTCATGAATAGAATGGCAAAGAATTTTAGACCACATCCCCTGACTTCTTCAACAGGACCCTTTTCACTGCTCCATCCAGTGAAAAATAATCTGTTCCCTCCTTCCCTACTCCAACCCCATTCAGCTTCTTGGGAAGAGAGAAGAGGTAACTGCCAAATCCTACATACCAATGCTCAGGTGACCTTCCCTGGGCATGACAACCCACAACTCCACTGGTAGCAGCCACTCACTCTTCATTCTGCTGAGCATTCCTGGCTTAGAAGACCAGCACACATGGATGTCTCTCCCCTTCTTTATTTCCTACCTTGTTGCTTTCCTTGGGAACAGCCTCATCATCTTCATCATCATCACTGAATGCAGCCTCCACGAACCCATGTACCTTTTCCTCTGCATGCTGGCTGTGGCTGACCTTATCCTGTCTACTACCACTGTGCCCAAGGCCCTAGCCATATTTTGGTTCTATGCTGGAGCAATATCCCTTGGTGGCTGTGTTACCCAAATCTTCTTTATCCATGCTACCTTCATCGAGGAATCAGGAATTCTGTTGGCGATGGCACTTGACCGCTATGTGGCCATCTGTGATCCACTGCACTATACCACAGTGCTCAGTCGTGCAAAAATCACAAAGATTGGCTTGGCTGTGGTCCTGAGAAGCTTCTGTGTGATCATGCCAGATGTGTTTCTGGTAAAGCGGCTGCCTTTCTGCCATAGCAATCTGCTGCCACATACCTACTGTGAGCACATGGCTGTTGCCAAGTTTGCTTGTGCTGATATTCATGTCAATGTTTGGTATGGCTTGTCTGTCCTTCTCTATACTGTAGTGCTAGATGCCTTGCTTATCTTAGTGTCCTATAGCTTCATCCTGTATACAGGCTTCCACCTCCCCTCCCCAAGGAGCTCGGCAAAAGGCTCTGGGCACATGTGGCTCCCACCTCAGAGTCATTTCCATGTTCTACTTGCCTGGTATTTTTACCATAATTACCCAGCGGTTTGGGCACCATGTTCCTCTCCATACACACATTCTGCTGGCTAATGTCTGCGTGTTGGCTCCTCCCATGCTGAACCCCATCATTTATGGGATCAACACCAGGCAGATTCAAGAGTGTGTGCTCAGTCTTTTGTCCTCACAGAGGAAATGATGCTAGATTTGACTAATCTGATAGTATGTTTATCACTATAGGGCTTTGCTTTTTTTTTTTTTTTTTTTTTTTTTTTTTTTTTTTTTTGCCTACTTTGCAGAGACCTACGAATTAAGATTCCACTGACTATGGATAAAGTGACTGATCATGACTTTGAAAATCAGATTGTCATGTGACCTTGAAAAGTATAGTGTTTAGGGAAGAACATAAGCTTTGGATCAGGATTAGGTTTGAATCCTGGCTTCCTTTATAACAGTGTGTTTGACCTTGGGTAAGTTACTTATTCTCTTAGAGACTCTTCCTGGCACATCCTTAGGGTGCCAGAAAAAGGACTATCAAAACAGAAATAACCAAATTAAACCATAAGAAAACTTTACTTACTAGGGCATTACAGTTAAAACACTTAGATAGACTCTATCTTCATGTAATTAAGATTACATTAAGATTACTCTATCTTAATGTAATGTAATGTAATCAAATGATATATTTGATATCATTTGAAATATATTATTTTAAATTAGATATGGGAGGATATCATAATCATTGCATTTCTTGATTGTCTTGATTGTACATTTATCATAGGCCTATGATAAAAATAAATAAAATAAAGTATGAACAGGACCTTGAATATACATGAGACAAAATAAGCAGTGGATACATTTTAAATTTTCTTTCTTTTCTGCTTTACTGACTTTATCTTTAAAATTGTAGTATAATATCTGTTTTTCCTAATTCAAAAGGAAGTTGTAGAATCAAAAGAGATTAGAAAATTCAACTAGTTTGTTTGAATTTTAAAGGGCAATATTAATGAGAATTAGAATTAGTGCTGATAGAGTCTTTCCTCATTTCTCAGGAGAACTTTTATGTGACATGCAAAGGTATACCTGGATTACTTGTTAGTGACTATTGGTGGGGGTAAAAGTTGAGATTCTATGAAATCTCTACTACTTGGTTTATTTTGGTGGAGACCAAGGGAAGTATATCATCTATATAATGTATATCTCCAAGTATAAAGGTAACCTGATATCCCAAGGTATTCAGATTTTGAGAACTGAGATTATTTAGGTTGATATCATTCTGACAGTCTCCTCTCATCAGTATATCAATGAAAGGGAGCAAACCATCATTTATACTGGTTAGCTCGAAGGCAGAAACATAGAGAAGCAGAAAAGCTGATTTTATAATCTACCCTTCTTTTTCTTCATATTTCTCCATGAACCTAGCAAATACAAGCCCACCATTCCCCAGTACATCTCATTTGCATAAGCATGAATTCTCTTCCATATTCCTGCTCCAGTTTATTACCCAAGGAACTGGTCGACTTTGTCATTTATCTTGATTTAGTTGTCATCTGAGGATTTAAGACCTGGGTCTTTTCTGTTCTTTTTATCTTTTCTTCATAGGATTCTTTTCTGTCCTATGTTAAAAGATAGACCATTACTCATCCTTAGAAGCAACTCTTTGATCAATAAAGTCTTTTCAAAGTCACTGACTTCTTTGTACAGTAACTAAATTTTTCATGAAATATTTAGTGGAAATGGTGCTGAGGGCAACCTGAGATTCTATTTTAGATAAGGAATCAGAGTTCCTGGAATGCTAGGGCTCTCTCACAGTCTACTGTGATTCAAGTTTAGAGCTTTATTGTTCCAACCTTAAAAACTTAAAGTATGCTGTCACCAGGTGATGCTGTTACCTCAGTCCTGGCTTTCATATCAATCAGGGTTCAACTGGAGAAGCAGAAAGAGTAGTAGATATATATTAAGAGATTTATTGCAAGGAATTCACTTGCACAACTGTGGGGGCTGGGAAAGCAAGTCGTATATCCATAGGGCAGGCAGATGGAAGGTAGGCTGGAACTCTCAGGCATGAGTTAAAGCTGTTATTCATAGGTGGAATATAATCTTCAGGGAAGCTTCAGTTCTGCTTTTAAGGCCTGATTGAATTAGGCCCACCCAGATTACATAGGATAATCTCCTTTACTTAAAGTCAAATAATTATGCACTTCAATCATATCTACAAAATACCTTCACAGCAACATCTAGGTTAGTTTGAATAACTAGGGGCTTATAGCTAGCCACCAAGGTGGCATATCAAAAGACCACCACACCTATTTAGATTGATATTCCTAACCCCATGTTCTCTTCTAGGAGTTGTATGGTTTCAGGTCTTAGATTTAAGTCTCAACTCATTTTGAGCAAAAATTCTTGAAGAACTTTTTAACTTTCTTGTGCACACCATCTCAGGCAAGGTGTCTCCAAAGTTTACTCCATACATTTTTACTAAGCATCTGCTAAATTCAGATGAATCTCCAACAAATAATTGAATACTATGGTAATTAATATAATCTATTTAAATATTAAAATATAAATCCCACAACATTAAGGTAGTTGCAAACATCTCTAAACTCCCTCACCCCTGCTTCTAGTTCCATATCATTATGTCCTCTTTGGAAAGAATAAGGGGATGCCCTTTCCTTCACCTTTAGGGATACAAGGAGAATGTTGATGAATATCATGTGGCAAGTATGGGGGATGTTGAGTGAAAACACATGGATGAGAAGAAGAAGATATAAGGGTCAAGTAACCAGTGAGATCTTCCATAGACTTTGGATTAAAATATAGTTGCAATCTGAGCTGTAAGACTTTAGTTCATCTCTGCTTGGGAAGTGTTAGTTTAGTTAGGAACTTAGACAGGAAGATACAAGATGGGGCTCCTGGGGAAAGGAAGTAAGAATAGACTGTTGGGCCAACAGGAAAACTTCCCAATGTAGGGGAGAAGACTGGCGTGTAGGGCCTTCCACAATCTACCACAAGCGCATATGGAGCTGACATCTCCCATGTCATTATCTCTTGGGTACCTAAGGTTGGGTGTGGTGGCTGTCAGCACAGCACAGACTCCTAAGCAGTGAGGAATTATAGAAATGACACTCACATTTTAGCAGAATTCAGGCCCCTCCCATAATCCTAATCTTGTGGCCTTTCTTTAGGTTTTGGACCCTGAGCAAGGAGGGGGTTAGTTTTAAGAAAGGACTATTATCATCCTTGCTTCCAAGTTAAACTAGAAACTAAATTCCTCCCATGTTTAGCTTGACCTATGCCCAGGAATGAATGAAGACAGCCATCCTGTGAGGCTAGAAGCAAGTCGGAGTCAGCCACATTAGATTTCTCTGTCATAATCTTTACAAAGGTGAGTTTTCTTCAATTTTTTAGATTCAGGGATATATGTGCAAGTTTGTTACCTGGGTATACTGCATGATACTGAGGTTTGGGTATGAATGATCCTGTCACCCTGGTACTGAGCATAGTACCCAGCAGTTAGTTTTTCAACTTTTGCTCTCCTCCCTTCCTCCCTCGTCTAGTAGACCCCACTTTGTTGCCATCTTTATGTCCATGAGTACCCTGTGTTTGGCTCCCACTTATAAGAGAGAACATGTGGTATTTGGTTTTCTCTTCCTGCATTAGTTTGCTAGGATAAAGGCGATTTCAAAAATTTATTTGCATTTTGTTTTAACATAGTTATGACCCACCTTCTGAAATTATACAATTTGGTGTAACTGTCTTCACTGAATATGTCATGGGCATCTCCCCCATGTTATTAATAATTTTATTTTGAAATGGCTGTGTAGTCTTCCATTGACTAGATGGACAGTAGTGCTAATTGTTGATCACTAATGCTATAACCAATTTTCACTGTTATTCATTGAAGAATATCTTTATGCATAGGGCTATTTCCCAATGTCAAGTTATTTCCTTAGGATAGATTCCCAGAGGTGGGATTATTAAATTAAATAATATGGAAATCTCTGAGGCCTTTATTACATATTGACAAAATGATTCCAGAAATGTTTGCATCCATTTACATCACAACCAGCAAGGATAAATGTGTCCATCTTGCCAGTATTGAGTATTATCATCTGACTAAATATTTGCTAATGTGATAATGAAAGAGTAGTGACCCACACTCCCCTGGGCAGGCACTAACTCCCTCTAGCTCCTTCCACACCTTAACCTCCCCACCTGCGGTCCCTCACCAGGCTTGGACAATTCCTGCAAGAGACTTAGGGAGACCAGCTCCACAGGCTTCTATGCTTTGACCTTTACCCCCATGGTGGGACCTTGACAGGATCTACTGGTAGCCCTCTGAGATCTAGGTCAAAGTTGAGGCCAAGAACAAGGTGGGTTGAGAGCCAGGGATGTGTCATGTGCGCATGCACGTGTCTGTGTGTGTGTTGGGGAGTAGTTCAAAGGAAGAGGGGTTAGGGTGGGTGGAATGAGGCAGAATCATCCAGGGCTGAGAAGTCTAAATCTGGAAGGAAAGGGATGGGAACAGGGAGAATGGCTTTTTCTGTCAGAGAGAGCCGAGGGGGAAGTGGCAACAATGAGAGATGCTCTGAGTTTGAAAGAAGGTAGGAGAAGAAAGTTGCCACGACCCACTTATGGGGACACTCTAGAGGGAGTCTATGTCTCATCCTTTACTTCGACACCTGAGACCACCCCCACGCTCCTGGATCTGTCTGCAGAAGCTGTCAGATGCTGGGCCCTTCCCTTCCCAGAGACGCATCTTTGACCCTGCTACAGCTCCTGCTCCTCTTCTGTCTGTCTGTCTTCCCATCCCAAAGCCCCAGCCCTGGGGCACAGGCCTGAGCTGCACATGTTAGAGAGGGCTTGTTAGTGGCTGTGTCCAGGAACTTAGACAGCTCCTTTGTTTGGCTTTCTTTCCATATCCTTTCAACCTCTTCTTTCCTCGTCCAAACCATTCAAGTAGGAGGCGTGGGGCCCGGGGCAGGAGTTTTAGGGGAGGTAGCCTGGTCATAGAGACAGGAAGAAGATGAAGCCATGCTTCACTTACTCTTTGCTGCTGTGTTCTCTTCTTACCTCCACACAAAGTCTCTCCTCACCTTGCCTGAAAGGATACCTCATCGTCTGCAGTGGAAGCTTCTGGAAGACAAGATGGTCCCTTTCTTCCTAATACTCATGGCCTCACCTGCCGAATGTGAGCACATGCTGACACAGACACACATTTCTTCAGGCTCCAAATCCCTTCCTCATGATTGGGGATGTGGTCACACCCACAGCACACACCCCCTTTTTCTTTATCCCTTAGCGGATGTAACATTTACTCTTCTGGAAAAGTCCGAAAACTTTGCCCAAGAAAGGTGCATTCCAGAGAGAAATAACATTAAAACTGGATATTCCAAGGGGCACAGGAATTGGCCAGTTGTCTAGAACACTGAAAGCATAGGGAAGCCCCAGAGAGCTCCAAGAACTTTGATGTTGTCACTCGTCACTTACTGAGAACATGGACAGAAGGTGCTTCAGGTCTGTGAGGGTCAGAGATGCAGAGGTCACAGAGCTACTCCAGCCCCAGGAGAACTTTGTATTTCAAAAGCAGGTGTTCCCTCATGGTAAGGAGGTAATATCCCCTCGGACAGCGATCAGAGCCCAAATGGCCTTCTATCACCACAGCGGCTATGATGGGGAAGGCAATGATGGGGAAGTACAGAAGACTTGACTTGACCTGGGTCTTCAGTCCAAGATCAAACATTTCAAATGGGACAGTCTAGGCATGAAAAGCACGTGCAGTGTTAAAGACACATCACTATTAATCATATTCAGAGTTCTCAAGTATTTCAGGATTAAGGAACAAGGACTGAATGGGATAGACGGAGGCACAGTTTTTTAAATTTTATTTTTTATTTTTAGGAAGCCCTTTTGCAAACCATACAAGATATAATAGAGATCTCACCAAAGACGACATCCTAGAGATGGAGAGGAGAAAAAAAAAACTTAAGTCCCATAAAGAAGGCAGAAACATGTTTTTGGTTGATCAAGATGAGTTTGGGCCAAATATAAGGAGGCTGCTTCACTGGAGGGAATCACAAAGCCATCTGGGGCAGGAATGTTGATGGTGAAGTGACTTCCCTGCTAAAGCTCGCTTGCTGGGATCCGGATGCCTCTGCAGAGACAAAGGTGGTTCAGAGTTCATGGGGAAAAGAGGCAGGGTTTGTGGCTGAGAAGCGGTGCCAATGGGGAGAGTGGCAGTGTCCAGAGAAAGCCATCAATAGTCAGTGGATCCTTGTGATCCAATATTCAGTGGACAGAGGGTTAGAGGGGCTGTGTTTTTTCCTCCATCATTGAAACCAGGACTGAAGAAGGGCCGCAGAGGTCCTGTAAAGGCACATTCAGAGAAGGAGTAGATGAGGGAGCCATGGTCAGTGATGTTGTAGAAGGAGACCATGCCAGCCTCATAGTCCAGGAAAATCCCAACTTGGCATGGAGGCACCTGAAGGTGGAGGGGAGTCTGGGGGTAGGTGCCAGCCTCATATTTTTGTTTGTTCCACAACCAAATTGTCCAGAAGCCACTCTTGGAACTAAGCAAAAAGTGCCCCTTCCTGCGCACAGAGTCTCTGCAGACACCCAGGTCCCAGGCCTCCTTTCCTGTCACATCTACCTCCCAGTAATGTTTTCCAGAGTGAAAGTGCTGGGCACCCAGGACCATAGGATAACTATCAAATCTCTCTTCATTTCCAGGTATGCTCTGCTGGGTGTCTCCAAGCCTCACTTGTCTCCGATCTTCTGAAAGTATCAGCCACGGATTGGCTGTGTCTGGATCCAGAGTGATGTGGACTGCAGAGAGAGGACCACAGTCAGGCCTTGCATGGGGGGAGTTCACTAAGTCTGTGCCTGTGGTGGGGGGATTTTGTGTAAACTCCAGGGTAAGCATGAGGGGTGAACCTCCCTGTGTGAGGAAATGACCATCAGCCAGTTCTGGCCTTGGTCCTGACCTCTGAAGAAACCATCTTCCTTACCTCCATCTCTGTTCCCCCTGCTCTGACCTGCCATCTCTCCTCCAAGTTGCCATCCAGGCTCCCTGACCCTGGGATCTACTCTGCACCCCATTATCCCCCGCAAAACTAGAACTTGCCTCACCTGCACATGTCCTCAGCATCTTCTTCAGCCCTGGCACATGGCACACACTCCTGAGTTCTGGAGAGGTAATATCCAGGTCCTTCAGGTTCCAGGACTCACTCCTGGGGGAAAGAGAGTTTGAGACTCCTGTCTCCTACTCCTATCCCAAACCCTAACACTATAACCTCCATTGTGGAGGACTCCGATAATTTAATTCAACTCAAATTTACAAAGACCTCTGGTGTTCAAGTCTCCAGGAGTGGGTGTGAGAGGCAAACAATGCAGGATTTAGTTTCTACCCAGGAGTTCCTGGTTATAGGAGGCTCTGCAGCATGTGGACAGTCTGTCTCTCCTGTCTAAGCCTGAGGTCACCTGGCAAATGCATTCAATTTCATTTTATAGGCAAGCAATCTGAGACAGGCTGAATCACTTCTGCAAGGAACCTCAAGGAGTCTTGCCCACACTGTGGGTCTTACTCATGGCTCTTTTTGGGAGGTAACTGGTTAGATTCCACTGAGAAAAGGAGTCCCAGCAGGCCATGTCCCAGTAGTCTGAATTCCGGGAAGACCCAGAACTTCCCAGGATTTCCCTGTTTGGCAGGACTTTACTGTGTGAAGATGTTATGATCCAACTACTGTGGGCAATCACCAATTGAGATGTCCATTTATTAGCTTTCTGAGACCAGAAAATATTTTATAGAGAATGAAGTTTTTGAGAATAGGAAGCCAGATGGGGAAAACTTCAGTGCATGTACTTCTAATTCAATCACCTTTGTCATAGGCATATATGCTTTCTGCTGGCCCCTCTTCTAACAAAGAAAACTCCTCCTTACCTTTCCAGGACAATTATCACCTCCTGAGGAGAAAAGAGACAGAAAGTAAGTTCTGGATTGCTGGATCGCCACTGAGACATCAGCCCTGTGGGTGATGTGATCCATCTTTGGTCCCTGGGGCACTGTTCCTCTCCTTCCTCTGGTCCTAGGCCCCAGAGATGATTCTGACCAGCTCAAAGCAGAAAGGATGTGTGGCTGCTTGTGAGGTAACCAGAAGCCCAGCATGGATGTGACCTATGGCTAGGGAAGGGTTATCAGTTTCAGGACTCTGACTCAAAGACCAGTTTTTTTTTTTTTTCCCCAGGGGAGAAAGAAAGGAGGGCAGAGAGGGCACATAGCCCAGCTTGGCTTAAGCCCAGAAACAATCACAGGCAGAGAATGGCCGAGTTCAGGTGTCCAGAAACCACTCTATTCCACTTGTGGGCTAGCATTGTTTGGGAAGGAAAGGTTGGTTAGTTAAAGCTCCCTTGGGTACTTAATGTTGCCTCTTCCTGTATGTGAAACCAAATCACTGAGAATATTTTTGTCGTAGGGATTAGGCGCCATTACATGGGAGCTAGCAGGCTCCTAGACTCAGTCAAAAGTGTGTTGGAAAGCCTGGTTTACAGACAGGTGTAGTGGCTCACTCTTGTAATCCCAGCACTTTGGGAGGCTGAGGGGGGCAGATCACCTACGGTTGGGAGTTTGAGACCAGCCTGACCAACATGGAGAAATCCCATCTCTACTAGGGATGCAAAATTAGCCAGGTGTGGTGATGTGAGGCTGAGGCAGGAGAATCGCTTGAACCCGGGAGGCGGAGGTTGCAGTGAGCCAAGATCACACCATTGCACTCCAGCCTGGGCAACAAGAGTGAAACTCTGTCTCATAAATAAATAAATAAATAAATAAATAGAAAGCCTGGTTCAATGTTGGGCAGAAGAGAGCCTGTCAAGTCAACCCAATACAATTAGGTTTTCTGCACAAACCTGAAAGCAATGGCTCATGACCACTCTGAGTGACACTGAACAGGTGTGGGAAAAGAGCTGTAGAATGTTAGAACAGAAGGGACTTGTGAGACCATCTAGTCCATAGTTTCCTACAGTGAGGCAAACATATCATTGGTGGATGCAAGATGATTCTAAGTGCAACATAAATTGATTTTTAAAAAGGTCCTGTACTTATTTTCATCTTTACTTTGCGTCTTGAACGCGAACCTTTCATGGGTTTGAATTCTACTTCATTTAAGAACATTCCAGGGACCAGGTGTCCATTTATTCAAATGGCAGTTCCAGATAGCTCTGGTCTTTTTCAGTTATTCCCTGAATTGTAGAAGGAAACCCCTCCCTGTCTCACCTGCAGCAGTTCCAGTGCTGAGCTGTGGCACCTTCGATCTAGCTCTGAGATGAGCTCCTGTAGGGCCTGGCTCTGCTGGGCCAGCTTGGCCTCTTTCTCCCCCAGGATTCTCAGCTGCTCCCTCTCATCCTTCTCCAGCTCCTGCAGCTGCCTCTGTTCTTCTTCAACCAGGAAGTTTTTTTGCTGCACAAACTCTGCGTGAATCCTAGATTTCTGTGTTTCCACTGTTTTCTTTAGTGTCAAGGGAAAGGGAGAGGTGGTTTTTATGAAAATCTCCCAAGCTTTGGGAATGGAGGTATTGGTACCTATTCCTATCCCCAAGAGACTCCACTCTGTGCTGTCTGGGAAAACACACACACATGCACACGCACACGCGCGCACACACACACACACACAATTTTGCTTGGGAGGTAGGTGGTTGAGGTTTCTGGGACAGTGAGGGGAATGGACTTGGTGAGGGCACACTGTAGCTGGCCTACAACGACAGCTACACGAATATATGGCATTGGGGACTTTTTCCAACCTCTCTTCCAAGCCCAGTCACCACTCAAATGTGCCCCTGTGTCTTCCTGTCTCAGTGAGTTACTGAGAAAAAAATCACCTGTTCCCACCTCCAACAACCTCACAAAGCCAGGCTCACGCCACCACCTCTAAGTCCTGGGAAAGGGGGCTTGGGGACATTCTTTGCTTTTCCTCTCCTGTTAGTAACTGGAAGGTCACTCGATGACACATGAGGGTCTGTTTTGTCACCACAACCCAACTCACACCCTACCTCAATCCCAAATCTTCCTCTTCTGTGATCTACTGGGGATGGGCTCCTTCTTCTCCCCTCTCATCCCTGACATGCCCCACCTCTCCTAGGAAATCATCAGTGCAGAACAAACATTGATTCTTCATTATATTTTGGACCAGAGATCTGGTCATGGTCAAGTAACCACCTGGTCAGATGGTTTCCTTAAGTTTATTCCTCACAGCCCTTGTCATTTCCTGAAAGGCTTAGCTAGCAGTTGGGTTTCTACTAGGATATTTGTCTCACACATCCAGGTGCTGACGCCATCACACCTCTGAGACTAGACTCAGAGGAGCTCGAAACTTTAGGGTATAGCTAGATCCTCTCAGCACCTTCTTCCAGGATTCTTGATCTTCAGGCCTGATGGGGAGCTCCCCTTTGAACCTGCATCATTTTTATTCCCCTCTATTTGTAAACCTAGAGAGCAGCTGGCTTCTGGAGAGTGAGACGGACCAACTCTATCACTGCTCAGAGAGGCACAGCTACGGTTAAGGCTGTGAGTTGAGGACTCTGGACCCTGCCCAGCCTTCCAGCCTAAGATCTCCTTCAGGATGTCATTCTTACCTTCCAGTCTGCTCTCTTTATTGCAATTTCCACTTCCAACTTCTCAGCCAACTCCTGCTTTCTTCTCAGTTCCCCTAATGCCACCTGGAGCTTCTCCTGCAGAGAAAGACAGCTTATTCGTCCCCCATGCAAACCAAGTAATAGGGTGGGGTAATCCTTGCAGCATTTTCTCATGCATATCTCCTACGCCTGGGGAATGAGGTTGGGTTTAACTTATAATTCTCCTCCTACATTAGACATGGAGAGAGGTAAACCCCTCCTTTCTCTAACCCCTCCAATCCAGAGGTGGTCCTCTCCCATTCCCTGCTCTGAAAACGAAGCACTCACCAGGTGTCTCTTAGGCCTCACCTGGTACTCCTGTGCAGCCTCCTCAAGAGGGACCATGGCGTGGTCACGGTGTTTCCGAGACTGGGCACATACCCAGCAAAGGGCCTTCCCATCTTTCTCACAGAACAGGTGAAGTCTCTCTCCATGCACTGCACACCGTTCCCCCTGTGTGCCCTCTCTGGCCTCCTGGCTGATTTCTTTAAGGTTGTTCACCATGTTGGCTAGCTGTCGATTGGGCCGGAGATTCTTGAGCAGAAAGCGCTGCCGGCACACAGGACAGACGCTGCCCCCACCTTTCCCAACCTGAGAGATGCATTCCTGGCAGAAGCTGTGGCCACACTCGATGCTCACAGGCTCCACGAAGGGGTCCAGGCAGATAGGGCATGTGACCTCCTCCCACATCATTGTCAAGCGTGCTGCTGAAGCCATTGTCAAGTGTGCCGTTAAACAGCAGTGTGGAGACCTTTAGGGGGTTTGGCTGGGAGAGAAGAAGAAAGGGAAAAGAGAATATGAGAAAGTCTGTGTAAGAAAAACAAAAAGTCAACATAATCCCTATCAAAATACCAATGACATTCTTCACAAAAATAGGAAAAAACAATCCTAAAATTTATATGGAATCACAAAAGACTCAGAATAGCCAAAGCTATCCTGAGCAAAAAGAACAAAACTGGAGGAATCACATCATCTGACGTCAAATTATACTGTAGAGCTAAAGTAACCCAAACAGCATGGTACTGGCATAAAAACAGACACATAGACCAGTAGAATAAAGAACCCAGAAACAAATCTGTACATCCACAGTGAGCACATTTTCAACAAAGCTACCAAGAACATACAGTGAGGAAAGGACAGTCTCTTCAATAAATGCTGCTGGGAAAACTGGATATCCACATGCAGAAGAATGAAACTACACTCCTATGTCTCACCGTATACAGAAATCAAATCAAAATGGATTAAAGACTTAAATCTAAGGCCTCAAACTATGAAACTATTATAAGAAAACATTGGGAAAACTCTCTAGGACATTGGACTGGGCAAAGATTTCTTTCAAATATCCCACAAGCACAGGCAGCCAAAGCAAACTTGGACAAATGGGATCACATCATGTTGAAAAGGTGCTGCACAGCAAAAGAAACAATCCACAAAGTGAAGAGACAGCCCACAGAATTGGAGTAAATATTTGTAAACTATCCATCTGACAAGGGATGAATAACCAGAATATATAAGGAGCTCAAACAACTCTATAGGAAAAAAAATAATAATCTGACTCAAAAATGGACAAAAGATCTGAACAGACATTTCTCAAAAGAAGTCATACAAATGACAAACAGGCATATGAACAGTTGCTCAACATCATTGATTATCAGAAAAATGCAAATCAAAACTACAATGAGATATAATCTCATCTCAGTTAAAATGTCTTTTCTCCAAAAGACAGGCTATAACAAATGCTGGTGAGGGTGTGGAGAAAAGGGTACACTCATATGCTGTTGGTGGGAAGGTAAATTAGTACAATCACTACAGAGAACAGTTTGGAGGTTCTTCAAAATACTGAAGATAGAGCTACCATATGATCCATCAATCCCACTGCTAGCATATACCCCAAAGAAAGGAAATCAGTATATCAAAGAGATATCCACACTTCCATGTTTACTGCAGCACGTTTCACAATAGCCAAGATTTGGAAGCAATCTAAGAGTCCATCAACAGATATATGGATAAAGAAAATGTGGTATGTATACACAATGGAGTACTGTTCAGTCATAAAATATAATGAGATCCTGTCATTCACAACAACATGAATGGAACTGGAGGTCATTATGTTAGGTGAAATAAGCCAGGCACAGAAACACAAACATTGTATGGTCTCACTCATTTGTAGAAGCTAAAAATTAAAACAATTGAACTCATGGAGTTAGATAATAGAAAGATGGTTACCAGAGGCTGGGAAGAGTAATAGGGAGGGTCTGTGTGTGGGGGAGAAGATGGGATGGTTAATGGGTACAAAAGTGGAGTGAATTAGATCTAGTATTTGATAGTACAACAGGGTGACTATAGTCAATAATTTAATTGTACATTAAAAATAAGAGTATAATTGCATAGTTTGTATTACAGATGATCAATGCTTGAGGTGATAGATGCCCCACTTACCCTGATGTGATTATTACACATTGTATACCTGTATCACAATATTCCATATACCCATAAATATACCTACTATGTGCCCACAAAAATTAAAAATATACTAAAAAAAGAAAAACAAAATGATGCAAAGGAAAATAAAAAATAAGAATAAAAATAATGGGTCAGGCACGGTGGCTCACACCTGTAATCCCAGCACTTTGGGAGGCCGAGGTGGGTGGATCACCTTAGGTCAGGAGTTCAAGACCAGCCTGACCAATATGGTAAAACCCTGTCTCTACTAAAAATACAAAAATTAGCTGGGAGTGGTGGTGGGCACCTGTAATCCCAGCTACTTGGGAGGCTGAGGCAGGAGAATTGCTTGAACCTGGGAGGCAGAGGTTGCAGTGAGCCAAGATTGTGCCATTGCACTCCAGCCTGGGTGACACGGCGAGACTCCCTCTCAAAAACAAAACAAAACAAAACAAGGCATAAAATTAATGGCAAAACAATTAATGTCAAAAACAGTAATTACTTTTGCACCGATCAAACAGTTTGTTGAATAAGTTTATTCCTGTTCTGAATAACAAGAACTCCTCCATTGTTTGGTCCATTGATCCAGTGAGACAGAAGGAGAAACTGAGTCCCTAAAAGAGGGAATGAAAATTGGCAAGAACCTCATAAAGCTGTTGACAGTTCTACTCTCATCATGTCCATTCCTGCTTAAACCCTCAGTGCTCATCCATCTCCTGTCGGGTACCAACAGGCCTCCATGTTGCTGAGAAATTATAGCTACTTTTTACCATGTACCTTCCATGTGCCAGAGATACTTCATGCTTTGAATATATCTTCATTAATCCCTCCTATAACGGCGGAAGTCAGTTGCATATATGTATGTAGGTGTATATGTATGTATACACACAGAGTAACAGGAACCGTGGCCAGCACTCCCTGGGCTCTTTTCTCAGCTGCTCCAAACTTAGTTTAGTTCCTGACAACACTTATTCTAGGACAAAGAATAATTCTGAAGGCCTATACATTTCTGGTTGAACATCCTAAACAGCCTGCCCCTCTCACCTCTGGAGGACTTTTGGACCTGGGAGTCTCCAGAATTGCAGACCTCCCCGACACTGGGCTCCCTACCCTCCTGGCTAGGCTGTAGTCCTGGCTATCCCAGCCACACCCAGCCGTCATCCTAGGTCAGGTGCCAGCATGGGGGCAGCCGGGCCCCTTCCCCTTCTGGGTAACTCCACAGTCACGTCCACAACCCAGCCTCCTCCCAGGTAGGGGGCAGCCGGGCCCCTTCCCCTTCTGGGTAACTCGGCAGTCAGGTCCACACCCCAGCCTCCTCCCAAGCAGGGGGCCAGCACCGGAAGCGCAGCTGGTCTTGGGTTGAGGGATCCCTGGTGGGAGAAGGGGCAAATGGGACCGGCTCAAGGATGGAGACTGGAAGGGGCTCTGCAACCCTGGGGCAGGGGAGAGAGGTCCCCTAGGAGGGCAGGGGTCCCTTGATCTAGTGGGGTTCACTCACCTTTACAGGGGACTCAACGCTGGTAGCCAGCTCCCTATTTCACTTTCAGTTTCCGCTCAGAAGCAAGTCTGAGAGGAAAGGGGAGGGAGGAGGAGGAGCCGTGGGAGGAGTGAGGGAGGAGCAGTGGGAGGAGCAGAGCCTTGAAAGGGTGTGTGGAGAAATGCGGCTGAGAAGAGAAGTCAGAGTTGAGCTGGGGGAGGCTTCAGAGGCTCTGCATGCCCAGGAGGCTTCTCTGAGACTGGGAAGGAGTGGAAACTCAGTAGCCCGTGGTCCTGGTTGCGCGCTCCCTCCCATGTCTTCATTATCTGATTTGGTAAAATATCTACAAGACGGGGGAGTCCGGGCTGCTTTCTTTGACACTGGTCATCACTCCACACCTAGACGCTATGTCCATGTCTGGAAGATGCTTTTAAGGAAGTTTTGATGCAGAGAAGAGTGGCCGGTGCTCTTCCTCGCGTGCCACCATCTGCTTACTTCCAGAAGCTAATTATTTTCATGTGACTGATGTGACTAATATTTTTTAACGCCTGCAGGTGAGTGATTTATTTCGCATGACCCCAAGGTGAGTGTCCCACCAGTGAGTGGTGAGAAGGAAATTGACATTTGACAACCAACTGTGTTCTTGTCACTGAGCTAGGGACATTCTCAGGTTATATTATTTTTATTTTTAATCGTAAAAATATAGAACATAAAATTTACCAAAGTAATTTTTTTAATTTTCAATCTTGTGTGTCTATAGTAGGTGTATATATTTGTGGGGTACATGAAATATTTTGATACAGGTAGAGCATACAATCCGTAATAATCATATCAGGGTAAGTGGGGTATCTATCCATCACCTCAAGCACTTATCATTTGTGTTATATACAATCCAGTTATATGCTTTTAGTTATTTTAAAATGATAAATTATCATTGACTGTATTCACCTTGTTATGCTATAAAATACTAGATCTTATTCATTCTCTCTCATGTATTTTTGAACCCATTAATCATTCCCCACTACCCTTCCCAGCCTTTGGTAACCATCATCCTCTCTATCTTCATGAGTTGGATTGTTTTAATTTTTAACTCCCACAAATAAGTGAGAACATAACAATTTGTTTGTTTGCCTGTGTTTGGTTTATTTTACTTAACATAATAATCCCCAATTCCATCCATCTTGTAGCAAATGAAAGGTTCTCCTTCTTTTTATGGCTGAATAGTGCTCCATTGTGTATGTGTACCACACTTTCCTTATCCATTTATCTGTTGATGGACACTTACGTTGCTTCCAAATCTTGGCTATTGTGAATAGTGCTGCGATAAACATGGGAGTGCAGATATCTCTTTGATATACTGATTTCCTTTCTCTTGGATATATACCTAACAGTATTTCTTCTGGGTATATACCTAGCAGTATCCAGTAGGATTGCTAGATTACATGGTAGCTCTATTTTCAGGTTTTTTTTTTTTTTTGAGGAACCTTCAAATTGTTTGCCATAGTGTTTGTACTAATTTCCATTCCCATTGACAGTGTATGAGGGTTCCCTTTTCTACATATCCTTGCCAGCATTTGTTATTGCCTTTCTTTTGGTTAAAAGACATTTTAACTGAGGTGAGATAATATCTCGTAGTTTTGATTTGCATTTCTCTGATGATCAGTGGTGTTGAACACATTTTCATATATCCATTTGCCACTTGTATGTCTTCTTCTGAGGAATGTCTATTCAGATCGTTTGTCCATTTTTGAATCAGATTATTATATTTTTTTCCTATAGAGTTGTTTGAGTTCTTTGTATATTCTGGTTATTAATCCCTTGTCAGATGGATAGTTTGCAAATATTTACTCCAATTCTGTGGGTTATCTCTCTACTTCATTGTTTCCTTTGCTGTGCAGAAGCTTTTTAACTTGATGTGATCTCATTTGTCCAGTTTTGCTTTGGTTGCCTGTGCTTATGGAATATTTGAAAGAAATTTTTGCCCAGTCCAATGTCCTGGAGAGTTTCCCCAATATTTTCTTGTAGTAGTTTCATAGTTTGAGGCCTTAGATTTTTTTTTAAATTATACTTTAAGTTCTAGGGTACATGTGCACAACATGCAGGTTTGTTACATATGTATACACGTGCCATGTTGGTGTGCTGCACCCATTAACTCATTTACATTGGATATATCTCCTGATGCTATCCCTCCCCCCTCCCCCCACCCCAGGACAGGCCTCAGTGTGTGATGTTCCCCTTCCTGTGTCCATGTGTTCTCATTGTTCAATTCCCACCTATGAGTGAGAACATGCGGTGTTTGGTTTTCTTGTCCTTGCAATAGTTTTCTGAGAATGATGGTTTCCACTTTCATCCATGTCCCTACAAAGGACATGAGCTCATCCTTTTTTATGGCTGCATAGCATTCCATGGTGTATATGTGCCACATTTTCTTCATCCAGTCTATCATTGTTGGACATTTGGGTTGGTTCCAAGTCTTTGCTATTGTGAATAGTGCCACAATAAACATATGTGTGCATGTGTCTTTATATCAGTATGATTTATAATCTTTTGGATATATACCCAGTAATGGGATGGCTGGGTCAAATGGTATTTCTAGTTCTAGATCCTTGAGGAATCACCATACTGTCTTCCACAATGGATGAACTCGTTGACAGTCCCACCAACAGTGTAAAAGTGCTCCTGTTTCTCCATATCCTGTCTATCACCCATTGTTTCCTGACTTTTTAATGATCGCCATTCTAACTGCTGTGAGATAGTATCTCATTGTGGTTTTGATTTGCATTTCTCTGATGGCCAGTGATGATGAGCATTTTTCCATGTGTCTGTTGGCTGCATAAATATCTTCTTTTGAGAAGTGTCTGTTCATATCCTTTGCCCACTTTTTGATGGGGTTGTTTTTTTCTTGTAAATTTGTTTGAGATCTTTGTAGATTCTGGATATTAGCCCTTTGTCAGATGAGTAAATTGCAAAATTTTTCTCCTATTCTATAGGTTGCCCATTCACTCTGATGGTAGTTTCTTTTGCTGTGCAGAAGCTCTTTAATTAGATCCCATTTGTCAATTTTGTCTTTTGTTGCCATTGCTTTTGGTGTTTAAGACATGTAGTCCTTGCCCATGCCTATGTCCTGAATGGTATTGCCTAGGTTTTCTTCTAGGGTTTTTGTGGTTTTAGGTCAGAATAACCAATGCAGAGAAGTCCTTAAAGGACCTGATGGAATGGTGCTATCCAGCCCAGATACTATGCTTTTCCCATGGTCTATGCAACCCACGGACCAGGAGATTCCCTTGGATGCCTACACCACCAGGACCCTGGGTTTGAAGCACAAAACTGGGTGGCTGTTTGGGCAGACACTGAGCTAGCGGCAGGATTTTTCATGCCCCAGTGGCGTCTGGAACACCAGCAAGACAGAACTGTTCACTCCCTTGGAAAGGGGGCTGAAGCCAGGGAGCCAAGTGGTCTAGCTCAGTGGATCCCACCCCCATGGAGCCCAGCAAGCTAAGATCCACGGGTTTGAAATTCTTGCTGCCAGTGCAGCAATCTGAAATTGACCTGAGATGCTTGAGCTTGGTGGAGTGAGGGGCATCCACCATTACTGAGGCTTGAGTAGGCGGTTTTCCCCTCACAGTGTAAACAAAACTGCTGGGAAGTTCGAATTGGGTGGAGCCCACCAAAGCTTCGCAAACCTGCTGTAGCCAGACTGCCTCTCTAGATTCCTCCTCTCTGGGCATGACATCTTGAAAGAAAGGCAGCAGCCCCAGTCAGGGGCTTATAGCTAAAACTCCCATCTCCCTGGGACAGAGCATCTGGGGGAAGGGGTGGCGGTGAGCACAGCTTCAACAGCCTTAAACATTCTTGCTTGCCAGCTCTGAAGAGAGCAGTGGATCTCCCAGGACAGTGCTTGAGCTCTGATAAGGCACAGACTGCCTCCTCAAGTGGGTCCCTGACCCCTGTGCCTCCAGACTGGGAGACACTTCCCAGGAGGGGTCAACAGACACCTCATACAGGAGAGCTCTGGTTGGCATCTGGCGGGTGCCCCTCTGGGACAAAGCTTCCAGAGGAAGGAACAGGCAGCAATCTTTGCTGTTCTGCAGCCTCTGCTGGTGATACCCAGGCAAACAGGGTCTGGAGTGGACCTCCAGCAGACCTGTAGCAGAGGGACCTGTTAGAAGGAAAACTAACAAACAGAAAGCAATAGCGTCAACCTCAACAAAAAGAATGTCCACACAAAAACCCCATCCAGAGGTCACCAATATCAAAGACCAAAGGTAGATAAATCCATGAAGATGAGGAAAAACCAGTGCAAAAAGGCTGAAAATTCCAAAAAACAGCACACCTCTTCTCCTGCAAAGAATCACAACTCCTTGCCAGCAAGGGAACAAAACTGGATGGAAAATGAGTTTGATGAATTGACAGAAGTAGGCTTCAGAAGGTGGGTAATAAGAAACTCCTCTGTGCTAAAGGAGCATGTTCTAACCCAATGCAAGGAAGCTAAGAAACTTGAAAAAAGGTTAGAGGAATTGCTAACTAGAATCATCAGTTTAGAGAAGAAGATAAATGACCTGATGGAGTTGAAAAACATAGCATGAGAACTTCATGAAGCATACACAAGAATCAATAGCCGAATTGATCAAGAGGAAGAAAGGATATCAGAGATTGAAGATCAACTTAATGAAATAAAGCATCAAGACAAGATTAGAGAAAAAAGAATGAAAAGGAACAAGCAAAACCTCCAAGAAATATGGACTATGTGAAAAGACCAAACCTCCATTTGATTGGTGTACCTGAAAGTGACAGGGAGAATGGAACCAAGTTGGAAAACAGTCTTCATGATACTGTCCAGGAGAACTTCCCCAACCTAGCAAGACAGGCCAACATTCAAATTTGGGAAATACAGAGAACACCACAAAGATACTCATCAAGAAGAGCAATCTTAAGACACAATAGTCAGATTCACCAAGGTTGAAATGAAGGAAAAAATGTTAAGGGCAGCCAGAGAGAAGTGTCTGTCCACACAGGGAAGCCCAACAGACTAACAGCGGATCTCTCTGCAGAAACCCTACAAGCCAGAAGAGAGTGGGTGCCAATATCAACATTCTTAAAGAAAAGAATTTTCAGCCCAGAATTTCATATCCAGCCAAACTAAGCTTCAGAAGCAAAGAAGAAATACAAACCTTTATAGACAAGCAAATGCTGAGAGATTTTTGTCACCACCAGGCCTGCCTTACAAGAGCTCCTGAAGGAAGCTCTAAATATGAAAAGGAAAAGCTGGTACCAGCCACTGCAAAAATATACCAAATTGTAAAGACCATTGACACTATGAAGAAACTGCCTCAACTAACAGGCAAAATACCCAGCTAGCATCATAATGACGGGATCAAATTCACACAGATCAATATTAACCTTCAATGTAAACAGGCTAAATGCCCCAATTAAAAGACACAGACTGACAAATTGGATAAAGAGTCAAGAACCATTGGTGTGCTGTATTCAGGAGACCCATCTCATGTGCGACGACACACATAGGCTCAAAATAAAGGGATGGAGGAATATTTACCAAGGAAATAGAAAGCAAAAAAAAAAAAAGCAGAGGGTGCAATCCTAGTCTCTGACAAAACAGACTTTAAACCAACAAAGAACAAAAAAGAAAAAGAAGGGCATTACATAATGGTAAAGGCATCAATGCAACAAAAAGAGCTATCATTAATATATATGCACCCAATACAGGAGCACCCAGATTCATAAAGCAAGTTCTTAGAGACTTACAAAAAGACTTAGACTCCCACACAATGATAGTGGGAGACTTTAACACCCCACTGTCAATATTAGACAGATCAAGGAGACAGGAAATCAACAAGGATATTCAGGACTTGTACTCAGCTCTGGACCAAGCAGACCTAATAGACATCTACAGAACTCTCCACCCCAAATCAGAGAATATACATTCTTCCCTGCACCACATTGATTGTACTATTCTAAAATTTACCACATAATTGGAAGTAAAACACTCCTCAGGAAATGCAAAAGCATGGAAATCATAACAGTCTCTCAGACCACAGTGCAGTCAAATTAGTACTCAGGATTAAGAAACTCACTCAAAACCACCCAACTACATGGACACTGAACAAACTGCTCCTGAATGAATACTGGGTAAATAATGAAATTAAGTCAGAAATAAATAAGTTCTTTGAAACCAATGTGAACAAAGACACAAAGTACCAGAATCTCTGGGACACAGCTAAAGCAGTGTTTGAGGCAAATTTATAGCACTAAAATGCCCACAGGAGAAAGCAGAAAAGATCTAAAATTGACACCTTAACATCACATTGAAAATAACTAGAGAAGCAAGAGCAAACAAATTCAAAAGCTAGCAGAGGCAAGAAATAACTAAGATCAGAGAAGAACTGAAGGAGATAGAGACATGAAAAACCCTTCAAAAAAAATCAGTGAGTCCAGGAGCTGGTTTTCTTGAAAAGATTAACAAAATAGATAAACTGCTAGCCAGACTAATAAAGAAGAAAAGAGAGAAGAATCAAACAGATGCAATAAAAAATGATTAAGGGGCTATCACCACTGATCCCACAGAAATACAAAGTACTATCAGAGAATATTGTAAACACCGCTATGCAAATAAACTAAAAAATCTACAAGAAATGGATAAATTCCTGGACACATACACCATCCCAAGACTAAACCAGGAAGAAGTCGAATCCCTGAATAGACCAATAACAAGTTCTGAAATTGAGGCAGTAATTAGTAGCCTACCAACCAAAAAAAGCCCAGGACCAGATGGAGTCACAGCTGAATTACACCAGAGGTACAAAGAGGAGCTGGTATCATTCTTCTGAAACTATCCCAAACATTAGAAAAAGGGGAACTCCTCCCTAACTCATTTTGTGAGGCCAGCATCATCCTGATACCAAAACCTGGCAGAGAAACAACAAAAAAAAAATTTCAGGCCAATACCCTGATGAACATCAATGAGAAAATCCTTAGTAAAATACTTATAAACCAAATCCAGCAGCACATCAAAAAGCTTATCCACCATGATCAAGTTGGCTGCATCCCTGGGATGCAAGGTTGGTTCAACATACACAAATCAGTAAACATAACCCATCACACATTAATATTCTCTGATGGTAGTTTGTATTTCTGTGGGATCAGCGCTGATATCCCCTTTATTATTTTTTATTGTATCTATTTAATTCTTCTCTCATTTTTTAAATTATACTTTAATTTTAGGTTACATATGCACAACATGCAGGTTAGTTACATATGTATACATGTGCCATGTTTGTGTGCTGCACCCAGTAACTCGTCATTTAACATTAGGTATATCTCCAAATGCTATCCCTCCCCCCTCCCCCCCACCCCACAACAGGCCTCAGTGTGTGATGTTCCCCTTCCTGTGTCCAAACGTTCTTATTGTTCAATTCCCACCTATGAGTGAGAATATGCGGTGTTTGGTTTTTTGTCCTTGCGATAGTTTGCTGAGAATGATGATTGCCAGCTTCATCCATGTCCCTACAAAGCACATGAACTCATCCTTTTTTATGGCTGCATAGTATTCCATGGTGTATATGTGCCACATTTTCTTAATCCAGTCTATCATTGTTGGACATTTGGGTTGGTTCCAAGTCTTTGCTATTGTGAATAGTGCCACAATAAACGTACGTGTGCATGTGTCTTTATAGCAGCATGATTTATAATCCTTTGGGTATATACCCAGTAATGGGATGGCTGGGTCAAATGGTATTTCTAGTTCTACATCCCTGAGGAATTGCCACACTGACTTCCACAATGGTTGAACTAGTTTACAGTCCCACCAACAGTGTAAAAGTGTTCCTATTCCTCCACATCCTCTCCAGCACCTGTTGTTTCCTGACTTTTTAATGATTGCCATTCTAACTGGTGTGAGATGGTATCTCATTGTGGTTTTGATTTGCATTTCTCTGATGGCCAGTGATGATGAGCATTTTTCCATGTGTCTTTTGGCTGTATAAAGGTCTTCTTTTGAGAAGTGTCTGTTCATATCCTTCGCCCACTTTTTGATGGGTTTTTTTCTTGTAAAGTTGCTGGAGTTCATTGTAGATTGTGGATATTAGCCCTTTGTCAGATGAGTAGATTGCAAACATTTTCTCCCATTCTGTAGGTTGCCTGTTCACTCTGATGGTAGTTTCTTTTGCTGTGCAGACTGTCTTTAGTTTAATTAGATCCCATTTGTCAATTTTTGCTTTCGTTGCCATTGCTTTTGGTGTTTTAGACATGAAGTCCTTGCCCCTGCCTATGTCCTGAATGGTATTGCCTAGGTTTTCTTCTAGGGTTTTTATGGTTTTGGGTCTAACATTTAAGTCTTTAATCCATCTTGAATTAATTTTTGTATAAGGTGTAAGGAAGGGATCCAGCTTCAGCTTTCTACATATGGCTAGCCAGTTTTCCCAACACCATTTATTAAATAGGGAATCCTTTCCCCATTGCTTGTTTTTATCAGTTTTGTCAAAGATCAGATAGTTGTAGATATGTGGCGTTATTTCTGAGGGCTCTGTTCTGTTCCATTGGTCTATATCTGTGTTTTGGTACCAGTACCATGCTGTTTTGGTTACTGTTGCCTTGTAGTATAGTTTGAAGTCAGGTACCATGATGCCTCCAGCTTTGTTCTTTTGGCTTAGGATTGCCTTGCTGATGGGGGCTCTTTTTTGGTTCCATATGAACTTTAAAGTAGTTTTTTCCAATTCTGTGAAGAAAGTCATTGGTAACTTGATGGGGATGGCATTGAATGTATAAATTACCTTGGGCAGTATGGCCATTTTCACGATATTGATTCTTCCTACCCATGAGCATGGAATGTTCTTCCATTTGTTTGTATCCTCTTTTATTTCCTTGAGCAGTGGTTTGTAGTTCTCCTTGAAGAGGTCCTTCACATCCCTTGTAAGTTGGATTCCTAGGTATTTTATTCTCTTTGAAGCAATTGTGAATGGGAATTCACTCATGATTTGGCTGTTTGTCTGTTATTGGTGTATAAGAATGCTTGTGATTTTTGCACATTGATTTTGTATCCTGAGACTTTGCTGAAGTTGCTTATCAGCTTAAGGAGATTTTGGGCTGAGATGATGGGGTTTTCTAGATATACAATCATGTCATCTGCAAACAGGGACAATTTGACTTCCTCTTTTCCTGCTTGAATACTCTTTCCTTCTTCTGCCTGATTGCCCTGGCCAGAACTTCCAACACTATGTTGAATAGGAGTGGTGAGAGAGGGCATCCCTGTCTTGTGCCAGTTTTCAAAGGGAATGATTCCAGTTTTTGCCCATTCAGTATGATATTGGCTGTGGGTTTGTCATAGATAGCTCTTATTATTTTGAGATACGTCCCATCAATACCTAATTGATTGAGAGTTTTTAGCATGAAGAGTTGTTGAATTTTGTCAAAGGCCTTTTCTGCATCTATTGAGATAATCATGTGGTTTTTGTCTTTGGTTCTGTTTATATGCTGGATTGCATTTATTGATTTGTGTATGTTGAACCAGCCTTGCATCCCAGGGATGAAGCCCACTTGATCATGGTGGATAAGCTTTTTGATGTGCTGCTGGATTCGGTTTGCCAGTGTTTTATTGAGGATTTGTGCATCGATGTTCATCAGGGATATTGGTCTAAAATTCTCTTTTTTTTTGTTGTGTCTCTGCCAGGCTTTGGTAGCACGATGATGCTGGCCTCATCAAATGAGTTAGGGAGGATTCTCTCTTTTTCTATTGATTGGAATAGTTTCAGAAGGAATGGTACCAGCTCCTCCTTGTACCTCTGGTAGAATTTGGCTGTGAATCCATCTGGTCTTGGACTTTTTTTGGTTGGTAAGCTATTAATTATTGCCTTAATTTCAGAGCCTGTTATTGGTATATTCAGAGATTGAACGTCTTCCTGGTTTAGTCTTGGGAGGGTGTATGTGTCAAGGAATTATCCATTTCTTCTAGGTTTTCTAGTTTATTTGCATAGAGGTGTTTATGGTTTTCTCTAATGGTAGTTTGTATTTCTGTGGGATCGGTGTTGATATCCCCTTTATCATTTTTTATTGCTGCTATTTGATTCTTCTCTCTTTTTTTCTTTATTAGTCTTGCTAGCAGTCTATCAATTGTGTTGATCTTTTCAAAAAACCAGCTCCTGGATTCATTGATTTTTTGAAGGGTTTTTTTGTGTCTCTATTTGCTTCAGTTCTGCTCTGATCTTAGTTATTTCTTGCCTTCTGCTAGCTTTTGAATGTGTTTGCTCTTGCTTCTCTAGTTCTTTTAATTGTGATGTTAGGGTGTCAATTTTAGATCTTTCCTGCTTTCTCTTGTGGGCATTTAGTGCTATAAATTTCCGTCTACACACTGCTTTGAATGTGTCCCAGAGATTCTGGTATGTTGTGTCTTTGTTCTCACTGGTTTCAAAGAACATCTTTATTTCTGCCTTCATTTCGTTATGTACAGTAGTCATTGTGGAGCAGGTTGTTCAGTTTCCACGTAGTTGAGCAGTTTTGAGTGAGTTTCTTAGCCCTGAATTCTAGTTTGATTGCACTGTGGTCTGAGAGACAGTTTGTTATAATTTCTGTTCTTTTACATTTGCTGAGGAGTGCTTTACTTCCAACTATGTGGTCAATTTTGGAATAAGTGCAGTGTGGTGCTGAGAAGAATATATATTCTGTTGATTTGGGGTGGAGAGTTCTGTAGATGTCTATTAGGTCCACTTGGTGCAGAGCTGAGTTCAATTCCTGAACATCCTTGTTAACTTTCTGTCTCGTTGATCTGTCTAATGTTGACAGTGGGGTGTTAAAGTCTGCCATTATTATTGTGTGGGAGTCTAAGTCTCTTTGTAGGTCTCTAAGGACTTGCTTTATGAATCTGGGTCCTCCTGTATTGGGTGCATATATATTTAGGATAGTTAACTCTTCTTGTTGAATTGATCCCTTTACCATTATCTTCTTTGTCTCTTTTGATTTTTGTTGGGTTAAAGTCTGTTTTATCAGACTTAGATTGCAACTCCTGCCTTTTTTTGTTTTCCGTTTGCTTGGTAGATCTTCCTCCATCCCTTTATTTTGAGCCTATGTGTGTCTCTGCACATGAGATGGGTTTCTTGAATAGAGCACACTGATAGGTCTTCACTGTTTATCCAATTTTCCAGTCTGTGTCTTTTAATTGAAGCACTTAGCCCATTTACATTTAAGGTTAATATTGTCATGTGTGAATTTGATCCTGTCATTATGATGTTAGCTGGTTATTTTGCTCATTAGTTGATGCAGTTTCTTTCTAGCCTTGATGGTCTTTACAATTTGGCATGTTTTTGCAGTGGCTGGTACTGGTTGTTCCTTTCCATGTTTAGTGCTTCCTTCAGGAGCTCTTTTAGAGCAGTCCGGTGGTGACAAAAATCTCTCAGCATTTGCTTGTCTGTAAAGTATTTTATTTCTCCTTCACTTATGAAGCTTAGTTTGGCTGGATATGAAATTCTGGGTTGAAAATTCTTTTCTTTAAGAATGTTGAATATTGGCCCCCACTCTCTTCTGGCTTGTAGAGTTTCTGCTGAGAGATCAGCTGTTAGTCTGATGGGCTTCCCTTTGTGGGTAACCTGGCTTTTCTCTCTGGCTGTCCTTAACATTTTTTCCTTCATTTCAACTTTGGTGAATCTGACAATTATGTGTCTTGGAGTTGCTGTTCTCGAGGAGTATCTTTATGGCATTCTCTGTATTTCCTGAATTTGAATGTTGGGCTGCCTTGCTAGATTGGGGAAGTTCTCCTAGATAATATCCTGCAGAGTGTTTTCCAACTTGGTTCCATTCTCCCTGTCACTTTCAGGTACACCAGTCAGACGTACATTTGGTCTTTTCACGTAGTCCCATATTTCTTGGAGGCTTTGTTTATTTCTTTTTATTCTTTTTTCTCTAAACTTCTCGCTTCATATCATTCATTTGATCTTCCATCACTGATACCCTTTCTTCCAGTTGATCGAATCAGCTACTGAGGCTTGTGCATTCGTCATGTAGTTCTCATGCCTTGGTTTTCAGCTCCTTCAGGTCCTTTAAGGGCTTATCTGCATTGTTTATTCTAATTAGCCATTCGTCTAATTTTTTTAAGGTTTTTAACTTCTTTGCCATGGGTTTGAACTTCCTCCTTTAGCTTGGAGTAGTTTGATAGTCTGAAGGCTTCTTGTCTCAACTCATGAAAGTCATTCTCCATCCAGCTTTGTTCCATTGCTGATGAGGAGCTGTGTTCCTTTGGAGGAGGAGAGGCACTCTGATTTTTAGAGTTTCCAGTTTTTCTGCTCTGTTTTTCCCCATCTTTGTGGTTTTATCTACCTTTGGTCTTTGATGATGGTGATGTACAGATGGGATTTTGGTGTGGATGTCCTTTCTGTTTGTTAGTTTTCCTTCTAGCAGTCAGGACCCTCAGCTGCAGGTCTGTTGGAGTTTGCTGGAGGTCCACTACAGACCGTGTTTGCCTGGGTATCACCAGCGGTGGCTGCAGAACAGCAGATATTGGTGAACAGCAAATGTTGCTGCCTGATCGTTCCTCTGGAAGTTTTGTCTCAGAGGAGTACCCAGCCATGTGAGGTGTCAGTCCGCCCCTACTGGGGGGTGCCTCCCAGTTAGGCTACTTGGGGGTCAGGGACCCAACTTGAGGAGGCAGTCTGTCCATTCTCAGATCTCCAGCTGCATGCTGGGAGAACCACTACTCTCTTCAAAGCTGTCAGACAGGGACATTTAAGTCTGCAGAGGATTCTACTGCCTTGTGTTTGGCAATGTCCTGCCCCCAGAGGTGGAGTCTACAAAGGCAGGCAGGCCTCCTTGAGCTGCAGTGGGCTCCACCCAGATTGAGCTTCCTGGCGGCTTTGTTTACCTACTCAAGCCTCGGCAATGGCGGGCGCCCCTCCCCCAGCCTCACTGCCACCTTGCAGTTTGATCTCAGACTGCTGTGCTAGCAATGAGTGAGGCTCCGTGGGCATAGGACCCTCCAAGCCAGGCACGGGATATAATCTCCTGGTATGCCATTTGCTAAGACCATTGGAAAAGCACAGTATTAGAGTGGGAGTGACCCGATTTTCCAGGTGCCGTCTGTCACCCCTTTCTTCAACTAGGAAAGGGAATTCCCTGACCCCTTGGGCTTCCTGGGTAAGGCTATGCCTTGCCCTGGTTCAGCTCATGCTGGGTGCACTGTACCCACTGTCCTGCACCCACTTTCCGACACTCCCTGGTGACATGAACCTGGTACCTCAGTTGAAAATGCAGAAATCACCCGTCTTCTGCGTCACTCATGCTGGGAGCTGTAGACTGGAGCTGTTCCTATTTGGCCATCTTGGCTCCACCCCCCTCTCATTTCTTTATTACTCTGGCTAGCAGTCTAACTATTTTGTTATTTTTAAAAAACAGATCCTGTATGCATTGATTTTTTGAAGGGTTTTTTGCGTCTGTATCTCTTTCAGAACCAACGACAAAACCACATGATTATCTCAATAGATGCAGAAAAGGCCTATGATAAAATTTAACACCCTTTATGCTAAAAACTCTTAATAAGTTAGGTATTGATGGAACGTATCTCAAAATAATGAAAGCTATTTATGACAAACCCACAGCCAATATAATACTGAATGGGCAAAAGCTGGAAACATACCCTTTGAAAACTGGTACAAGACAAGGATGCCCTCACCACTCTTATTCAACATAGTATTGGAAGTTCTGGCCAGGGCAATCAGACAAGAGAAAGAAATAAAGGGTATTCAATTAGGAAAAGAGGAAGTCAAATTGTCTCTGTTTGCAGATGACATGATTGGATATTTAGAAAACCCCATCGTCTCTGCCCAAAATCTCCTTAAGCTGATAAGCAACTTCAGCAAAGTCTCAGGATATAAAAGCAATGTGCAAAAATCACAAGCATTCCTATACACCAAGAACAGACAAACAGAGAGCCAAATCATGAGTGAACTCCCATTTACAATTGCTACAAAGAGGATAAAATACCTAGGAATCCAACTTACAAGGGATGTGAAGGACCTCTTCAAGGAGAACTACAAACCACTGCTCAAGAAAATAAGAGAGGACACAAACAAATGGACAAATATTCCATGCTCATGGGTAGGAAGAATCAGTATTGTGAAAATGGCCATACTGCCCGAAGTAATTTACAGATTCAGTGCTATTCCCATCAAGCTACCCTTGACTTTCTTCATAGAATTAGAAATAACTAAAGTTCATATGCAACCAAAATGACCCTGTATAACCAAGACAATCTTAAGCAAAAAGAACAAAGCTGGAGGCCTCATGGTACCTGACTTCAAACTGTACTACAAGGCTACCGTAACCAAAACAGCATGGTACTGGTACCAAAACAGAGATATAGACCAATGGAACAGAACAGAGCCCTCAGAAATAATCCCACACATCTACAACCATCTGCTCTTTGACAAACCTGACAAAAACAAGCAATGGGGAAGGGGAAAGGATTCCCTATTTAATAAATGGTGTTGGGAAAACTGGCTAGCCATATGTAGAAAACTGAAACTGGATCCCTTCCTTACACCTTTTACAAAAATTAACTCAAGATAAAGGAAAGACTTAAAGGTAAGACCTAAAAACATTAAAAACCCTAAAAGAAAACCTAGGCAATACCACTCAGGACATAGGTATGGGCAAAGACTTCATGAATAAAACACCAAAGCAATGGCAACAAAAGCCAAAATTGACAAATGTGATTTAATTAAACTAAAGAGCTTCTGCACAGCAAAGGAAACTATCAATCATCAGAGTGAACAGGCAACCTACAGAATGGGAGAAAATTTTTTTAATCTATCCATCTGACAAAGGGCTAATATCCAGAATATGCAAGGAACTTAAATTTGTAAGAAAAAACAACCCCATTAAAAAGTTGGCAAAGGATATGAACAGACAGAAGGATATAAATGTCTCAAAAGAAGACATTTATGTGGCCAACAAACATATGAAAAAAAGCTCATCATCACTGGTCATTAGAGGAATGCAAATCAAAACCCCAGTGAGATACCATCTCACTTAGAATGCTGATCATTAAAAAGTCAGGAAACAACAGATGCTGGAGAGGATGTGGAGAAACAGGAACGCTTTTACACTGTTGGTGGGAGTGTAAATTAGTGGAAGACAGTGTGGTGATTCCTCAAGGATCTAGAACCAGAAATACCATTTGACCCAGCAATCCCATTACTGGGTATATACTCAAAGGATTATAAATCATTCTACTATAAAGACACATGCACACATATGTTTATTGTGGCACTATTCACAATAGCAAAGACTTGGAACCAACCCAAATGCCCATCAGTAATAGACTGGAGAAAGAAAATGTGGCACATATACACCGAGGAATACTATGCAGCCATAAAAAAGGATGAGTTCATGTTCTTTGCAGGGACATGGATGAAGCTGGAAACCATCATTCTCGGCAAACTAACACAGGAACAGAAAACCAAACACCACATGTTCTCACTCATCAGTGGGAGTTGAACAAGGAGAACACATGGCAACAGGGAGGGAAACATCAATACAGGGGCCTGTCTGGGGGTGAGGGGCTAGGGGAGGGATAGCATTAGGAGAAAAACCTAATGTAGATGATGGGTTGATGGGTGCAGCAAACCACCATGGCATATGTATACCTATGTAACAAACCTGCATGGTCTACACATGTATCCCAGAACTTAAAATAAAGTATAATAAAAAAGATGCTGAAACAGTGAAAAATAAGGCCCACTGTTTTGTATATAACATGTCACTTAAACCGCTCCAGATTGTTTTAGTATCTCAATTTTATAGAGTGGAAACTGATACTTTTAGAGGCTCAGTATCTATTCTGGGGCCACTTGGCTAATAAGGAGTTTTAGTTCTGTCTGATTTCATATCCAGTTAACTACAATGCTGGCAAGACTTTTATGTCTATATATTTAAGGCTAACACATCCTCAAAGTCTCCAATACCATCCTCTCTTACACAAAGTCTTATTTCTCTGTTATTGGCTAGGGTGTAGTGTAATGTAGCAATTCAGTTTTCACATATGGTTTACTGTGTTTTAGGGTCATAGCTGCTTGAGAACAGAATTGGTACCTGGTTAACCTCTAAGTAAAGCACAGTGCATAAAGAAACCCCAATTTTGTGAACCACTGAAAAGACTATTGAAAATGTAGATTTTAGAATGAAGAAAACACACTGGGACTGCAGTGAAACAGAGAGAACTGCAGAGTTCCAGGACATCTGTAACTGAGCCTTTCACCTGTAGGCTACCCTCTCTATGTTGGAGATTGAGGACGAGGGGATGGCTGAAGTGGGTGAATGGCAGTAGTCTCCATACGAGCAGATAGAATTGATCTTGTGTTTCACCTGTCTACTTCCATTTATCATTTTCTCTCATATCCCAGATGTGACAGACAATCTGACTGTGGCCACATTTATTAGTTTTAAGGCAAATGAAGGATTCTAGAGACAGGCTGTAGAGAAGCTAAAGAAAATATTTCATCAGAGAGAAGTTAAATACTTCTGAAGTATTTCAGCAAAATACACATACAAATCCTTTAAAAATTTCTTATTAACTTTAGAGACTGAAACTTGTTAAGAACCTGTGAAATTTCTGACTTAAATTTCAATGCATGAACATAGGATGTGTGACAGATACGAGAATGCCTGTATTGGGTTGCAGCCCACGGAGGTCTGAGATTGGTCTCCAGGTTGGAAGGACAACTTGGATGATCTCAGGAACTAAGGGACTTGAGCAGACTGAACTTTGAAATTTTCTCTTCCCTAATCTCCAGGACACACTGGGACCTGCAGTGAAACAAAGGACATCTGTAGCAAAGCCTTTCAACTCTAGATTGTCCTCTCCATCCTAGAAATGGAGGAGGAAGTGATAGCTGAAGTTGGTTAATTAAATGCTCTGATCTTCTGTAAAATACCTAGCCAGTGTTCTTCAAGACTCTCAAGGTCATGGAAACCTTGGAAAAACTGAGAAACTTCCATCTCAGACCAGAGGACACTAAGGAGAAATAATGAGTAAATGCAATTTGATATCCTGGATTGGATCCTGGAACAGAAGAAAGACATTGGAAAAGCAGGTGAAATCCAAATAAAGTGTGGACTTTAGTTAATAGCGATGTACCAATATTAGTCCTTTGGTTTTGACTAATGTACTATGGTTCTGTAAGATGTTAACATTAAGGAAAATGGGTGAAGGACATTCAGAAACTCCGTAAACTATATTTGTAACTTTTTTGTAAATCTAAAATTATTCCAGAATAAAACTTATTAAAAAAAAAACAAAAACAAGCTCTGACCATGAATTGTGGGGGAGGGTTAGTATGACATGCTGGCCATAGAGGAATCCAGACAGGTTATTGAACCAGTTCTCAGTTTCCTATTGGAGAGGAAGTTATGTGTGGAGCTTGCAAGCTTTTTTTTTTTTTTGCACCCTTTGTATATTCTAATATAATACTAACAATGATCTCATGAAATAACCATCATCCCTAGTTTATGAATAAAGAATAAGAGGCTCAAGGAGATAATTTGCTCACAGTTGACAAGTGACAGATTCTGAAATAGATCGTGGCTTTTTCACTATATTATGCTTGATAAATAATCTCCAAAGGTGTTACTGGGAGAAAGGGATATTGCTTTATCAATATAGATTTTCAGTCACCTACATTCTCTAGGTACAGGCATAAAGTTAGACAGAGAAGCTCTTTTCTCTTCGCTAACTTGCTCTTGTGTTTAAAGCACTCATGCACATCTCTTTGGCTACACTGCCTGATATCTCTTTGGCAGAATTTGAAAAGAGCCTGTGTTCATTCTTTCTAGAAGCAGGAATTACTCATGGCCTCTGTTATCCCTAAAGGACAGAGTGTGTCTCAGTCTCTAACCATCCTCTTTCCCCCAACTAGCCTCCATTTGCCACCAGGCAATTCATAGCCTGGCTCTTTGGAAAGAGGAGGTACGCAGTATGGGACATCTTTTTTTTTTTTTTTTTTTTTTTTTTTGAGACAGAGTCTCGCTCTGTCACCCAGGCTGGAGTGCAGTGGCACAATCTTGGCTCACTGCAAGCTCTGCCTCCCGGGTTCACGCCATTCTCCTGCCTCAGCCTCCCAAGTAGCTGGGACTACAGGCACCTGCCACCACGCCTGGCTAATTTTTTCTATTTTTAGTAGAGACGGGGTTTCACTGTGTTAGCCAGCATGGCCTCGATATCCTGACATTGTGATCTGCCCGCCTCAGCCTCCCAAAGTGCTGGGATTACAGGTGTGAGCCACTGCCTCCAGCCATGGGACATCTTAATATCCTTCTGGTGCCCTCTAAGAAAAATCCTCAGGTGTGAATCATTAGGATACACTGCCTGATGCATCCTTCCATGTCCCAGAGCTGCCTGGCTCAGAACTCAGGGGGTTCAGGAAGTTAAATTGTGGAAATCTCTTGGATTTGCACCTGGATCCCAGCAGACCTGTTATTTCCCTACCTCCATCAAGAGGATTATAAAGTGTTGACTTTTACTGACACAGCAAGAATTACTTTCACAGAGAAACAGATGAGAGGAGATACAAGCTCTGGAGGTGTGGTAAGTTCAGGGGCTAGAGTGTCAAATCTGGGGTCTGGGCTGGGGAGCCTGAGCTCTGAGGCCTTGGACCACTGGCCTGAATGGAATCTGTTTAGGGTGGGCAGCTTCGGGTCCTTCCATAACCTGAGAAGAGAGAGTTACTTAAGGCCTTTACTGATCCTCCTTCTTATAAAATAATGAGTTTGGGTGGGTATTTGTGATGGACTGTTATCACAACATTACCTTTTTTGGGCTGGACTATTCCTTGATGATCCAGGAACATGGTCATCTCATGATTAAAGGCAACGATGTTCCTCTTCAATCCTCAACCAACTGGTCAAATATGAGAAAAACAATGTATCTATGGTCCTCCAGGTTCATCTGCGGTGGCTGCTCGTAGCATAGGCTGAATTTGATAGGTGTCCTGAATCCTACTGTGGGACTTCTGCTTGTGGGACAGAAACAGGCCTACAGTATGGACTCTGCCTCAACCTTGGGTCTAGCTGCTTTGATGAAACCTCCCCTTCGATGACATATTCTGACTAGTTTGAGGAGGGACAGAGGGGAGCCACCCTCCATCTTATCCTAGGCTAACTCAAGTCAGAAGGCTGTCAGCTATGTAATAGCTGATCATTGTTACCACTTATTCAGGTCTTAGGATTTCTTCATGAGCTCCTTTAACCTCACCGCCACTCAATGACAGAAGTTCTCTTATTTCCCTCAGGACAAGAACACAGGACATAGAAGAGTTAATAAATTTGCCCACCGTCTTACAATTAATAAGTAGTAAAGCCAGGATTTAAACTCAGACAGTTTGGGTCTAGAGCACACACTTCTAACCCTGTGCTGCCTACCTAGGATAAAATATATAAAATATACCAACCTGTCCCAACCTTTGAAATGCCAATATGAGATGCATGCTTTTAATAAACTACACATTATTTGTGCTATTAAAAATATTCAAGGAAGTTAAAGAGAGATTACATTTGCAAATATCTCAGCAGCTAATAGATAGATTAGCAGTATCTGTACTCTGGAGGGAAGATGACAGAAGGCCAGGTTACAAAAATTCACAGGAGCCAGTGATTTACATACAAAGGCCTCTGTACGAGGCTGAGTCTATTTATCTATCTATCTATCCATCCATCCACCCATCTGTCACTTAAAATTTAATGTCTTTCAATACTAGAGATATTCCTGATCCACTCCAGACCCTGGCTTCACCAGTTAAATTTAATCAAGGATTTTGGTTGCCAACTATGAAAGTGAGACAATATTTCTATGGTCAGATTTAAAGAGGATCTACTGTTTAAAAATATTTAAAGAGATTAAAGCACAGAATTTAACAAAATAGGTTCAGATTTATTTAATAATGATTTTTTTTCTATATGGATCTTAATTCTATACATAAACTAAAACCCTTGGAGAAGCTCCAGTTTTATTTTAGTCAGATCTCACTGCGATTTCATTGATAGCTTTCAGGATCCAAGTCCTGTGTTAAAACCCAATGGCAACTCCTTAGTATTTCTCAGTTTTTAAATGGTGTGGGGAGGAAGGAGCTGTGGAGAAAAGGAACCTTCCCCACACATCCTGCGTTCATCCCTATGACATAAAGCTGTCTGTTTGAAGCAACATGGGTGGAGGGGGTCTGAGTTGTTCTGGAGGGAGCTGGGGACCCTGTGGAGAGCTTGTGACTTCCTGGATACAGGTACTTGGCCTGGGCAGGTTTATGCTAAGCTTATTTCTGAGCAGAGCAGGATTAGACCTAATTTTGGCTAACGCACAACAGCGTCATGGGCTTGGGGAAAATGTGGGCTCCCAGCTCCTGACAGTCTTAGCTAGGCTAGGGATGCAGTTCTAGGGCCCATTTTTCTGTAACTTTCTTCTTGGCCCCAGGACTCAGCTGGCAAGGCCAGAGGCTTAAAAGCCTCACATTCCCTTGAGTACTGGTTGCCATAGAAAGCTTCTTGGTGGAGGAGGGTCCCCAACCTTCTCTAATCTGGGTCATCTCCTTGTAGTGACTCCTATCTTGGCTCTTGGGGATAGATTTCACCTGATTAGAGAAAGAAATAGTCTTTGCACTATTCATGGTCTTTTGGAAACTGGATGAGTAAGATGGTACAGGGGCAGAGACTGTAGTTTAATTTTATTCCATCTCCTTAGAGGGGTCTGTTTAGTCTATCTATCTACCTATCACCCACCTACCTATCATGCAACTACTTAGCTACCATCCATCTACCTATCCATCCATCAATCTATCTATTGATCCATCTATCAATCTATTCATCATCCATGTATCCTCTATCTCCATCTATCTCCATTGTTTTTTCTTTCCACAGTTTATCATGTTTTTCTATTGTTCTCTCAGGAGATTACAGCTTTGAGGAGAATTTTTTCTTCCTAAGCTATGAGTCTTTAATTAAACTCACACAGTATGCAACACAGGGACGGTCAATAAGCACATGGGCCCGTTACAGTCTTAGGACTTTTCTCTGGGGACCCTCAAGGACAGATGCATGTAAGTGGTCAGGGAGGAGGCAGGAGTGGTATAGGAGAACATCTTGTAAATACTTCTTCCTATTTCATCTTGCTTAGGGATGGATATTTTCAGCATTAACAACGTTAATAATCATCATAACTAACAGAAAGCAGCAGTATTACACAATGCCCTGACCTTGATAATTGCTCCAATGTATAATAATTAGACTGTGGTGTGACTTGTGTTTGATGGAGACATGCACTGAACCCAGCTTGGGGACACTGGAGGATGCCGACAGGTAAATGACTCCCTCTAGGAACACTTCCTTAGCCAGTTGTATCCCCACAGTTTACTCAGAAGACATGTCTGAAGGACAGGTGCAGAAGAGGGAATGATGGAATTTTGATATTGTCCAATGGCTTATCTTTCCTTTATAAACAAGTGCCCTGAAGGAGTCTTAGACTTTCACTGAATATAAAAGTGAAGCGAACTAATACTGTGATGAATACACTAAGTGTTAGGCATTATGTGAGGCCTGTAACTACAGGATTAAGCTGGTTCATGCACAAAGCTATTGAAAACAGACTCAGGAAATAGAAACCTGTCAAGGTTATATAACTTTCATAAAATGGCAATTAGAAAGTGGCCCAGCCACTTAAACACATAAAATGTACAGTGGTTATTCAGAATAGAGAACACATACAAGCAATATGAAAAATGCAGGCGACCCAATAGAAAAATGAGTAAAAGACTGAAAACTTCCTAAAAGAATATATTCAAATAGTAAACATATGGAAAGCTGCTTACTTTATTAGAAATCAAGGAAATATACGTTAAAACCACAAGAAAATACCATTACACACCCATAGAATAGCTGTAATTAAAAAGACCAACCAAAGTATTGATGAGGATGTGGAATAATCAAACTCTCCTACAGTGTTGGTGTGGGTATAAATTGGTAAATCACTTTTGAAAGCTGTTTGGAAGAATATGTGAAAGCTGAATGTATGCATAGCTTATGATAAATCAATTTCATTCCTAGGTAATACTCAACAGAACTGCAAACGCATTCATAAAAGATATATATTTGAGTGTTCACAGCAACACTATTTATAATAGTTCCACACTTGAAATGACCTAAATATCTATTAATGATAGAATGGATAAATATATAGTGGTATATTCATCCAAGGAAAAATTATGCAGCAATGGGAATGAATACATTATAGCTATATGAAGCAATATGGATGAATCTCACAGACAAAGTTTAGTGAATGACAAATGAGTACCTACTCTATGGTTCTAATTATAGAAAGTTCAAAAATAGGCAAAGTTAATCTGTGGGATTAAATAGTGATTATCACTGAGGGGATAGATTGACTGAAAGAATTCATGGGTTTTTTTTGGGGGGGGGGGATGACAATATCCTGTTTATAGATCTGGGTGTTTATCACATGGGTGTATTCACTTTGTGGAAATTCATTAAGATTTACATTTATGGTATGCATACTTTTCTATGTGTATGCTACATTTAAATAAAAATATTTTTGAAATGGTCAAATATGGTGAATTTGGTGAGTCAAAAGATGTCTTAAGAATAGAGTTCCTAATACTTAGGGAAGAGGTGATTGAAAAGACTAGACATGCCGAATGGACAAGGCCTTTCCTCTTCTGGATTTAGTATAAAGCTCTTGCTTAGATCTGATCCTGCAGGTATCAGGAAACTACCAGTGATCATAAACACAGTTATGATAGAAAACATCTTCCTAATATAAATTTGATCACCATTTTTTCTCTGTATACATATACTAGCTTAAATGTCCATATTTGTCATTTCATAAATATTTTGCTGACAACTTAGAAATATTTATGAAATGACAAGTATGGAAATTTGGACTTTTGTCAGAATGCAGAAAGACAGAAGAAAGTGAGACAGTTAAGCTGCTATAATATCCAGGAAAATGGTGATTATTCAGCCAGATTAGTTTCACTGGGATCTAAAAGGAAGGAATAGTTTAAAGATAGTCGATTTGGAGAATATGTTACAAGTAAAAGGATATACAAAGTTGTCTTAGTTTTTTGGTATTTCACAGATAACAGGAAAGGAAGGGAGGCACTAGCCAACAAGTGCTGAATGGTGAGCTTTGGGGAGATGTGGGGGAATTAGAGTTTGGTTTGCAATATAGATTTAATATCTTGCAGAGTCACCATGTGAGATGCTTAGGAGATAAATGGAGATGTAGTCCTGTTTTAAGGAGAGAAGTTGGAAAGAAAGTGTAGCCTGAAAGTGCTATGTGAGTTTATTAGAACAGATGAGCTCACACACTGCACTTTGACCTCCATGGAATAACATGATTAACCCTGGGGTTCTGGAAGTTTATGATGCTCTGCCTGACCCTTCAGGGGATGCGCCTCAAGATATGTCAGCCTCCACCTTCTGCCCCCAATGTGGGAGTACTTCAGAGTACTTGGCCCTATCATAACAAGTTTCATAGTAGGAGGGCTGAAGAAGAGATATTTAAGAGGAAAGTTCCTTCTAATTGAGTTTATGGCCACAGGACTGTTTTGAAGGTAGGGCCAGAATAAAACATGCAAGCTTTAAGCAGCTTATAAAGTGAAAGTAGAGTTGGTAAAGAAGCAGATTAACAAAATTGAATGTGTCTGGTAAACTACTATCTTGTTTACCAGTTCTTAATATCAAGAACTATTGACTACTTCCTTTAAGCCAGTTCATCTTCATAGGAAATAAATTTCATCATTAAGCACATTTAAAGAACCTGTTTTGGGCCCCAAAGGCATTTCTAGAAAAGAAATACAGAAAATATTGGTTCTATGACCGCACTAGAGGAATATGCAACCAGCCTTCTAAGAGGATGGTTTTGAAAATACCTCATTTGTTTGAGTTTGGCTTTTATGGTGTATTTGTTAACAGATCTGTCAGACTGGAAAACTCACCTCTAAGAATAAGTAGAAGTGGATTTTAAACTTGTTTCTAATATAATTTTAAATTTCTACATAAAATTATTCTCCTTTCTTCAGTTTTTAGTCTGAGAAGACACTCTGGAGTGGGAGACTTTTAGGTTTAACAAATGAAAAAAAAAGATTGTTTAGGCCAAAGGGAAAATAGTGGCTAATGAAATAGCCATAAGCAGTAAGCAGAGATCAACTCAGAAACTTTCTCTTTTTGAATAAAAATAGAATAAAGTGCTATATCATTTTATTCAAGCCCAAAAGCTCAGGAAACAGAAGGAAATAGAGCTCCTAAAATGAATGGAGTTTGTTTCATAGCCTAAGAAAGGGTTATGAGGTAGCTCTTCTTTCTCAAGCCCACACTTACTAGGGACTTTATAAGTAATGATCAAATGAACAATGCTTCTTACTCCTAGGGTGGACAACTACTGCCTGGAATCTCTATGTTCTCCTGCAACACCAGCACTTCTGGTCAGTCTACCTTCCTCCTCACTGGTTTTCCAGGCCTGGAAGCCTCTCATCATTGGGTTTCCATCCCCATCAACCTCTTCTGTGTGGTTTCCATCCTGGGTAATAATATCATCCTCTTCCTGATCCACACAGATCCAGCCTTACATGAACCCATGTATATCTTCCTGTCCATGTTGGCAGCCTCTGATCTGGGCCTCTGTGCCTCTACCTTCCCCACTATGGTGCGTCTCTTCTGGCTGGGAGCTCGTGAGCTGCCCTTTGATCTCTGTGCAGCACAGATGTTCTTCATCCATACCTTCACCTATGTGGAGTCCGGTGTACTGCTGGCCATGGCCTTCGATCGCTTTATTGCCATCCGGGACCCTCTGCATTATGCCATAATCATTACCTGCTCAGTCACAGCCGAGGTGGGAACTGCCATTCTGGTGAGGGCTGTTCTGCTCAACCTCCCGGGACCTATCCTCCTGCAGCAGCTGCTCTTTCCCAAGATCAGCGCTCTCTGTCACTGCTACTGCCTGCACTGTGACCTTGTGGGGTTGGCCTGCTCAGACACCCAGATCAATAGCCTGGTTGGCCTGGTTTCCATCCTCTTCTCACTGTGCCTTGACTCCTTCCTCATCATGCTTTCATATGCCCTGATCCTATGAACTGTGCTGGGCATTGCATCACCTGGGGAGCGGCTCAAGGCACTCAACACGTGTGTCTCACACCTCTGCATTGTTCTCATCTTTTATTTGCCCAAACGGGCTGTCTGTCTTGCACCGAGTAAAGAAGCATGACTACCCTGCTCTGGCAGTGCTCATGGCCAACCTACACTTCTTGGTCCCACCCTTCATGAACCCCATTGTGTATTGCATCAAGTCTAGGCAGATCCGTCAGAGCCTCCTAAAGCACTTCCAGCAGAAGAGGATTGATGCTTTCTAGAATAGCAGAAGGACCCTGACACATGACCCTGAGATTTGGGGTAGGGGAGGAGTGGTTGCGGAGAGTTAATTTTTGAGGTTTTTGAGTGATTCAGCTGTGTTACAGTTTTTGGAGACTAAAAGTGTTGTAAGCCTTATTCAAGTATCACCTTGATAATCTTCTCATTGCTCTGATTAGAGCTGAACTATCTCAAACTCATATATGCTGTAATATCTTCTTATCCAGAGGGCTTAACCAAACCGAGAGAATGTGTGTGTGTATCTACCTGTACAGGCACCTCTCTCCTTCCCTCCCCTCCCCTGGATTTTTCTTTCTCATTTGATTTATAAGCCTAAGGAAGAGCTATAGTAAACTATATTCACCTTAATACTGGCCTTCTTTTCCCAAATTTAATTTTAACCAGCTCATATAACAAGAATCAGAAAAAGGGTGGTGGGTGGTAGGGAAACATGTATGGCAACAGTGTACATGCCAAATTTATTTGCAGTTATTTACAGATTAAGGAGTGGTAGTTTCCTCTTGATTCTTTATGCATTTCTGATCGTGCATTACAGAAAGTTTGGCATTGCCAAGCCTAGGGAAGTTGCTCACTATAATTTCTGGATAGTGCTAGTTTCTCAGGTACCAATGATAAGGGTGGACTAGTAGTCCACTTTCACAGTTGATGATCTGCTAGGATGTCAGCTCCATGAGTCCAGGGATGCAGGGCTATTTTGTGCACTGATATATTCCCAGCTCCAAGTTCAATGTCTATCATACAGTAGGTGCTCAATACATATTGTAGAATAAATGGGTAGGGTAGATGCAGGAGCAAAAAATTCTTGACAGTGGATCCTCAGGAAGGTAGGGGACTGAGCCATCTGAATGTCTGAGGCCTGTGGGGATAACACGCAGTTGATAAACTAGAATGGAATGAGATAAAGATGGATGTCAGAGAGACTGGGGACAAGGTGTAATTCTCTATAACACATGGTCGAAGACTTTCTCTAAGGATGCAGCTCAGAGAGGAGAGCTGTGTTTATTGTGGTGCTTTTTCCAAAGCTGCTTCCAAACTTCTAGAAGGAAGTTTACCCAGAAACTGAAGGATGTCTCACTTCAGCACTATCATATCCCTTGGCCTGCTCAGTTCTAAAATATTTGTAAGTTTCTTGAAGAATTGAAATAGGGATATTCCTAGTGGAAAACCACTCGAATTTAAAAGAAGTGATGATAGAGCTGTTAGAAGGTACAGTGTCTATTTCTATGGCCATCCAGACAAATGGGAATTTAATGATTGTGGTCATTTTTGTGTGTAATTTTAATGAATTCAGACAAGAGAGAATGAGGAATTTGGAGGCAAGAAGGCAGGGTGGGAGCTGTGAATCCTGTGCAAGCAGCTCTAGTTGGAATGGTTGTTTCCCCTGCTGGATTGTATTTCATTGGCCGTTGTAGTATGGGTTCCAAGGAACTCAGGGTCCTGTGCCTATCAGAAACTAGGAGGCCACTGCCAATGCAGATAGATATATCTGAAGTCACAGATCCTGCCCATAGAGCTCAAGTAACAAGGATAGCAAATCATGAATTTAAAGTTATCATGGTATCTAGTAGTAGCCAACAAAAAGTTTCATTATATCCAGTTTGACCAGCCACTTTGGAAAAGGAGGTCACTTGAAAAGATATCTTGTACATTTACACAGCAAGGTTTTTTTTTTTTTTTATCAGGGCCACAGATCTTAAGCTGAATAAGCAAGAGTGTTATTCAGGCCCTTCTGTCTGCTTCACTTACCACCCCAATAACAAAGTTTCTGATCAGGGAGCCAGCATGTCCATCTCACTGAGGTTCCCTCCAACCTCTATCAGAAACCTTAGGCTGATATGATGGTATTCAAGACCACAGGCATCCTTCACAGTTAAAAGAATACAGAGCCCTGAGCTCAGGCTGGACAATTCCCATTCAGAGGATTACCAGAATAAAGCTTGGATATTAGATATCCGATCTAGCATTGTAGGGATCTTGGGCGTTGTCATATTTGTCTTTTATCCACAACAGCTCTGAGCTTGGACACTGCTCCCACCCACCCTTAATCTCTATCCCCATGCATGACCATTTTCCTTGCTGGCCATTTCATGACTGCATTGACCTCAAGAGCTGGAAGGGATATGGGGGTCTATGCCTCTACAACTTTACTTTCAGTGTGCAGGCATCTCGGCATGTCTCATAATGCCTTCTTTTGCCTCACAGGCCAAATAGCTACAGTACTGTAGTATCTGAGAGTGACACAAAGGGAGTCCTGAGATGGTCTCTAAAAAGCTTTGCTACTAGTTTACCCAGTTAAAGATTATTAGGGTATGATATACAGTGGATTTTAGATTTCGGAATTTTTTTTTTAAAACGTCAGTGTATATAAATCTAAAGCTCCTGCTCTAAATTCTTATGCTAATCAGACTGCCACCCACCCATGCAGAAAACCTCAGTTAAAAAAATCTCAGCTCCAGCCCATACCAACTGTGTGATCTTAAGTTAGTCACTTTCTCTCTCTGAGTCTCCATTTTCTCATCGTTATAATGTGGGGATACTTACCTCATAGAGAGGTTGTGAGGATTTAAATACAAATATATATAAAGCACTAAAACCGACAGAGAACCCATTTTATGTATGTTTGTGTGGTTATTTGATTAGTGCCCATCTTGCCTGTTCACTGCAAACACGATGACGATGTTTGTTTTTCCTGAGTTGTCTAACTCTAGTGCTTAACATGGCCCTGAGAATGGTAAGCCATTTATGTGTTAAATGAATGAATAAATGAAAGACTGAATTCCTCAAAAATGGTAAAGGCAATTGATTGTATAATTTTTTGTTGAGCTCAATAGATGGGAGCACATATTAATGTAATTATTATATGTAATTATATACTTTGTATAAGGTAACTTTGATTTTGGGAGGAAAAAGCCAATTGTGTGGTTGGTTGCAAATGCAAATATTTTGTTCACGGTTACACTGCTCTATAGAAGCCCTGGGTTTATTAATTCATAACTGAACCTCTCAAGGACTTTAGGTTCCAAAGGGAAGATCCAAATCTGGTCTAAGAAGTTCCATGTATATAATTCCAGCTACCAACGCTTGTCCTGGGTTAACTGGACAGTATATGCTGAGTCTGCAACACTCTAGAGCTGAGTGGGGTCTTTGGTGACTGGGAATGAGTGACTGACTCACCTTATATATTTTTGGATCAAGGAAAAGTTTTTTGCATACACTTATGCTAGGCCTGGCTACTAACAATGGATTGGAGGGGAGGATGGTCCTAGACAAGAGGAGGAAGAGGAGAAGGCTTATAAAAATCAGGATGCATGTCCCAAGTTCTTCAAAGCCAAGTCTTCCCGAGAATGGCCTACATTGTTCATGGATTGGCCATGGAAAAAATGATTTCCTAATAGTCCTCTGTAAAACAGAGCTATTTTTCCCTTTACAGAGAAAAAAAAAGGAAACCTACAGTGACTGATTCAATGAGCAATTGCTGTGAATTCACTCAGAGTGATGTGAAGTTATGATGAATGCAAATTTATTTATATTGGAATGCTTTGTGGATTAGAAGAATATAAGGAAAAATGCCCCTTTGAGTAAAGTTATGTCCTACCACTTCCTTCCATGGACCAGTATAAGAGAATACTTTTGAGGGAGATAGGACAGAAGTCAGTCGAATTTTTAAATTTTATTTTTTATTTTTGTGGGTACACAGGTGTTTATTATTTATGAGAAATAAAATGTTTTGATATAGGTATGCAATGTGAAATAAGCACATCATGAAGAATGGGGTATCCGTCCCCTCAGGCATTTATCCATTGAGTTGCAAAAAATCCAATTACACTCTTTTAGTTATTCTAAAATGTACAGTTATTGACTATAGTCACCCTGTTGTGCTATCAAATAGTAGGTCTTATTCATGCTTTTTAACTCACCTACGACAAAAACTCAAAAGAATTTTACTCACAACTTGGAAAGAAATAATTTTCTATACTTGCACCAGTTCTTTCCTTGACCGTCTCTTGTGTTCATACCAATCAGGTGTTTGGCCCTATAGCTCCACTGAAATGGCTTTTGTCAATGTTCCAATGAACTATATATTGCCAGTTCCATTTGTTAATACGTGTATTAGTCTGTTCTCATGCTGCTATGAAGAAATACCTGAGACTGGGTGATTTATAAAGAAGTTTGATTGTCTGACAGTTCCACATGTCTGGGGAGGCCTCAGGAAACTTACAATCATGGTGGAAGGGGAAACAAATACGTCCTTCCCATGATGGCAAGAGAGAAAACTGCCAAGTGAAGGGGGAAAAAGCTCCTTATAAAACCATCAGATCTCGTGAGAACTTACTTACTGTAATGAAAACAGCATGGAGGAACCACCCCCATGATCTAATCACCTCCTGCAAGATCCCTCCCCCAACACATGGTGATTATAATTCGGATTACAATTCAAGGTGAAATTTGGGTGGGGACACAGAGTCAGACCACATCAATACCCAATCCATTGCTATAGCTGTAGCATTTGACACTGTTGATCACTCCCAACACCACTACTTCTCCAAGATTTTGTACTTCTGCTTTCCCCTGTTACCTCACTTTTTTTCATTCTCAAACTCTTTAGCTGTTTCCTCATGGTACCAAACTCAGTTTGTGTTAACTTGGATCCATATACTTGCCTTGATGGCTACCTGGGCAGCCAGAGGCCCCTAGGTGTTGCTTGTGCTACTGTTGCGATTGCAGAGCCAAACTGCTCTTGTTACTGCTTCTGTATTTGCCCCAGGCTACAGGTCCAGTTGCAGTGACTGTTCTCAGTCTCTCATATGGTTCCTGACACATCCTAACATTGCTGTATGATGTAGTTTGTCTGTGTCCCCACCCAAATCTCATCTCAAATTGTAATCCCCATGTGTTGAGGGAAGGACCTGGTGGAAGGTGATTAGATCATGGAGGCAGTTTCCCCCATGCTATTCTCATGATAGTGCTCTCTCTCCTGCTTTCTTGTGAAGAAGGTACCTGCTTCCCCTTTGCCTTCCACCATGATTGTAAGTTTCCTGAGGCCTCCTCAGCCACGCAGAACTGTGAGTCAATTAAACTTTCTTTTATAAATTACCCAGTCACTGGTGGTATCTTTATAACATTGTGAGAATGAGTGAATACACTGTACCTCATGCCTTTGCTGGTATTGTTGCATGTCTGTCTGTATTAGTCAGCTCAGGCTGCTGTAACAAAATACCATAGACTTTGTGACTTAAACAGTTGAAATTTGTGTTCTCACAGTTCTGGAGGCTGGAAATCTGAGTCTGTGATTTGCCAGAATGGGTTCTTTTCCTGGCTTGCAGATGGTCACCTTCTCACCATGTCCTCATGTGGTGGGGAGAAAGCACCAGCAAGCTTTCTGGTGTCTCTTTTTATAAGGACAGTAATCCCATCATGAAGTCCCTACTATCATGACCTCATCTGACCCTAATTACTTTGCTAAAGGCCCTGTCTTCAAATACAGTCACATACATTGGGAGTAAGGGCTTTCACACATGAATTTTGTGTGAAACTTTCAGTTTGTAACACCCTTTAGCTTTAACAGCTTCCCTGTTGCTTCTGAGGAATGAAATATTATGGCTTTGCTTGGTCACTGACACATTTGTAACTTGGAAGTGCAAGGGAATTAATTCACCATAGGTGTGGACTTTAACTAATGGAAGATAAGGAATCATTGGATAAATTGCGTTTCTTTTCCCCCCGATATGGTCTGTGTTGAGGTGTAGCAGCTCCAGAGAGCCCTTTGGAAGACATCTGGGGCACTGAGCAGTCAGCTTGTGGCTAAGTTGGTGGCAGCTCAATAATGCATTCCTTCCCTGCCTCACTCCCTTTTTCTCTCACTCTTGGAAAGATAATACACTCTCCAGTATAATGCTTGCACGTGTGGTTTTGTCTCAGGCTCTGTTTTCTAGAGAATCCAAGCTAAGAAGAACAATATGAGGAATGGTCCTTGAAAGAAAACTCTCATGGTAGGATTTGTCATTTGACTGTCTACCAGTCTGAAAGCAACAGGGATCACACTGCTGATGGTAAACAGAGTAGTGAAAACATCTGTCACAGTGATGTACATTTACTAAAGATGTCCTACTGTTAATTGGGATGAGGTAAAGGTGGAAGGAGATGGAAGAATGAATGCTTGATCAGCCTGGGAATATGGTAATATTATGGATTGTGGTGTGGGTGGCTGATTTTGATGGCATTTGGAGCATTGCAAAAAGAAAATAAGCTCATGCCATTCAACTCCCTTAACTTAAAACATGATGCTAAAGGCAGTCCTCCACAGTAGCTTCAAAAGAGACTAATTTCCTGAAGCCAGAGGACAGACTGATGAAAAATCAGGCCCAGAATATGATATTAAGGGCAACAGAAATATATGGAAGACTGAATGTGCAGCCTCCATAGGTCATCTATGTCAAAACAAATTCCATAGTAGAGAAAATATGAGAGTTTAAGAGCTGGAAATGAGACATTTGGGTATATGAGCCTAACACAATGGATTTTATATTTTCTCTGAACTTTCTAGGCTTGCAGAAGCACCATCTTCCCAATGACAAAAGAGAATAGTTTCTCTTTGCTTGAAAATCATGAAATGACCTCATCGAAGCTAACTTACCACCTTAAGTAGAAATAGAAGAACAAATTAAATGTAAACAGATGAGAGGAGATTCAGAAAAGGGAACAGCAGAAAGCAAAGAAAAATGGACACAAAAATTTTAAAAGCCATAATTTGGTTCTAAAAATTAACAAAATGGATACACCTTCCTGCACAAACTAGCATTACAGAACAGGACAAGGCACACACAAATAACCAAGAATTAAAAGACATGACAAGTCCTATAGAAATGAAAGGATAATAAGGGGATATTATGAACATTTATACTAACATTGGTATATTATTTTGACAGTTATATTTAGAGGAAACTTTGGAGCAAATAGAAAAATTTTGAAAATACAAACCTTAATAAATCTCTATCCATTAAAAATTGAACATGAAATAAAAAGAAACCCCCCTTCACACCCAGGTTTCTTTCATGCAGAATTCTATCAAATATTTAAAAAAATAAAATAAATGTTACATGAATATTATCAGAAAATAGAGTATAACAGATTAGTTTCCAGTATATTTTTGTGAGACAAGCAAAACCCTGATATAAAAACCTGATATGGAATTACAAGAAAATTAAAAGAGCAATACCTATCATGAACATAAACGTAACTATCCTTATGAAAATATTAGTAAACTGAATCCAGCAATATATAAATATGATGATACATCATGACCAAGTGGGATTTATTCCAGGAATGCAAGGTAGCTTAACATTTAAAAATAAGCAGTATTTTGCAGCACTTTGGGAGGCCGAGGGGAACAGTTAACCTGAGGTCAGGAGTTTGAGACCAGCCTGGTCAATGTGGCAAAACTCCGTGTCTACTAAAAATACAAAAATTAGCTGGGTGTGGTGGTGCAAGCCTGTAGTCCCAGCTACTCGGGAGGCTGAGGTAGGAGAATTGCTTGAACCCAGGAGGTGGAGGTTGCAGTGAGCTGAGATTGTGCCACTGCACTCCAGCCTGGGCAACAGAGCGAGGCTCCGTTTCAAAAAAAAAATAGTAAAATAAAAATAAAAACAAGCAAGTATAGTATACTGCATCAGCAGCATAAGGGAGAAAAACCAGATGGTTACCTAAGTATGTGAAGAAAAATAATTTACCAAATTCAACACAACTCTTGATGAAAACTTGCAACAAATTTCAATAGGTGTGTACTTTTTCAACATGGCATCTGTGAGAAGTGTATCGTGAACGTATTTCATCATGAAAGACTGAAAACTATCCTCCAGACTTCAGAAACAAGCCCGTGGATATAGGCATATGTCCAAACTCAAACTGTCTACACAAAATAGGTACAAGTTTTTGCATATCAATTATACCTCACAATAACGCTGTTAATATAAGAGTGAGAGACCATAGCAGGCATTAGGATGTGAACATATTGAAACTCTCCTACACTTCTGGTATGAGAAAAGTAAAATTGTGCAGCTGCTCTAGAATAACTTTGGCAGTTCCTCAAATGGTTAAACAGAGTTACCACATGACCAGTAAATGTACTTCTAGGTATATTCCCAAGAGAAATGAAAACATATGTCCACACAAACAGTTGTACACGATGTTATAGTCACATTATCTGTAATCGCCAAAAGGTGGAAACAACCTAAATATCTGTCAGCTCATCAATAGATAAACAAAATGTGGTATATATTCATACAATGGAATATTATTCAGCTAGAAAAAGGAATGACATACTGATATGCTACAACATGGATGAACCTACAAAGCATTATGCTAAGTGAAAGCAGTCAGTCCCAAAGTACCGTACATTATGTTTTCATTCATATGAAAGTCTGGAGTAGGGAAATCTAGAGAGGCAGGAGGAAGCAGACTAGTGGTTTCTTAGGGCTGGTGGGGCAGGAGAATATGAGGGTGATAACTATAGGGTATGAGGTTTGGTTTTGAGGTAAGGAAAATGTTTTAAAATTTACTGTGGTGACAGTTGCATGTATCTGTGGATATGCTAGAAACCACTGAACTGCACACTTTAAATGGGTGAACTGTATAATATTTGAATCATCTCAATAGAGGTGTTAACAAAAGAAAAATATCAGAAACAAGACAAGGATGTCTGCTTTACTAGTTTTATTCAACGATATATTGGAGTTCCTAGCCATTACAATAAAATTTAAAAAATTAAATATCAAACAATCAAAACTCTAGCAATTTTTGTAGAAATGAACAAATTGATTTTAAAATATATATGGGAATACGAAGAACCCAGAATAATAAGACCCACTGTGGAAGTGTAGTGTTAGAAGACTTACACTACTCCATTTTGAGACTTACTATTAATACTATTATTAAGAAAGTATAGCATTGACACTTTCTTGATCACTTTCTTGATCCAGTTGCCAAGGCAAGTCAATTTGGAAAAGAAAATCTTTAACAAATAATTCTGAAACAATGGAATATTCATGTGAAAAATAAATCTTCAACTCTAGGTTATAACATACACAATTTTTATTCATGTTGGATCATAGGCCTCAAATTAAAAGCTAAATCCATAAAACAAAGCACTAACCATGAATGAAATTGATTATTTGGACTTCATCATAACTAAAAATTTCCTGTAATCAAAAGATACTAGTAAGAAAATGGAGGTCAGGAGCTGTGGGTCATGCCTGTAATCCCAGCACTTGGAAGGCTGAGGTGGTTGGATCACTTGAGCCCTGGAGTTTGAGACCAGCCTGGGGAACGTGGCAAAACCGCATCTCTACAAAAAAAAAAAAAAAAAAGAAAGAAAGAAAGAATAGCTGGGTGTGGTGGCTCATGCCTGTAGTCCCAGCTACTTGGGAAGCTGAGGTGGGAGGATTACTTGGAGCCTGGGAGGTTGAGGTTGTAGTGAGCCAAGGTCGCACCAACTGCACTCCCACCAGGGTAACAGAGTGAGACCCTGTATCAAAAAATTAAAAAAAAAATCAAAAGGCAAGTCACAAAATTGAATAAAATATTTTCACTATGTATGTCTGGCAAATGACTTAAATCCAGAATATATAAACAGCTAGTACAAATCAACAAAATAAAAAATTTATTAGAAGTGGGCAAAAGACTTTAACAAACATTCTACAGAAGGCACATGCATGAACAGAAAACATGTGAGAAGTTGCTCAACATCAGAGAAATGCAAATTAAAATCACAAGTTACTAGCTTACTTTTAGTCAATGGACTGGCTAAAATGAAAAAAAGAATGACAATATTAAGGACTGACCAGGATGTAGAACAGCTGGGAACTGTTATACATCACTGGTGAGATTAGAAAATGGTGTGATTATTTTGGAAAAGCAGGTTCTATTAACCTCTGACCCAGCCATTTCACTGCTAGGTTAAGAAATATTCATAGCAGTTTTATTCATAATAGTAAAATATGGGAAACTCAGGTATCCAGAAGTAAACTTTGATATGTTCATACAATGGAAAATTACTTAGCAATAAGAAGAAATTAACAGTTGATGGACACAACATGAATCTCAAAAACATTATGTTGAGCCAAAGAAGTCGGACAAAGTATACATATTGTATAATTCCATTTATGTGAATTTCTAGAGTGGTAAATTAAATTTAATCCAAGGTGATCAAAAATTAAACAGTAGAACAATGGTTATCTCCATGAAGGGTCGAGGTATTGCTGGGAAGGAGCACAAGGGAATCTTTTGTGATTGTGAATTTTTTTTTTTTTTTTTTTGAGACAAGATCTCACTCTGTCACCCAGGCTGTAGAGCAGTGGTGCAATCACAGCTCACTGCAGCCTCAACTCAGCCAGGCTCAAGCGATCCTCCCACCTCTCAGCCTCCTGAGTAGCTGGGACTACAGGCTAATTTTTGTATTTTTTTGTAGACGAAGTCTTGCTATATTGTCCAGGCTGATCTCGAACTGTGGGGCTCAAGCAATCTGTTGGCCTGAATCTCCCAAACTGCTGGGATTACAGGCATGAGCCACTATGCCCAGCTGATACTTTGCATCTTGATTAAGATGGTGTGTATACTGACGTGTATGTATTTATCAGAGATGTATTTTATGTAAATTATACCTCATTTAAAAAAAAGAGCTTTGGAAAAAATAATCCAGCCATAGCCAATATAGTCCCAAATAGGATGTAGTAAGTTTTCTTGACTTCCCCTACAGTTTGAGTTAAGGACCCTGGAGAATAGAATTTACTGGCTAATCTGTGGCCTCTGTCTGACAACCTGGGGTGTCTGTGGGCAAATTAAGACTACTAAACTCGTTTGTGGTGAGACCTGGGGTGAAGGAAGAATTATTTGGATGGCTTCAGGTTGAGTAATAGGAGAGTCACTGAGAGTACATAGGGGAGTTTTGCTGGGGTCCCATATTCAAGTTGTCAAAAATTTATCTTCCTGAATCACTGTATGTCCAACACCTAGAATAGCATTTGGCATATTTCATGTTCTCAGAAATGTCAGTGATGTTAGGAAAATTATCCTCTCACCCTTGGATCAGACTTTTACTACATTCTTGGTCTTTCCCTGGAACTTTGATGCTTAGTGGAATCTGCACAAGGCCACTCCCAGGGCATAGAAGGAAATACTTAGGATGTCATCTCGCATCAGGCTTTGCTCTTGCAACTTACACCCAGGCGTGGCCTTACCTGCATACAGAGATGGGGTGAGATGAGGTGTGGCCTGGGGCCTCATTTCTTCTGAGCAAGTTGGTGTTCTTACACCCACGGTCTCTGTGTTTACCCTAATCATATTAGTTTGACCTTTGAACGACATGGGTTTGAAATATGCAGGTCCACTTATAGGCAGATTATTTTTAACCAAACACAGATAAAAATATCAGAATTGCAGGATATAAAATCTGAAAATAAGGAGAGCCAACTTTTTGTATATTTCTGTTCTTAGGTCTCACTTGGAATATGCACAGATTTTGGTTTATATGGGGTTCCTGGAACCAATCCTCCCGCATATACGGAGGGACAACTGAAATAGTATGATTCAGTTTGGCCACTGTCTCCTTATGTGTGTTTCCTCTAACAGTGAGCAGTTATCACAAGAGGAGGCCCTTTGACTTAATTTGCCCTAGATTTTAGCAAAATATTTGGCCCATAGTTCATGCTCAGTGAAAAGATAAAAACTACTCCAGAGAACCTTCCTAGATTGACATTATACCTTGTTACTTATTCTTGTGTACACTGGACAGTTTGCCCAGGATTCTCCTCCTTTCGTTGTTATCATCCCTATGGCTAATTGCTAAGTGCCTTGTCTCTGCCTCTCTGCCTGAGTCTATGTATGGGTGTGGGTGTGTTAGAACTTGCTAAGGGAGGCATGTATGTATTCCTATCAGAGTAGGAACACCTGCCTGTGGATGAGGGTTATTTCTCCTTGTTAGACCAGTAGCTATATCTTTCCCATTTTATCAATATCTTCTGGAAGGTAGGAACAATGTCAGATGCAGAATTGGATTCCCTGGGAGGCCATCATCAGTTTGGTAGCCATATTTCCCATTAGACAGGGGCTCCCTGAGCTTTGTAACCATATCTACAACATAAGTAAACACCTGACAGATCTTCCACCATCTGACTTTGCTGTTGCTCCTTATCGAAGTACGGGTACCATTGAGCATGAGTTTCTGTGTCCTATCATGTTGGGAGCCACCAGTCCCCCGAGGGCTGAGGGGCAAAGAAGATAAAGGTTTCAGGGTGGGGTTGAAGACTTTATGACTGAGCAGGGCCCCACTTCAGAAGCCGGAGGGCCCCATCCCAGATCTGTTTGGTCTTCATGCCATAGATGATGGGGTTGAGCATGGGTGGCACAACCAGGTAGAGGTCAGCTAGAAGGATGTGGATGTGCCGGGGCACGTGCTGGCCAAACCGCTGTGTGTAGAAGGAGAAGAGTCCTGGTGTGTAGAAGAGAAGTATGACACCCAGGTGGGAGCCACAAGTGCCAAAGGTCTTAGCCCTTGCCTCCTTGGAGGAAAGACCTAACACAGCTCGGAGGATGAGTGCATAGGAGACAGCAATACAGATGGAGTCAGTGCCCACCACCAGTGTGGCAGCAGTGATGCCATAGATGTTGTTTGGCTGTGTTCCTCCACAAGCCAGCTTTACCACAGCCATGTGTTCACAGTAGGAGTGGGCCACCACTCGACTGCAGTAGCTCAGTCTTGCCAGTAAGCAGGTGAGTGGGGTCATGAGTCCCAAACCACGAAGCACGGCTGCAGCCCCCAGCTTGCCTACAGACTCTGGGGAGAGCAATGACCCATAGTGCAGAGGCCAGCAAATGGCTAAGTAGCGGTCAAAGGCCATTGCTAGCAGTATACCAGATTCTACAGCTGAGAAGCCATGGATAAAGAACATCTGGGCAGCACAGGCCCCAAAGTTGATCTCAGCATCCTTTGCCCAAAAAAGTGCAAGGAGCTTGGGCACAGTGGAGGTGCAGAGGACCAGGTCAATGGTGGATAGCATGCAGAGGAACAGGTACATGGGCTGGTGCAATACAGGCTCTGAATGTACCACTAGCAGCACCACCATGTTTCCCAGCACTGCCAGGGCATACATGGAGCAGAAGGGAAAAGCAATCCAAAAGTGGGATGCCTCCGGGCCTGGAATTCCCATGAGCAGAAAGGAGGTTGGGTTCTGATGGTATGGTTTATGAGTTTCATGGCCAAGTAAGGTGGTTAGAGAAGACCTCACTGCCTTGCTCTGAGTCCTAGGAATCCCTGAGAGATGAAGCAACTGGGATTCATCATTATGCTATGGCTGAACAGCAGCAGGAAGTATTTGCATTAGGCTTCATGAAAAGCATCCAGGATGGGAAGATGGTAGGGCACTGGGAGATAATGCAAGGCAGGAGGTGGGTTACTGTCTTCAAGGTTCAAAGGAGCCCTTCACACTTGTATCTGTTTCAATGATGTCCAGGCTGTGGGTGGTGGGCAAGTGGCATGGCTGTAGAAACTTCTCTATGGTGACAGGCTGTGGGCTAGAGAATTTTACAGTTTTCTTCTACCTGTGAGCCATCTTTTGCTTATAGTCTAATATTTTTTTTCTTTGGATTCATCTGCCTGTGTGAAAATATAAAAGTAATATTAATAATAAAAAGTCAGGCAGATTCAATGGAAGACTCAAATGTGGTTACTTTTCGAGATGGAAAGATCAGGTCTGAAGGGAATTGATAGGAAGGAGGAGAGATCTTGGATGGATTTTTCAAGCCATTGAGCCTATAATAACCCATAGATGAGGCTCAGAACCTAGGTTCTGACCAGGAACAGCAAAACAGAGGTGATAGGCTGAGTCTCTGGTAGTCTCATACAGGCATAAGATTGCCTGGCTTATGTTTAGTACAAGGATCCTGCACTTGCCTCAAGTGTCCTATATGGATGCTGGTAGAAACAGCTGTGATCATGCACAATTGATCAGTGGTAGGGATCAGGCTAATTTGGCTATAAAAAGAATCTGTTAAGGTCATTGAGAAATGATTGAATACAAGGCATTTTCTCTCATAAAAATCAAAAGTACATAAAAGAAAGAGGTAAGAAGTAAATTTTAGTAACTGGGAACATGGAATCATTCCCTGAAAGCAAAAATGGAGACCCAAGTTTGACCAAATGACAGTACTGTGCTTCCATACATCTCCCCATATCTCCTGTCTATTACCCTCAAACACCCTCCTGATCTTCCCTCACCTACATTTTAAAATATATTTTTATCTCATTTTTTTCTTATCTAACCAGGTAGTAATTGGGAATTTGAGAGAAAGGAAAGATTAAACAAAAAAAAGGCAAAGGGGACAGTAGAGGGAGAGGTGGTGAGATAAAAAAGATGAGAACAAGAACCAGAAATAGACATAGGAGAGAGTAGAAAGAAAAGTACCTCTATCGAAAGAAAAGAGCTTCTAATATAATTGTATGTGACTGTGCTCCAACTGCTAATTGAAACAGAGATAGTGGACCCAATTGTTCCCTATAGTGTTGCTCATCTGTATTCCTAATCTTAAAATGCACTGCTCCTTGCAATCCTTAGTATCAGCTACCCATACCCAGAGATCATAGGAAACTGCTTTGGGGAAAGATGTAGGAGCAGGAAGGAGGAGGGTAAGGTCTTCTAATGTGATCTGCAGGAAAGAACTGTGGTCCAGGATGCCTCCTTTCCATCCCAGTGTCAACCGTGGCTGTCACTCTCATATTGAGCAAATCATCTTGTTCCTTTCTGTCTTATCATGCCTTCATGTATTTCCTGTTTTTCTCTTCTATGATATCTCCCTGAATTTCCACCATCCAGCCGGGGCCCAAGCAAGCCTAGAAGAGATTTTAGCCTTCATGGTAGCTGAAAGGTCTGGGATAGAGAAATCAGAGTGTGAAGAACCTTGTGAAATGATGCATGTAAAACTGTTCCATTTGATGAGAATGCAGTGTTTGGCTGGGCATGTGATTGTGTGTATCTATATACGTTATTGTGCAAGATGCATGAGCAAGCCTGTACTCAGAAGACACAGGGACATACATTTATGTAAGACATTGTTTTTGGAGTGTCCCTGCTTCAGTACCCTTTGTGGAGAAAATTGAGAGCTGAATAATCCAGTCATGAATGAGACAGCCCTACTTTCTTTCCCTCCCTTCTTTTCTTCTTCCATCTCAGTCTTTTAATAATTGAATCAGATTTTCTCAGGCCTTAAACTGCTACTCAAAAAACTTTTGCTCCACCCTTGATCTGGAACTACACAGCATAATGATCACAATTTCCCCTTGTCTCACCCACTTTGCACAGATGGGGAAAATGAAGTTGGAAGAGCATATGTTGAGTATAATATTCCTGAATTTTAGGAAAGAGGTCAAGGTTGAGGTGAGAGCCTTGGAGGTCTTCACTTTTTGACTTTCCTACTAATATTTGAGGTTAGACCTCATGAAAAACACTCAGGATGAGATTTTAGGGCACTGGGAAAGTATGCAAGGCAGAAGATGGGTTATCATCACCATGTTCAAAGGAACCTTTGCCACTTTAGTCTGATTCAGTGATGTATAGGCTGGGAGTAGGTGGCATGGCTGCAGAGCCCTCTCCATGGTGAATGTCTAGAGACTCTTAAAGCTTTCTACTCTCTGCCATGAACCCTTTTATGCCTATACTCTAGTGTTATTTTCCTCTGACTCATCTGCCTACTGAGATCAGGCAAGGAAGACTCCCAGCCTCCTCCAGATAGCTCTCCATAATAATAGCTCTCCTTCATGCCCCTCATTCCCCTGCTTTGTTCTTATTTATTTTAGCACTTGGTATAAGAAAGGCCTTACCTAAAATATATAAGAATAGGAGTTCAAATGCCAGGAACAAGGCTGTCTCACAAGGAAAGGAGCAAGTTCTTTATCCTGTAGGTGCTCATGAGCATCTGGAAGTGACCAACCTAGAATTTAGCACTCACTCATGGATGTCCAAGGGCAGCCAGATTCAAATCCCAGCTTTACAACTCACCAGCTGTGTGATCTCAGTCAAGCCACCTAAACTCTCTCAAACTGTTTCCCTATCCGTGTAACCTGGAGAGGTTGATTCCTACTTCATAGGCTACTATGGCGATTACTAGGGGAGACAGTTATCTGAAGAGCCAATTAAAGTACATGGCCACAAAACAGTGGTCAAAAGTGTGATTCATTTGTAAGTCCTTTTAATCTGAAGTAGAGGACAACCTCAGTGAAAAAATTACCTTAGTGGCAGTCCTATCTTTGTTCAACCATATAATAGGCACACTGAGAAGACCAAACAGACAGAGAGACAAACTTACCAGGTCTGAGGCAGGTTGTGATAGTGGAATCTGGTCCTACAGGGGTTAGAGTGTGGGAAGCAAAAGAGCTGGGGTATTTGTCCTCTTATTAGCATCCTACATGAGGGTAGCAATTCTCTGGAGGATAAAGATGCTAAAAAGACCCCTGGGATGCTGGAAAGAGGCAGCAAATTGAAAGCTGGAAATACAGGCCCTGATGGGAGAGGGAAGGATAGGATAGCAGAGATCTATCCTGAGAGTTCCGTGTGGGTAGGTGGGGTAGTTGGAAAGGTCCTTGAGCATAAATAGTCTTAAAGGTTTTTTTGGCATAGAAACATATTTTAGAATGTTTTACCAATTTTGTTTTTTTCTCCTGGCCCCCTCCCTCCTTCTAAAACCAGCTTGTCCAACCTGCAGACCAACACGAATTTGTAAGCTTTCTTAAAACATTATGAAATTTTTTTGTGACTTTTTTTTTAGTTCATCAGCTATCATTAGTGTTAGTGTATTTTATTTGTGGCCTAAGACAACTTCCAGTGTGGCCCAGCCAAAATATTGGACACTGCTGATAAAATATTTGCTTCTTGGTGTTTATTTAGGAAAAACAATTTTTTTTGAACACTAATTCTTCATATATAAAGTAGGGAAGCAGTGAAGATCAAATTAGATTATACATACAAAACATTTATCATTTTGCCTGGTATCTGCTAAGCCCTCAATAAAAAGTGTTTATCTTATTTTATCAAATGTAACGATCACTTACTGAGCATCTGTTATATGTGAAGGATTATGCTAGATTTTAAGGCATAGGGTTGAAGGATCATGCCCCTGTTCTCAAGGAGGTCACAGTCTGGATTGGAGGATGGACAGACATTAAAATCAATTAAAATTCAATGGGACATATGCAGACTTTAAAAAACAGACAGAGGCTCTTTTGGCAGGGGAGGGATTCACTATTAAGAATTAGTCAAGGATTTAGGGTTTAGAAAGATAAAGTGGGTCTGAAGGGAGGAATACACCAGGAAGGGGACACAGCACGTGTAAAACCTGGAAGGCAAGGGACATTGGGCATTTTCTGGGGACCACTGAAGCCTAATTCAAAGCCAATGTTTTCATGATTCTTTTCTGACACGCTGTGTGTGTCCTTTCTCTCTATTGCCCATGCAGCATCTCATCAAATGCCATTCATGGGATAGAGTTCACTCTAAATACTGTTGGCATGACCTTAGGTAAGTTAAGTAACAACTCTCAGCCTCTTGTTCCCCATTTTCAAAAATGGGGAAGACTGAAATGAGATAGCACATATACAATTTTTAGTAAAGTGCCTAGAACCTGGTAAATCATCAGTAGATTCCTACATGCTAGACTTTGTGAAGGCAGAGACCAGGATGAATCTCTCTCTCTGTTGGCATTTAAAAGAAGATTGTGATGATGTTAGGTACTGGGGGAAGGCTGTCAAAAGAACAGATTGGATTCTAATCAAATGTAGTCTGGGCAGATATGAAACTTGATTTCGGACAATAAGTCAACAAACACACATTGACGGCTTATGTTTCTGCTATTGTCCTGGAGATATAAAGGTTTGGAAATATTCCTGCTTTTAAGAAGCTTTAAATGCAGATGGTGAAGGGAAGACCTAGTGGGGAATGACTTGGCCCAGATGATGAAGAGGAAGGTGCAGGCTTTATTCTCCAAACATATAGGTTCCCTGGGAGCTCACAGAGAAATGACACTTCAAATATGAAAAGTTTTGGGGATCCCGAGTTTTGGTCATTCTCCCATTTGGTTCTTCAGGGACTCGACTGATTCTAAAGTGGCAAAACAGATACATGAAATGATTTAAATTTTCTGCCAGCTCCACAATGATCAGAGCCAAGCCTCAGCTCTCCATTATTTTTATGGGTCTCAGGGACAGTCATAGACGTTTAGCATTAACTTAGGATACTATGGGGGCACATTTTATTCAGCCAACAACAACTATTCTATACAATATTATTGAGCACCCACTATGTGTCAGTATTTCTCTACGTACTACTAGGAATGCCATATTGAACAAGGAAGACAAAGTTCTTGTTTCATGGAACGTCTATGCTAATAGGAGACATTTGCATTAAAAAATCAATACATGACAAATAGATATTGATAAGTTCCATGAAATTAGAATGGCTATTATCAACATGATGAAAGATAAGTGTTGGAGAGAATATGAAGAAAAGAGAATCCTTGCCCATGGTTGGTAGGAATGTAAAGCAGTACAGCCTTTATGGGAAATAGTATAAAGCTTCCTCAAAAAGTTAAAAATAGAACTACCTGTATGATCCAGCAACTCCAGAACTGGGTGTCTGGATGTCTAAAACAATGTTAAAGAGATATCCACACTGATGTTCACTACAGCATTAAAGTGCTATGAAGTTAGAATGGCTATTATTAAAATGTTGTAAGATAACAAGCATTGGAGATGGTATAGAGAAATTGCACATGGTTGGCAGGAATGTAAATTAGTATAGCCATCATGGCACATGGTATGAAGTTTCCTCAAAAAATTAAACATAGAACTACCAAAACTTAAAAATAGAACTATCATATGATCTAGCAATCCCAGTACTGGATATATATCTGAAGGAATATGTTGAAGAGATATCTATACTCCAATGTTCACTGCAGCAGTACTCGTAATAGCCAAGATATGGAATCAGTCTAAGTGTCCATCGATGGATGAATGGATAAAGAAAATGTGGTGCGCGCACACACACACACACACACACACAGTGGAATACTATTCTGCATTAAAAAAGGAGGAAATTCTGTCATTTGAGAACATATATAAATCTGGAGTTCATTATGTGAAGTGAAATAAGTCAGGCAGAAAAAGCCAAATATTGCATGATCTTACTTAGATGTGGAATCTAAAAAAGTTGAACACAGAAGTAGAGAAAGTAGAATGGTAGTTCCCAGGGTGTGGGGGTGTCAGGATTGAGGAAATGTTGGTTGGAGGAGACAAAATTTCAGTTAAAAGAAATAAATTTAAGAGACCTATTGTATAAGATGGGAACTACAGTTAATAACAATGTATTATATTCTTGAAACTTATGAAGAGAGTAGATTTTAACTGTTCTCACCACAAAGATGGAAAAGTATGTGAGGTAATATGTTAATTTGCTTGATTTAGCTGTTCCACAATGTATACACATTTAAAAACTCCATGTTGTACATGATAATTATATACAATTTGTTAATGAAAAATAAATTTTTAAAGTGCCGTGGGTAAAAACAGGATAATAAGACAGAAAAATGACATGGGACACAATTTTAGATAGGGTGGTCATGATAGGTCTTTCTGAGAAGGTGACATTTGGTAGAAATCTTGATGAAACAAGTGAACAAGGCATGCAGCTGTATGGAAGACAGTGCTCCAGGCGAAAGGAACAGACATACAGGCCTTGATTTCTGGAATGTGTTTGGTGAATTTGAGGGACAGTATAAGGCCACCAGTTGCTGGACTGGAGTGACTAGGAGGAGATGGTAGGAGAGGTAGCAAAGGTCCAGAGACCAAAAAGGTATTTGTAAACCATGGTGAAGACTGAATTTTGTTTGATCTGTGGTGGAAAGCTATTAGAAGCTTTTGAACAGGGTTCTGTTATACTGTGACTTAAACTTTAAAATACCTGCACCGGGTTCGATGTAAGGGACAAGGATAAAAGAGTCGTTATTGTTACAAAAGTTATTGTTATAGCCAACACAGGAAATGATTTTGCCTTAGACCAGAGTGGCAGCAGGGAGGCAATGAGAAGTGATTACACTTGGGATATACTTTGAAGGTCCAGTTGATAGAATTTGTTGGTAGATTGATTCAATGTGGGGTTATGAGAATATGATGGGCTTCAAGGAAGGCTCCAATCTGAGAAGTTGAGTAAAGGGAAGGGCTTCAATGCACAGGAAACACGAAGAGAAAAGTAGGTTTACAGGTGTGGAGGGAGAGAGGAAGCAGAGTTCTGTTTTGCTCCTGTAAAGTTGGACATGTATATGAGATAAGAATAGATGTTAGAAAAGCAAATAATTGCCATTGCTTTTGGTGTTTTAGTCATGAAGTCCTTGCCCCTGCCTATGTCCTGAATGGTATTGCCTAAGTTTTCTTCTAGGGTTTTTATGGTTTTAGGTCTAATATTTAAGTCTTTAATCCATCTTGAATTAATTTTTGTATAAGGTGTAAGGAAGGGATCCAGTTTTGGCTTTTTACATATGGCTAGCCAGTTTTCCCAGCACCATTTACTAAATAGGAATTCCTTTCCCCATTTATTGTTTTTGTCAGGTTTGTCAAAGATCAGATGGTTGAAGATGTGTGGTATTATTTCTGAGGGCTCTGTTCTGTTCCATTGGTCTATATCTCTGTTTTGGTACCAGTACCATGCTGTTTTGGTTACTGTAGCCTTGTAGTATAGTTTGAAGTCAGGTAAGCATGATGCCTCCAGCTTTGTTCTTTTGGCTTAGGATTGTCTGGCAATGTGGGCTCTTTTTTGGTTCCATATGAACTTTAAAGTAGTTTTTTCCAATTCTGTGAAGAAAGTCTTTGGTAGCTTGATAGGGATGGCATTGAATCTATAAATTACCTTGGGCAGTATGGCCATTTTCATGATATTGATTCTTCCTATCCATGAGCATGGAATGTTCTTCCATTTGTTTGTGTCCTCTTATTTCTTTGAGCAGTAGTTTATAGTTCTCCTTGAAGAGGTCCTTCACATCCCTTCTAAGTTGGATTCCTAGGTATTTTATTCTCTTTGAAGCAATTGTGAATGGGAGTTCACTCATGATTTGGCTATTATTGGTGTATAGGAATGCTTGTGATTTTTGCACATTGATTTTTGTATCCTGAGACTTTGCTGAGGTTGCTGATCAGCTTAAGGAGATTTTGGGCTGAGATGATGGGGTTTTCTAAATACACAGTCATGTCATCTGCAAACAGGGGCATCTAATTAAACTAAAGAGCTTCTGCACAGCAAAAGAAACTATCATCAGAGTGAACAGGCAACCTACAGAATGGGAGAAAATTTTTACAATCTACCCATCTGACAAAAGGCTAATATCCAGAATCTACAAAGAACTTCAACAAATTTACAAGAAAAAAATCAAACAACCCCATCAAATAGTGGGCAAAGGATATCAACAGACACTTCTCAAAAGAAGACATTTATGCAGCCAACAGACACATGGAAAAATGCTCATCATCACTGGCCATCAGAGAAATGCAAATCAAAGCCACAATGAGATACCATCTCACACCAGTTAGAATTGCGATCATTAAAAGGCCACGAAACAACAGGTGCTGGAGAGGATGTGGAGAAATAGAAACACTTTTACACTGTTGGTGGGACTGTAAACTAGTTCAACCATTGTGGAAGACAGTGTGGTGATTCCTCAAGGATCTAGAACTAGAAATACCATTTGACCCAGCCATCCCATTACTGGGTATATCCCCAACGGATTATAAATTATGCTGCTATAAAGACACATGCACGCGTATGTTTATTGTGGCACTATTCACAATAGCAAAGACTTGGAACCAACCCAAATGTCCATCAATGATAGACTGGATTAAGAAAATGTGGCACACACACACCATGGAATACTATGCAGCCATAAAAAATGATGAGTTCATGTCCTTTGTAGGGACATGGATGAAGCTGGAAACCATTCTGAGCAAACTATCGCAAGGACAGAAAACCAAACACTGCACGTTCTCACTCATAGGTGGGAATTGAACAATGAGAACACTTGGACACAGGGTGGGGAACATCACACACTGGGGCTTGTTGTGGGGTGGGGGGATGGAGGAGGGATAGTGTTAGGAGATATACCTAATGTAAATGACGAGTTAATGGGTGCAGCACACCAACATGGCACATGTATACATATGTAACAAACCTGCATGTTGTGCACATGTACCCTAGAACTTAAAGTATAATAATAATAAAAAGTCTGGAGTGGGCCTGAGAGCCTGTGAATTATTCCCAGGTAATGCTGCTGATACAGGACCACACTTTCAGTGTTTTAAAGAAAAAATTAAATAAAACAGGCATGCCATTCAAAAAAAAAAAAAAAAAGAAAGAAAATAATTTACCAATTTGAAGTTCAAGGGAGATATCTGAGTTGAAGAAATAGAGTTGTGAGTTATCAAAGAGTAGATAGTTAAAACCATGAAAAAGGATGAAAATGCCTACAATTTAGTGTACAAAGAGAAGAGATTCAAAGGAGAGGAAAAAAAGAACTAGCCAGCAGAAGACAACACTAATGAGGAAGAAGGAAAACCTGCAAGATAATGTGGTTCAGGAAACCAAGAATTGGGAAATGCTCAACTGCCAAATGCTATTGGGTAAAATGGGGTTGAGTAAAATGAGGATGCAAAGCCATAAAAGCATGATACAATGGACTTTGGGGACTTGGGAAGAGTGGGAGGGGGCAGGCGATAAAAGACAACAAATATGGTGCAATGTATACTGCTCGGGTGATGGGTGCACCCGGTTCTCACAAATCTCCACTAAAGAACTTACTAATGTAACCAAATACCACCTGTACCCCAATAACTTGTGGAAAAAACAAAAAGAATTCATTATTTGTGTTTTCAAACAAATGGTGCTGGGAAAACTGGATAGCCACATGCAAAAGACTGAAGTTGGACCTTTACCATATAAAAAAATTAAATCAAATGGATCAAAGATGGAATATAAGATCTAAAATCATAAAACCCATACAAGAAAACATAAGTGAAAAGCATCAGGACTTTGGATTTAGCAATGTTTTCTTGGTTATGACACCAAAAGTATAGGCCTCAAAAGAAAAATAAATTGGACTTCATCAAAACTAAAACTTCTGTTCATGGAAGGACTATCAAGAAAGTAGAAAGGCAACCTACAGAATAGGAGAGCGTTTGCAAAGCATACGTCTAATAAGGTATTACTATCCAGAATATATCAAGAACTCCTACAACAATACCCCCCTCCCAAATAATCCAATTCAAAAATGGGCAAAGGACTTGAATAAACATTTTTCTGAAGCTATACCAGTGGTCAATAAGAAAAGAGGCCTAACATCAGTAATCATTAGGGAAATACAAATGGAAACACATTGAGATACTATTTTCACAGCCAGTAGGATGGCTATGATCAAAATCCAGAAAATAGTGTTAATGAGGAAGTAGTAAGGTTGGAACCATGTATACTGGTGGTAGGAATGCAAAATAGTGTAGCCACTGTGGAAAATGGCATATGGTGGTTTCTCAAAATAATTAAATATATAATTACTTCAATCTTTCCCTAACACAGCCTGGTATCTTCCACAATGACGTTCCTAATATAAGCTTGTGAACTTCAAGTCTGGATCACCATCTCTATGTAGCCTGTGTCTGCTAAACTTAATTCAGATTTTCACAGTGCAAGCCCTGTGTAGAAGTCCACCTCAACCCAATATGTTCTGGAGACTCCAGGTGTGAGAGGCAAGTGCTTGTCTCTGAGGGACAAGAGTTAGGATAACTGATGGAAGATTTGTGTGTCTCTGTGGGAAGAAAGGGAATGTGACCAGAATACAGTCTCAATAAGAGCTACTGGGCTCCCATGTAGAGTTATTTCAGGTTAAAAGACTTAGAGGCTACTGTAAAAACCAACTTCGTTTCTCAGGACCATGGCAGAAGAATAGCAAGCTCCAAGACCAGTGATAAGAGGACTTATTGATATGTTGGTATTATTAATGGTTAATAATTGAGCAACAATAACATTGAGAGTGATTCCTCAATGATCTCATTGGATCACCCCACCCAGTGAGGTGGGAAGGACTGGGATTTTTGTCCCCACAACAAGAAACCATTCAAAGAACGGAGAGGTTAAGTGCCTTGTCAAGGTCACAAGCTGAGACAAACCTAGATCTGTCACCTATTACCTTAACTCACAGCTCTGTCTGCAAACAAAAACATCCAAACTCCAAATAAAACAAAGAATAGATAACCTTGACCAAGTTATGCCTGAACTCCACTTTTCTGAGTCACAACTGGAAAGCATACCCATAAGACAGCTGCTTGTGCATTCTTAGGAGGCTCTATTTTGCAGTTTGCACTGCAGGGAAGGAAGGGGAGGGGAGGGTGGAGAAGGAAGGGGAGGGTGGAGAGGGAAGGGCAGGGTGGAGAGGGAAGGGGAGGGTGGAGAGGGAAGGGGAGGGTGGAGAGGGAAGGGGAGGGTGGAGAAGGAAGGGGAGGGTGGAGAAGGAAGGGGAGGGTGGAGAAGGGTGCACTGATTACTGAAATCACACTCCTTCCTGCCTCGAGGGAGAGGCATGATCGAATACCACAGAATGGTGAGGGAGTAGGGCCTGTAGGAAGCCAGAGGCAGGAATCCCAGAAGACCGGAGCCTGAAGCAGAGAAGGCTCCTAGAGTTGGCCACAGAGAAGAGACTAGGCTCATCATGGGGCCCTTTCAGGGTATTCCTCAGAGACAGGGCCTGTTTCCTTTTTCTTTTGGGAAAAGAGTAGCTGATTATGAGGATATAGCCAGACCCTCCCTTTCCAACTCTCTTTCCCAACCCTTCTCTAAGAGAGGAAAACTGCACCAGTTTTCCCTAAAGCGCATGCCAAATGAATTGAGCTTCCTGCTGAGGGGTGAGCACAACTTGGGGCAATGGTGGAAGGGGAAGACCAGGCAGATGGAGGGCACAGTGAGACAGCTAACACAGCTGGGACCAGGGACAAGACGACTAGGGAGGGGTGCCTATGCTGGAATCAACTGGCTCCTGGGGCTGGAGCAAGTCAGGGGCATATGAGCTGGGGGAGCAGTGAAAACAGGAACAACCAGGATAATGGCAGAAATCAGACTGAAAATAATAATCACTAGAGGGAAAATCCAAAGGCAGAGCAGAGACCTGATGGGAGAAGAATGTTTAATATTTGAGGGGAATAGGCTAGGTCAGGAAGCTGAGCCATGGAGTGCACAGAGCAGAATCCAGCTCTTGCAGATCACTTATGCTCAGACAACCTAACCTATCTTCATCTCAGGCATTACCTTATCTCCCGATTCTCTTCTCTCATTCTCATCCCTGTATATGTCTAACAGGAGAGCTCTCAATCCTCCTCAAAATACTTGCTTCTGCAAGCTCCAGATCCTCCATGTCATCATTATCAGAGGAACAACTTTCCTGCCTCTCAGGCATGCACTCCTTTTTGTGTTGTGCATTAGGGACCTCCTCCAGAAAACCTTAGCATTCAGCTAAGGCCCAGACCATGTTAGCCACTTCCCTCCTACTGCACATTCTGGCCCAACCTAAGTCGTAGCTGCTATAATAGTCCAGGATAAAAAGGAGGAGGCTGAAATAAGGAGGTAGAAAGGACAGGTCAGGTACACTTACTTATTAAAGTTTTCAGCAATAACTAGTTATATCTTTGCAGCATGGTCTTATAGTAGTCCTATAGACCATGGGTCCCCAACCCCTGTGCCACAGGGTCCTGTGGCATGGCCTGTTAGGAACTGGGATGCACAGCAGGAGGTGAGCGGTAGGTGAGAGAGCATTACTGCCTGAGCTCTGCCTTCTGTCAGATCAGCCAGGGCATTAGATTCTCACAGGAGCAAAAACCCTGCTGTGAACTACACATGCAAGGGATCTAGGTTGTACACTCCTTATGAGAATCTAATGCATGGAGTAGGGGTGAGGAGATGTGAAATTTAGTACTAGATATGCTGCTTATTTCCTCCATGACCATTTGGGGACTCAGTTTCCCAAACCCATCATTCTAAGGTCCTCTCAGGATACACGTGTGGCCTGCCACATAGATAACGGCACTGATTGAATACTCTGTAGGTATGGAGTCCCCATGCACTTTTAGGGGAGACAAAGTCTTCCTTTTGTTGTTTGCTGACATCTTGGCTGTGAAGGCAGGAAACAAACAAAAGACGACGACATGTAAGGACCGGACAAAGCACTCATACCAAACAGGTTCAAGGGTGTTGGGCAGAAGACCAGATAAGCAGAGTCAGATGGTGAATGGAATTAGAGGTACATTTGAATGGACACTGGAAAGAGGGAAAGCTGATGGATTCTCAGGCATTTTAAAACAGAATAGGCAAGCTGTGGGATTGAGGACAAATAAATGGGAGGGCCAGGTGTGGGCAGCAGGAGCACACTGGGAGTGAGGGAGATGAGGCCACTCAGGGAGAGGGGAGCCCTGTTTGGAACTGAAGCATATCCACTTAGGATAAGGGTGACAACATGTTTAAGAGGACATTCTTTTGTGTATTCAAGAAATAGTCAGCAAGTGCCTATATGGGATATAGTTGTGGTGAAGACACAAAAGAGTCCTTTCATCATGGAGCTTCCACGCGTCCATCCCAAAGCTAAGTCCTGGAGAAAATGCACAGATATAAGTTAGACTTTGAGGCAGAGTTTCTAACAAGAGGCTTTTAGTCTGACCTAGGTAACAAAAAGTGACGGGAAATTTCATAGAATTTTGCATCTGTGGAGGTGAGTCTCAGTTTGGATCAGAGGGTGGTATATTATGCAGTGGGAAGGAAGGAGTAAGTTTCTCCAGGAAGGGAATCATTCATGCATTCATTTAAAATAGCACTTTTCTTTTCCTAGTGCTGTTCTTTATGGAGGGCCTATCTGAAGGTGGAGGGTGGGAGGAGGGAGAGGAGCAGAAAAGTAACTATTGGGTATTAGGTTTAGTACCTGAGTGATGGAATAATCTGTACAACAAACCCCCGTGGCACACATTTACCTATATCACAAACATACACATAGGACTTGAACCTAAAAGTTTAAAAAGGTTAAAAATAAAAAGGCACTTATTGAGTATCAACCATGTTCAGTAAAGTCTGAATATAGAAGTGAATAAAGTCACAGGCTTTGTACTCAAAGAATTCATGGCCCGATGAATTATGAGATACATGCAGAGGTAACACAGGTGGTACCCTCATTGTGCTATTTGATTCAATGCGTTAGTGAATCTTCATTGAAATGACTGAGAACATCTTCCTGAAAGAGTCTGAAAAGACTTCACCAAGAAGGTGGCAGGATCTTGATTAGGTATGAAAGGGAACAGAGGAAAGAATTCCAGATAAACAGTATGAGCTACAAACATTACCCTTTTAGGAAATGGCAAATAACCCAGTGTGGTTGAACCTAGGATGAATATTTAGGGGACTAAAAGGAGTAAGGCCAACAATTTAGGCAGGAATAGGTTTTCACAAAAGTTTAGTGATTTTTATTTTTCTTGTAGCAATGAGATCCTATAAGTGGTTTTCAGCACGGAAGTGTTAGGTTGGTGCAAAAGCAATTGCGGTTTTTGCATAAAAAGTAATGGCAAAAACCACAATTAATTTTGCACCAAACTAATAAAATATGTGGTCTGTCGCACTGTAGTGGATGAGGTGAGCAGGGGTAGAAAACTAAGGAGGTTTTTATACTGACAGGGGAAAGAGATGATGATATGTCAATTATGGAAGGCACAGGGCATGGAGAGAAGAAGAACAGCATGAGACAATTCAGGGGCAGAATCAAGGGCCACCATCACTGACTGAGAAAGAACTCCATGAGCTCCAGTACCTGTGGAAGGCCATATGCCTGGAGAATAATGAAAGAAGTGGAAGAGATGAGGCTGAAAAGTGAGTAGTGACCAGACCAAGCAGGATCTTGTAAGCCAGAGTTAGAATGTGCATTCCATCCTAAGTACAATGGTAGCCCATGAAGGCTTTAGTGAAGGCCTTGCCTGATAGAACTTGCTTTCTTAAATGGCCTTTTTGGCTGCAGTACAGAGAATGAATTATTATAGAAGGTACAAGATTCCATACCACTGAGAAGAGTTAGAAGACTTTTGTAGTCCAGATGAAAGATGATGGTGACTTAAATAAGAGTGCTTGGCAAGGCACACAAAAAGAGTAGGGACTGGAACACATAGGTCGATCACACTTGCCTTTTGAAATTGGATATAAAGGATGAGGAAGGGGACTGAATCAAGGATTACACCCTGGGTTTCTGACCTAGCTATAGGATGGATGGTAATAATACATACTGAGATGGGCAAGTCATGGAGAGGAAAGAGTTTGTGGAGACAGATTTCTGTTTTGGCCCTATTTTGTTTGAGACTTTAAAGTGGAACTATCCAGTGGGAAGTAGGATATGCTAGTTGGGAACTCAGAGTAGAAGCTAGACAGTTGAGCATTCCCTGAATATTGATTTCTCTTGGCATTTTTACCACCTAAGAGAGCACCTAGAGAAGTATGAGAATAAAAGGGCAACAAAAAGAGGAGAGAAAAGAAGAGAGAGAGAGGGGAATACACAAGCAATGATAAGATCATATAAGGGGAGTAGAGGAGATGGGAGCTAGATTGGAAGGAATTAAAAATTAAGAGATGAGGAATTAGATAATGAATTACTCAACTTTTTCAACAAACATTGTTGTGAAGGAAAACAGTTGCGGGTGTTAGATGGAGGGAGATATAAGGCCAAGGAATGCGGGATTGTGCTGATGTCAAGAAAAACATTTTAAAAAAGGGGGCAGATTTGTGTGGGAGGGGGAATATTGTAATGACAAATAACAGTTTTACAATGCTTTACAGTTTACAGGGACTCTTCTCATGATTTTATCTTTCCTCATCATGAAGCAGTAAAATTGTCATGGAAGATATGGTTATGCCTTCATCTATAGGTGAGGAACCTAAATCTTTAAAAATTTCAGTGATTAATACTAGTTTCTATTGGTAGGCTGATGGCTCAATCATTACTTAAACCCAAGTCTTTAGATTCTAATTTTTTTTCCTATATCATGATAATGAGTTTGAGTTATATTTCTGTTAACTTGAATATGCTGGATTTATACTTCTTAGGAAGCAATGAGGTAGAAGCAGAAGAGTGTAGTGATTTAAGACATTGGATTGGGAGGCAGCAAACCAGAGTTCTCGAAGCTCAAGTTTCATCTTTGACGTTTTCCAACTGTTCTGATTGTTAGTGACTTAGTCTTTTGTTTTCTCAATTCATAAGTGTCCACGTTTACTGAGCACTGTTTCAAGATTTGTGCTAAGTGTTTTAAAAGATCTCAAAATCCCCAAAAGAAAGTTTTTAGGCAGGAGCTGAAAAAAAAGGTGGCACAGGTCAAAAATATTGCAAGGAAATGTTTAAACGTTTTCAAGGGAAATGACAACAGAAGGTGGAAAAAGATAGAATGATAAGGATCCCAGATGGAAAAATAGTGTGAAGGGAATAGGTCAGTCTTGCAAAAAGGTAAGTGTGGGGCATCTCTTCTTCTGAATGTCATGAAGTCCAGGAAGGAAGAAGCACGTAGAGATGAAGGTTAAACTACAGTTAGGCAAAAGAGAACAACAAAAGGGCTTCTCATGTTCTCAAGTTACCTGGAGGTAGGGCTTTAGTTGGAGGGATTTCTGAGTGTCAAACAAGGACCTACGAAACCCTGCTAGAAAAAAAATCTAAAGAACTTGTAGGGAAGTGAATTATTAGAAAGTGCTAACTACATTTATTTTTCATATGACCAAGATTGACATTTCAGGGCAGAAACTCTTTCATAATTGGGAGTGTAGTTTGAATTGGAAGGCAATAGGAAGACAGTGACGGTAAATGTTTGTGGGTATGATTTGAATTAAGCAGCAATCTGTATTATTTACAAAGTTGCTTTTGGCCACATGCAGGCCACAAAAGGCTCTTCCTCCACTTGATTTCTCAATAAGGCTGCTTTGTAATACTAGCTTTATTGGAATTAAATGTCCTGAGCACCCAGTGTTTTTATAAACAGCTTAAGGGCAAGGATCATGCATAATATTTCATGATACATATGATTATTTTCTCATTTCTTTTCATGTCTAAAAATGGGTCTAAGAACTAATCTTCTCACAAGAATGATCAGAGTTTGAATGTGAGCATTGTAATTCTGCTGATATTGAATATTCTCTGGAAGGGCCCTGTGGAAGCAGATAAGGAGGAAGAGAATTCCCAGGAGCCATGTCAGCCTCCAATATCACCTTAACACATCCAACTGCCTTCTTGTTGGTGGGGATTCCAGGCCTGGAACACCTGCACATCTGGATCTCCATCCCTTTCTGCTTAGCATATACACTGGCCCTGCTTGGAAACTGCACTCTCCTTCTCATCATCCAGGCTGATGCAGCCCTCCATGAACCCATGTACCTCTTTCTGGCCATGTTGGCAGCCATCGACCTGGTCCTTTCCTCCTCAGCACTGCCCAAAATGCTTGCCATATTCTGGTTCAGGGATCGGGAGATAAACTTCTTTGCCTGTCTGGCCCAGATGTTCTTCCTTCACTCCTTCTCCATCATGGAGTCAGCAGTGCTGCTGGCCATGGCCTTTGACCGCTATGTGGCTATCTGCAAGCCACTGCACTACACCAAGGTCCTGACTGGGTCCCTCATCACCAAGATTGGCATGGCTGCTGTGGCCCGGGCTGTGACACTAATGACTCCACTCCCCTTCCTGCTGAGATGTTTCCACTACTGCCGAGGCCCAGTGATCGCTCACTGCTACTGTGAACACATGGCTGTGGTGAGGCTGGCGTGTGGGGACACTAGCTTCAACAATATCTATGGCATCGCTGTGGCCATGTTTATTGTGGTGTTGGACCTGCTCCTTGTTATCCTGTCTTATATCTTTATTCTTCAGGCAGTTCTACTGCTTGCCTCTCAGGAGGCCCGCTACAAGGCATTTGGGACATGTGTCTCTCATATAGGTGCCATCTTAGCCTTCTACACAACTGTGGTCATCTCTTCAGTCATGCACCGTGTAGCCCGCCATGCTGCCCCTCATGTCCACATCCTCCTTGCCAATTTCTATCTGCTCTTCCCACCCATGGTCAATCCCATAATCTATGGTGTCAAGACCAAGCAAATCCGTGAGAGCATCTTGGGAGTATTCCCAAGAAAGGATATGTAGAGGGTGAGGTGGAGAAAGAATGGGTTGGCTTGTCTGCTGGAGTTGGAGACAGGCTATGGTAGAATGTGCACGGCTGCCAGGATCTTCATGTTTAGTTTTTTCTTGGAAAAAAAAAAAATGATGTCCTGAAACTCAGAGCCACCAGTCTGTTCAGGACTCATGGGTCTGTGTCCTCTGGTAGCCTGTGGATTGAATGTGCTGACTGTGCTGTCTTCTCACAGTGCCCTCACCCCTATCAGTAACTTGACAGAGACTTGACCCATGGGTCTCCAGGTGACTTCACCGAAAGACACAAAGATGCTTCCAACTTCATTTGCTGAAGAGAAGACTTTGAAAATCTGAGTTTCTTTTCTTAGTCATTGGGAATTTGGTGAACTATCTACTCAGGACCTGGGTGAGGGCCAACAGTATATCTGACATAGGAATCCTTCATTCATTCTGACTGGTGGTGTCCAGCTTCTGATGAAACACTCAGTGTTAGGAAGTTTGAAACATTCCAGGGCTGCAGGTTCTGAGTAAGACACCTATGCTTGCTAGAAAATCATTTTTTCACCTAAGCCAGTATGTGTATTCTTTTGCTTATATTTACCAATCCATCCTTATGTCCAATTCCTTTTATTAAGTACTTTGAATAAGACATGTCCTCTGGCTTTATGTTTCATGCAACTCTTTCTTTGCACATAGATGTATCTTATGTTTTCAAGAATGAGAATGGCTCATTTATTTACTAATTCCACCAAATCTGTGATAGGGGATGGGGACACATATACTAAATTAGGGGTGTCAGACTTGTGTATTTGTCCTAAGACAGAGAAGGAAATGATAATTATGATAGATTCTGTTCTCTGAAATTTCCATCCCAAGGCCCAGCATAATAAAAGAAGAGCAAGACCAAGCAGATAGGAGGCAAGAATATTATGTTTCTCTTTTCCTGTCTCATGTGAACTTACCTACTATATAATTCTCTATTAATCCTGACAACACAGCTAAGCTTTTCACACAAGCCCTGTATAAATACATTGTTCTGCTGTTATCTTCTGACCCACTTGTTTCCTCAGATATTATTGCTTAGAAATTATATATCTCTTTTGCTATCACTGTATCTTTCTCTATTTACCTGTCTATATTATTTAGCCTTGAAAGATAATTTCCAAGCCTATTTCAGGTGGGGTGTAGAAGGTTGGAAGCTGTCCAGGAGGGAAGAGTATAGCAAGAACCTAGAGTTTTACTTCCCCTTATATTCCACCTCTGCTCTTATAATTCCCTTTGACACAAAAACAAATACCCCAGAGAAATAATGTATTACATAAAAAATTGCTACATGCTAGATATATATATTTTTGGAGTATATGTGATATTCTGATATATTCATATAATAGATAATGATCAAATCAGGATAATTGGAATATCCATGACCTTAAATGTTTCTTTTATGCTAGGAACATTAAAATTATTCTCTTCTAGCTATTTTGATATATACAGTAGATTGTTTTCTATAGTCCCTACTGATTTCTTGAACACTACATCTTGTTATTTTTTATATCTAGCTGTATTTTTATACTCAATTAATCTCTTATCCTCCCTGCCTCCCTTCCCAGCCCCCAATAACCACCAATCTGCTCTCTATTTTCATGAGCTGTACTTAGCATCCACATGAGTGAGAAATACAATAATTGTCTTTCTGTACCTGGCTTGTTTCACTTAACTTAATGACCTACAGTTTCATCCACGTTGCTGCAAGTGACAGGATTTCATTCTTTCTTATGACTAATATTCCATGTGTATCATATTTTTCTTTATCCATTCAGATATTAATAGCACTTACATTGATTCCATGTTTTGGCTATTGTGTCTAGTACTAAATATAGGAATACAGATATCTCTTTGACATATTGATTCCTTTCTTTTGAATAAATACCTAGTAGTGGGATTACTAAATCTCATGGTAGTTATATTTTTAGTATTTTGAGGAACTTCCATACTGTTTTTCAGAGTGGTTGTATTAATTTGCATTCCCTCCAGAATTGTTGAGGACTAGATATGCTAATGGCAGCACAAGGAAGACTTTGTTCAGCCTTAGATGAAAAGTATTGCTTTTGGGTAAACCAACTGTGAAAAGTACAGGACAACATCACACGACTTCCAAATCAAGCCTCCATTTATTATGGGAACTTGCCTCTCAGGGTTGGTTAGATAGGGAAGGAGCCTGGAAATGGTTCTCCTGGGTTCTTTCCTTTTTAGGACCACTTGTTATTCTCCTAGTTTTGCACCTTTTTGGTTCAGGTCTTCTAAATTCTAAACCCAATTTGTCTCCTCTCACCCCCAGGCCATCAAGCTCCAGATGGTCCTCCGTGAGGTATACTGTCCTCTCAATATTCAAGAGGTACCCTTCTACAGGGAACCGCTAGACTGCTCATCAGTGGACAGAAAGTAGGCAAAATTCTGCCCCTGGACCTGGCTGGATACCACTTTTGCTAAGCCACTGAGTCACCCTCCTGCCCTGACAGCAAGAGGCCAAGACCCACAGAACCACCACCACCACCCCTCTGTCAGCAGAAAGCAGTTACAAAAGACTGACCTTCATCCATTTTCCTCCAAAGATTTGGGGTCTTGGGCTCTTGAGTGGGGGGAAACATTACAGGTAGTTAGACAGGCATGAGTGGGGCAGGAGGGGGCCCTACCACCTACCCACCAGGAATGTCTGACTATAGTCAAGTGATGGTTGGGCAGTTACCACACTGCCCCTCTAAAAATGATAACTTGGCCATCAGTGCCAGGGAGAGACAATCTCCCGATGGTCCAAGCTGCCACACTAAAGTGTTAATTGAATTCAGGTACCTAAGAGAGGCAACTTCCCAAACAGATGAAAATACTTGAGATTGGTAATCAGTTTCCAGTAAAATCACAGGAAATGAGCAAGTGAGCCTGGGCATGTTCATTAAAAAACAAAGTGGTGGAGTATGACCTTCCAGAGGCATTCTGTCAGAAAACTGAAGAAAGCCTCAGATGGGCATGCGTACAACTTCTTAAACACACTGCGCATGCTCACTTCCTAAGGGTAAGGAGGGCACTGTGCATTCAGGCAGCCCACCCTAAGGGAAGAATCATGGGAAAGGGGTGCAAGACCCTGGAAGTGGGCCATCTTATAAAGTCCCAGGATCAAGATTAAGTGGGGCACTTGTCCTTCAAGTCGCCTGCTTGGGTCTCTTCCAAGTGTACTTTCCTTTCTTTCCTGCTCTAAGGCTATTTTTTTTTTTTTTTTTTTTTTTTTTTTTTTTTTTTTTTGAGATGGAGTCTCTCTCTGTAACCCAGGCTGGAGTGCAATGGCATGACCTCGCTCATTATAACTACCGCTTCCTGGTTTCAAGCTATTCTTCAGTCGCAGCCTCCCAAGTAGCTGGGACTACAGGTGCCTACCACCATGCCTGGCTAATTTTTCTATTTTTAGTAGAGACGGGGTTTCACTTTGTTGGTCAGGCTCATCTCGAACTTCTGACATCAGCTGATCCACCCACCTCAGCCTCCCAAAATGCTGGGATTACAGGTGTGAGCCACTGTACCTGGTGCCTGCTCTAAAGCTTTTTAATAAACTTCCACTCCTGTTCTGAGACTTGCCTTGGTCTCTTTTTCTGCCTCATGACCCTCAAAATTCTTTTTTCTGAGGAGGCAAGAATTGAGGTTGCTGCAAACCTGTACAGATTCACTGCTGATAACTTGGATACCTTATATACGCATAACAGAAGCAGATATGGGACTAGATATTGGTGTTAGAACAACTAAGTTCCTCTTCAAAACTTAACTTTCTTGTTATAAGTTGTAAGATTGTAAATTAGCCCTTCTCCCTGCTTTGGCCTTCAAAGTCCTCATCTCACTACCTTATTTGGAAGAAGTTTCAAACTTCCTTTTTCTCTCTGTTCTGTGACCAACCCTTCCCTCCTTGCTGCACCCAGATATGCCTAGACATGCCTTCCCTCCTGCCTAGTTAATAACAGTCTCTCCCTCCCCTCCTCCCTTTGCAAATTGTGCATTTACTCCATTTGGAAAAGTTTAAGTCTTTTACCCTATTTGGAGAAGTTTAAGTCTTAGCCAATCTGGATAGCTTAGATTGTGAGGTCCAACTGCAGCCAATGGGGAAAGGACACAGAAACAGGAATTAGGGATAAAAACCCCTTTTCTCCTTTGTTTGGTGTGCTCTTGCAATCGTGGCTGATGCAGGTAGCACTGTTCTGCAGAAGTAAATTGCCATTCTGAGACAACTTTTTGCCTGAGTGCTGGTTCTTCTTTGTGGCATCAAGCATTTGTTTCTAACAATTTGGGGGCTCATCAGGGATCCCATTCTCCTCTGGGGAAGGGTCTGCAAACCCCTGTCATGAGGAGATGCATCCCGCTGCCTCATTGCAGTGGCCTCAGGAATAAGGAATTGAGCCCCACCCAGCGTGATGAATAAAACCAGGACTCTCAGCAACATGGGAGGAAAAGGCCTACAAATACTGCAGTGACCAGGTAACTGTGCACAGACTGTGGTAAGAAAAACCATAGGGGCAGTAAAGTATTTCTTGGTGGTCAGGGCATCCTGGAGGTTGAAAAGGTGTGGGTGAGCTGCACAATTGAGTGCGAAGCCAGTGTGGTCCTGATCTGCAGTTCTGTGGTCACCTCATATGGCTTACGCTGGATTCCTGTCGTGGGGTTTACATCAACATGCCAATGCTAAGAGGGACCTAAATTCACTCTGTGGAAGCAGCCAGAGGTGGATGAAGCAAAAGCAAAGGAGTGCAAGAAACCTCCAGTAAGGGGGTTGAGCCTCTAGAGTAGAGGGTACAAGAAATCTCTAGTAAGAGATGTTGACCCCCCACTTAGGGGTCACACTCAGGAAACACCTAAAGCTTCTAGGATGGGAAATAGCCCAAGCAAGACAGGATAAAAAGGAAAAGATGGGCAATAAAATACACTCAGATAGCCCTCTAGGTCTCGTGTTAAAATATTGGAAGGATAAGGAAAGAACTAAACAGAAGAAAAAGCAGCAAATGATAAAATATTGATTTTTTATTTGGACCAAAGAACCTATCCTCAAACCTTCAAGTCTTCTAGCCAAAGTTTGGGTCTAGTGAGGAATGGATTTGTCAACTTTTAATAGAGTATGTCAATAACAAAAGTCCTATCTCCCTGGAGGAAATAGACTATGCCTTGTGTTGGTGGCAGAGGCCTGTCATCCTCTAGTCCATAAAACTACAGGACACAAGCCAGAAACTACTTCCTCTCAAGAAATTAATATCCCTCACCCCAAAAGTGTAACACGTGGGCTGCCTTAGACCAACTTCCCCCACCAAACTTCCTTCCCCCTCCTACAGACCAACTTCCTCCTCCAAACATTACTAACTTCCCTCCCCCTCCAGCAGTTGCAACTGCCTCAAACTCTTCCCCAACTCACATTGTCATTTCCCTCCCTTATGACCCTGACTCTTGGGGCTGTCCCCAGCCCTCCCTTAGGAAGGCTTCAACATGAGATAGAACAATGTAAGAAGGATATCCAAACTTTCCTTTCCCCACTACCTCTAGAGGATTGGCTGCAAACCTTTTTCCCTTAAGGGAAGTTCCTCTAGGAGGAGGGGGCATTGGCTTTGTGAATGTCCCCTTAACCAGTTCAGAAGTCCAAAGCCTGAAAAGGGAACTAAAACCACTCTTAGATGATCCCTATGGAGTAGCAGATCAAATTGATCAATTCTTAGGCCCCCACTTGTATACTTGGGCCGAGTTAATGTACATCCTAGGCATCCTCTTTTCGGAAGAGGAAAGAAGCATTATCTGTAGGGCTGCTATGACCTTTTGGGAGCGTGAGAACCCCCCGGTCAAAACATCCCTGCAGCTGAACAGAAATTCCCTCCTCAAGATCCCCAATGGAATAACAATATAGCCTATTGAAGAAATATGAGAGACCTAAGGGAAATAATTAAAGGAATTAGAGAATTGGTGCCCTGCACCCAGAATATTACTAAAGCCTTTAATACACAACAGGGAAAAGATGAAGGGCCCATGGAATTCCTCAACAGACTTAAGGAACAGATGAAGAAATATGCAGGTTTAGATGTGGAGGGCCCACCTGGACAAGGGATGTTAAAGCTCCACTTTGTCAGCAATAGCTGGCCAGGCATCACAAAGGAATTACAGAAGACAGAAAATTGGAAAGACCATTCCATAGAGGAACTTTTAAGAGAGGCCCAAAAGGTATGTGTACGGAGGGATGAAGAAAAGCAAAAGCAAAACGCAAAAATTATGTTGTCCACCTTACAACTCCCTAACAGGCAGCCCAGGGAAATAGAACTTACAAATCTTCTAAGTCCCTGGCTGTCAGACCCTACACAGAAGGAAAAGGGATCAAGCCAGACAGCCATGAAATAGAGAAAAGAAGCAAAATAAATGTTTCAAATGTGGAAAAATAGGTCATATTAAAAGAGAATGCCCTGAATGGGAAAAAGAAAAGGAAGTTATTCCCCTTATGGCTTTTGAGGAAGATTAGGAGGGTCAGGGGCTCTGTCTTTTCTATATTGAGTTCCACCAAGAGCCCTTGATAAATTTAGAGGAGGGACCCAAATTCAAGCTTATTACCTTTTTAATTGACTCAGGGGCAGCTTCCTCCTCTGTTTATCATTCCCCATCTGGTGTAATTTGTTCACAAGAAGAACTCCTTATTTCAGGAGTGAAGGGAGAAGGATTTAAAGCAAAACCTTTAGAGGAAACAAAAGTCATATATAAAAATAGATCAGCTAATATACAATTTTTGTTAATACCAGAGGAAGGAACTAACCTAATAGGAAGAGATTTAATGCTAGAATTAGGCTTAGGCCTCTATGTTAACCAGGGAAAATTTCTCACCTCTCTAAACTTACTCACTACTATAGATGAAGAGTATATCCATCCTAATACCTGGTCAAAAGAAGGAAATCAAGGAAAATTATTTGTTTCCTCAATAAAGGTCAAATTAAAAACTCTTGGGGAAGTAGTAAGAAAACAACACCCTATTCCTTTAAAAGCTAGGATAGGTTTAAAACCTATAATTGAAAGCCTTGTTCATGATAGACATCTTGAACCCTGTATACCCCCTTATAATACCACAATATTACCTGTAAAGAAGCCAGATGGGTCATACTGGCTAGTGTAAGACCTCCGGGCTATTAATCAAGTAGTTCAAACTACATACCCTGCTGCTCCCAATCCTTACACCATTAACAGCAAAATCCCACCTAACTATGAATGGTTCACTGTAAAACCTGAAAGGTGCCTTCTGGACTTGCCCTTTAGTGGAGGACAGCTGGGACTTGTTTGCCTTTGAGTGGGAAGACCCCCGATCTAGTTTAAAACAACAGTACCCATGGACAGTTTTACCCCAAGTGTTTACAGACTCTCCAAATCCTTTTGGTCAAAATTTAAAATAAGTCATAGAAAAATTTTCCTTGCCCTCATGCATATGCCTACTCCAGTACATGGATGGCCTGCTTATTTCAGGGGAAAACAAAGAATGGGTAACAGCATTTTCAATCAACTTCCTTAATTTTCTAAGAGTAGAAGAATTAAGAGTCTCAAAAAGTAAACTTCAGTTTGTAGAGCCTGAAGTAAAGTACTTAGGAATTTTAATCAGCAAAGGCAAATGGAGGATTGGGTTTGAACGAATTGAAGGTATTATATCCCTACTTCTGCCAGAAACAAAAGAGGAGCTTAGAACGTTCTTAGGCTTAGTTGGATACTGTTGCCTATGGGTTGACTCTTATGCCCTAGAAAGAAAACTGCTATACCAAAAACTCAATTCAGAGGGAGTCGCCCCCACTTATCTGGACCCAACCAGAAATGCGACAGATAGAAAAATTAAAACATTTACTAGTAACTGCCCCTGTTCTCATTCTACCCTCCCTAGAGCAGCCATTTCATCTTTTCGTCAGTGTAAACAAGGGAGTGGCTTTAGGGGTACTCACCCAAGATCATGGGGGCCACCAGCAGCCCATAGCCTTTTTGTCAAAAATTCTAGACCCAGTAACCCATGGATGGCCTGCATGTGTCCAATCTGTAGCAGCAACTGCCTTGCTAACAGAAGAAAGCGGAAAATTAACCTTTGGGGGAAACCTCATTGTTAGCACACCTCACCAAGTCAGAACTATTCTCAACCAAAAGGCAGGAAGATGGCTTACTCAATAATTTTAAAATATGAAGCTATCCCACCATTAGAAAGGATGACCTAGCACTAACCACTAAGAATTCCCTAAATCCCATTGCTTTCCTAATAGGAAATCCAAACCCAGAAGTAACAGGGAACTCACACCCAAAGAAACCATAGCATAAATGTTTAGACCTAATTAGTTGCCAAACCAAAGTTAGACAAGACCTATGTGAAACTCCTCTTCAAACAGGGAAACATCTTTTCATAGATGATTCCTTCCAGGTAATTGAGGGGAAAAGGCATAATGGATACTTCATAGTTGATGAAGATACCCTCACAAAAATAGAATCAGGAAGATTACCAAATGACTGGTCCACACAAAGGTGTGAGCTATTTGCCCTAAATCAAGCCTTAAAATTTGTACAAAATCAGGAAGGAACAATTTATACTGACTCTAAATGTGCTTTTGGAGTAGTACATAGTTTTGGGAAAACCTGGACTGAACAAGGCCTTATCAACAGTAGAGGTCAAAACCTAGCCCACAAAGAGTTAATAATACAAGCATTAGATAATCTCCAGCTGCCTAAGGAAATATGTTGTTCATGTCCCAGGACACCAAAAGAACCTCTCCTTTGAAAGTGGGGGAAATAATCTAGCCGATCAAATGGCCAAGCAAGCTGCCTCTTCCCAAGCTGCACCCGTTTTTCATTTAACCCCTCACCTTCCCCCTACAACTGCACTCCCCATCTTCTCCCATGCAGACTAGGAAAAGCTAAAAAAAATCAGGAGCTAAAGAAAACCCAGAAGGAAAGTGGGTATTACCAGATGGAAGGGAAATGTTATCTAAGCCTCTTATGAGGGAAATATTGTCACAACTTCATCAAGGATCTTATTGGGGTCCTCAAGCTATGTGTGATACAGTCCTTAGAGTCTATGGGTGCATAGGAATATACACCCTCACCAGACAAATAGTGGAGGGTTGCATCGTGTGCAGAAAAACTAATTAAAGGGGGCCAGCCCCTCCACACCTGTGGGTATTTCTCATCAGGTGGGATGAGAGACTGAGAAAAGAAATAAGACACAGATGAAGTATAGAGAACACTCGGCCCAGGGGACTGGGGCTCAGCATACAGAGGAACTGCACAGGCACCGGTCTCTGAGTTCCCTCAGTATTTATTGATTACTATTTTCACTACCTCAGCAAGAGGAAGTGACCCAGACAGGATGCTGCAAGGCGAGTCTGAATTGCTCCTTCACTGTAGTGAACTGCAGGTTGGGCAATAATGGGTGCTGCTGGCCAAGTCGCAGTGAGCCTGGTTTCAGGCTCCCTCCTCCAGCACTCACTTGGCTGAGGAGGAGGTGGCCTTCATGGTTTTAGTCCTGATGGCCCTGATGTTTCTGGACCTTTTCCTTTTAATTTTAATGTTTCAGGATATATTACCTCCTGTAATTGCTTGTAGTCAACATTTTGTGTTGACCGAGCCATTACAGACTCTGTTACATTTTTACAATGTGAACTTTCCATTCCTTTCTTGAACTCTGTCTCTGCCTCTTCTTTACAATCTATTACACAGCTCTCAGGGGCATCAGAAACTGAAACACTATCTTCTTCTATTTGAAACGGTTTTAAAGTTGCTTTAATAATGGCCCAATTATTCCATACTGTAAGTGGGATGATTTTACCTTCCCTACTTGCTTGTTTTAATTCTTTGCCAATTTTTTTTTCCAATCTTTTAGATCTAAAGTTCTCTCTTCTGGAAACCATGGGCAGAATTATTCTATTGTTTGAAATAGCATAATTAGATTTTCTGTAGAAGCTTTAAGGCCCCCTCTTCTTAAAAGAATTTTAATGAAGCTGAGATAAGAGGCATTTTTACTTTCAGTTTTTCCCATTGTTACCATGGGTTCCTCCCAGCACACAAGCTTCCTGCAAGGCTGACCATGGACGTACTTGGGAATCTGTCATCGACTGTCCTCAATGCTCATGTTCTTAATGTATCTTCACCCTAGAGAAAGGCATCTACGCTGGGCGGCAGATGAAGGAGGCCAGCCCCTCCACACCTGTGGGTATTTCTCATCAGGTGGGATGAGAGACTGAGAAAAGAAATAAGAGACAGAGCTCAAGTATAGAGAAAGAACAGTGGGCCCAGGGGACCAGTGCTCAGCATACGGAGGACCTAGACCGGCACTGGTCTCTGAGTTCCCTCAGTATTTATTGATTACTATTTTTACTATCTCAGCAAGAGGAATGTGGCAGGAGAGCAGGGTGATAGTGGGGAGAAGGTCAGCAAGGAAACATGTGAGCAAAGGAATCTGTGTCACAAATAAGTTCAAGGGAAGGTACTATGCCTGGATGTGCACGTAGGCCAGATTTATGTTTCTCTCCACCCAAACATCTCAGTGGAGTAAAGAATAATAAAGCAGCATTGCTGCCAACATGTCTCGCCTCCCACCACAGGGCAGTTTCTCTCCTAACTCAGAATTGAACAAATGTACGATGGGGTTTTATACGGAGACATTCAGTTCCCAGGGGCAGGCAGGAGACAGTGGTCTTCCTCTATCTCAACTGCAAGAGGCTTTCTTCTTTTACTAATCCTCCTCAGCACAGACCCTTCACGGGTGCTGGGCTGGGGGACAGTCAGGTCTTTCCCATCCCACGAGGCCATATTTCAGACTATCACATGGGGAGAAACCTTGGACAATACCCAGCTTTCCAGGGCAGAGGTCCTTGCGGCTTTCCGCAGTGCATTGTGTCCCTAGTTTATCAAGCCTGGAGAATGGCGATGATTTTACCAAGCATACTGCTTGTAAACATTTTGTTAACAAGGCACATCCTGTAAAGCCCTAGATCCCTTAAACCTTGATTCCATACAACACATGTTTTTGTGAGCTCAAGGTTGGGGCAAAGAGGTTGGGGCAAAGTTACAGATTAACAGCATCTCAGGGCAAAGCAATTGTTCAGGGTACAGGTCAACATGGAGTTTCTTGTATCTTCCCTTTCTACATAGACAGAGTAACAGTCTGATCTTTATTTCTTTTCCCTGAAACTAAATAAGCAAACCTCAAAAAGGCAACCTCCCAGGGACGAAATCCAGGGTTAAGGCCATTCCAAAGTGTCCAAGTTGATTATACTGAAATGCCCCCAATAGGCTGCCTCAAGTATTTACTAGTTAATAGTAGACCATCTCACCCACTGAGTAGAAGCCATTCCCTTCCCAAGCACAACAGCCAGTAATATAGTCAAAGCTCTGTTGGAATGTATCACACCCAGGTTTGGACTAATAGAAAACATTGATTTGGATAATGGGACCCACTTCACTGCATACATCATTAAGGGGCTAGCCCAAGTATTAGGGATAAAATGGAAATATCATACTCCCTGGCACCTGCCCTCATCAGGGAGGTTAGAGAGAATGAATCAAACTCTAAAAAACATCATTTAACCAAACTAATCTTTGAAACTCGGTTACCATGGACAAAATGTCTTCCCATTGCCTTACTAAGAATCTGAACTGCCCCTAGGAAAGATCTTGGCCTGTCCCCTTATGAAATGCTCTACGGGCTGCCCTACCTAAATTCTACTACTGACCTTCCTAAATTTGAAACAAAAGATCAGTCCTTGAAAACTATACATTTGGTCTGTCTTCTAGCCTTTCCTCCCTCAGGACTCAAGGCCTCCTAGTGCAGACTCCACCCCTCAAATTCCCAGTTCACCAACACCAACCCAGAGATCACGTCCTTGTCAAAAGCTGGAAAGAGGGAAAGCTTGAGCCCACCTGGAAAGGACCTTACCTGATGCTCCTCACAACTGAGACAGCAGTCTGAACTGCTGAAAAGGGGTGGACCCATCATAGCCGAGTCAAGGTGTCACCCTCTCCAAAGCCATGGACCATCATTCCAGGGCCAACTCCCACCATAGTAACGTTAAAATGAAAAGTCTAATCTGTCCCTATTTCCTCTTCTTTTTCCTTTAGTTACCAAGGACACCTTATCATCAATGTAACCCGATCACTTTTCCCCCAAACAATTACATTTGATGCTTGCCTTGCCATATCTTGTGTGGACCTAAAAAGTCAAAGACAGCTCAGTTCTTCAGAAAAGTATCTTTGTCCCTCCGGGAGGACAGTATGGGCCCTCACTTATTATATTTGGGGAGAGGTTATATGGACCACCAAGTATCAGGGCTGGACTGCAAATTCTGCCCTAAAGCCCTACCTCCACCTCACCAAAGGAACCACCTTCCCCATCCCAATTGCCAAACACATCAGTGCAACCCAATACTTATCTCCATTACTACCCCTACCTCCAGTAATTCTAACCCCACCTTAGAGCACTTCTATGGTTTAGGAGCAGATATAACTGGAAAGGACCCTGTGGGTTTCTTTGAAATGTGTTTTGTTTCTCCTCCTCCACCCTCTCACCAAACCCACAAAATCAAACTATTTCTCGCTTCACATCAAATGACAAAACTAAGGTAGCTATAGTAGAAGTCAATGACCTAAAGCAAACTTTAGCTATTGAAACAGGGTATCAAGATGCAAATACCTGGCTAGAATGGATTAAATATTCCATCTGTACACTAAATAAAAGTGATTGTTACGCTTGTGCAACAGGCAGACCAGAAACCCAGATTGTCCCCTTTCTACTTGGATGGTCCTCCAACCACCCAGGCATGGACTGTATGGTAGCTCTCTTCCAAAACCCCACAGCCTGGGGCAATAAGCCATGTCAAACCCTCTCACTGCTATTCCCAGAAGCTAAACGTCCTGCAGGTCAGCCCCCGAGGGCCATCCATCCAACCTCCAGCTATAAATGCCAATTTCACCTCCTGTCTCTCACAGCAGGGGGGAAATGTGGCATTCCTTGGAAGCTTAACTGGATCCAGTGAGTCTAAACCTTTCCAAGAACTAACCCATCAGTCTGCCCTTGTTCATCCCTGAGCAGATGTATGGTGGTATTGTGGTAGACAACTATTGGGTACTCTGCCAAGTAACTGGAGCAGCACTTGTGTTCTAATACAATTGGCCATCCCTTTTACCCTGGCATTTCATCAACCCAGCAAAAAGAACCACCACCACAGTAAAAGAAGTGTCCCTCATGGGTCTTTTGATCCTCATGTTTATATAGATGTTATTGGAGTGCCCCAGGGGGTACCAGATGAGTTTAAAGCCTGAAATCAAATAGCCACAGGATTTGAATCTGTATTATTCTGGTGGTCGACTATAAACAAAAACAGATTGGGTAAATTACATTTACTATAACCAACAACATTTTGTCAATTACAAAAGAGATGCCATTAGAGAAATATTTGAACAACTAGGTGCCACCAGCCAGATGGCTGGGGAAAACAGAATAGCTCTTGATATAGTAGCTGAAAAAGGTGGAGCCTGTGTCATGATGGGAGTTCAATGTTGTATTTTTATTCCTAATAACACGGCCCTTGATGGAACAATTACAAAACCATTGCAAAGCCTTATCAATTTAGAAAACGAATTAGCTAAAAATTCTGGAATAAATAACCCTTTTACAAGTCTCATGGGAAATGGTTTGGGAAGTGGAAAGGACTCTTGACTTCAATATTTACTTCTTTTGCAATTGTTATAGGTGTACTCATTCTTGTAAGTTGCTGTATCATACCCTGTATTTGTGGGTTAATGCAAAGGCTTCTAGAACCACTCTCACAAAAGCCTTCCTCCACTCTCCCCCACCCTATTCAGATAAATTCCTACTTCTAAACTACCAAGAGGAACAACCAAGCCGAATTACGTTAAGACATTTTGAAGAGAAAGAATTATAAAATGGAAAAGGGAAAATTTGTTAGAACAATTTCCTCTTCAAAACTTAACTCTCTTGTTGTAAGTTGTAAGACTGTAAATTAGCCCTTCTCCCTGCTTCAGTCTTCAAAGTCCTCATCTCACTACCTTATTTGGAAAAAGTTTCAAATTTCCTTGTTGTCTCTGTTCTGTGACCAACCCTTCCTGCCTTGCCACACCCAGACATGCCCAGACATGCCTTCCCTCCTGCCTAGTTAGTAATGGACATCTCTTCCTCCCCTCCTTTCGCAAAGTGCGTGTTTACCCTATCTGGAAAAGTTTAAGTCTTTTTCCCTATTTGGAGAAGTTTAAGTCTTAGCCAACCTGGATAGCTTAGATTGTAAGGTCCAACTCCAGCCAATGGGGAAAGGACACAAACAGGAATTGCGTTAGGGATAAAAACCCCTTTTCTCCTTTGTTTGGTGTGCTCTTGCAATTGTGGCTGATGCAGGTTGCACCATTCTACAGAAGTAAATTGCCTTGCTGAGAAAACTTTTTGCCTGAGTGCTGGTTCTTCTTTGCAGTATCAAGCATTTGTTTCTAACATTGGGAAGAGGCTGGACAAATTTGGAGGAGCATCTTAAAAGCCTAGACTCTGATGAGGGCTTAGAGGAAATAAAGATTAGGGAACATTTGAAACTCTTTAGAGATTAAGTGGTTGTGGCCAGAATGCTGGTAAAAATATGAAGTGTAAGGGCCATTCTGATAAGGTTTCAGATAGAATTGAGGGACAAATTATTGAAAACAGGAGTAAAGATCATCGCTGTCATAAATTGGCCAAGAACTTAGCTAAACTGTGTTCATGCCCAAGGGCTTCGTGAAGGGCCAGACTTGACAGTGATAAACTAGGGTACTTGGCTGAAGAAGTTTCTAAGCAAAATATAGAAGGTGCTTCATGGGGGTTAATTTTGGCCCCTTACACTGAGATTCAGGAGCAAAGGCATAATTTAAAAACAGGATTTATGATTAAAAGGAAAGTAAAGTGGAAAGATTTGGAAAACTCTCAGCCTCTTGATGTAAAGAATGAAAAAGTGTGCTCAGGAGAGGAAACCAAGAGTGTAGCCCAGACGTGGTTTGCTACAGAGATTAACATGGATTGAAAAGAACCAGGTGCATTCCTCAAGACAATGGAAGTATAATTTGAGAGACCAAAATAGATGCCCCTTTATCAACTGATATGGACCCTAAGTTTAAGGAAACAAAAGTTACCTACTGGTTGAGGATTCACGCTTGACTGGCATGGTAACTTCCTAAATTCCTTATGGCTACAAGAAGAACCACACTCTTGCTAATCTCCCTAACAACAGGAGCTATTAGGTAGATTGTCAAACCTTTCCTAAGTGATTTACAACCCAGGCCACTACAATTCTGATTAGACAGAGGACTTGCCTTACACTCTTTCCTGATTAACAATTGCAGACCTCAAGCCAGTTTCAGCAAGCTCATAACTGTCTTTGTGTCCTATGGTTTGTCTTTTGACAAAAGGCAAAAATAAAGAGCCAAGTTCTGCCTCATTTTAATGCTAAAACCTCACTCCAAAATGAACATGAGATGTATATTCCATATATCTTTACCCACTATGCATATGCTCAACTCCCCTCATAAATATGTATTAGCTTTTTCTCCAAACCTGCTGAGTATGTATGACTATCGTGTAATACACACCTTGTGAAGCATAAAAACCAGTCTGCCCTTTTCCTCTTCAGAGAGAGAACCTTTGGTACAAGTTAGAGACTATCTTTTCCCGGTTTGCAACTAATATTGCCAATAAAATTCCTCTATTATTTAGCCATTGTGGTGGTCTTTTGCATGACAGAAGAAAGACCCTGAAGGCGTTTCAAAGATAGTTGAGGCTGTCACTCCTATCATAGGTCCAGAAGCCTAGAAGGAAAAAATAGTTTCCAGAGAGAGGCCCCAGGCACCCTCCAAAGGTTTGCTACCCAGGGCTGTCTTGGGATTCTGCTCCCTAATTTACTCTGGCTCAGTGCTTCTCAGCTGATCCAGCTATGGCCCAAGCAGCCCCAGGTGCAGGTCGACTTGCCCTTTAAGAGGATACAAGCCCTAAGCCTTGGCAGTGTCCATGTGGTGCTAATGCTGCAGGCTTGCAGAAAGCAAGAGCTGTGAAGACTTGGCAGTGTCCATGTGGTGCTAATCCTGCAGGCTTGCAGAAAGCAAGAGCTGTGAAGACTTGGCAGTCTCCATGTAGATTTCACAGGAAGTTGATTACAACGTGGGAGCTGGGGCAGAGACTTGTGGGGCAGAGCCACTGCACCCCTGCTAAGAGCCCCCACTAGAGCTGTGCTGAGTAAAAATGTGGGGTTGGAGCTGCTGCAGAGAGTTCTTACCAGGATGATGCCTAGTGTCATGAAAGCAGGACGCCAGAACTGTAGCGTTACCAGCAGCAGGCAATGCCTACCTGGGAAACCCTCAGAAACCTATAGAGGCAGTGTTGTGTGGAGTACACAGCAAAGCCATAGGGTGGGGCTGCCTGGGGCTGCCAGGAGGCTTTACATAAAGTGAAAAGCAATTATTGTCTAGCTTTAAGATGTAATGTCTGCCCTGCTGGGTTTTGGCCTTGCCTGGGGCACGTTATTCCTTTCTTTTTGCCTATTTCTCCCTTTTGGAATAAGAATGTCTGTCTTATGTCTGTAGCATCAATGTATCTTGGAAGTAGATAACCTGTTCTGATTTCACAGACTCATAGATGAGAGTCTGCACTTTGGACTTTTGAGTTGGTGCTGGAATGAGTTAAAACACTGGGGCTATAGAGATAGCATGAATGTATTTGTATGTCAGAACATGAGTTTTAGGGGGTGGGGCAGGGCAGAATGCTATGGTTTGAATATTTGTCCCTGCCATACAAATCTCCAATGTGGCAGTACTGAGAACTGGGGCCTTTAAAAGCAGTGACTGGGTCACATGGGCTCTGCCCTCATGTATGAACTAATCTATTCATGAATAGATTAATGGATTAACAAACCAGCTTGTTAACATTGTGGTGGGAATGGTGGCTTTATGAGAAGAGGAAGAGAGACCTGAGGTAGCACATTAGCATGCTCAGCTCCTTGCTGTGGGATGTCCTGTGGCCCCTTGAGACTGTAGGGAGGCCCCACCAGCAAGAATGACCTAGGCCCCATGATCTTGGGCTTCTCAGCCTCCATGACTGCAAGAAATCAATTCCTTTCCTTTATAAGTTACCCAATTTAATGGTATTCTGTTATAAGCAAAAGAAAATAGACTAAGACAGGAACCCTGGTAAAAAGCAGCTTTCTTCTCAGGTCTTTGAAAAATAGACATTCAAGTCAGTTGTAGGCAGAAAGGTCACCCTTTATCATTTATAGAGGAACGGTCATTATTCATACACATTCACATTTATACTGTCATCTCAATTATGTACATAAATTTCCCATCCATTCTGTAAGTTATGATAAATTGGGAATATTATCTCTACTTTAGAGATGAGAAAGCAGATTAAGCATCAGAAAATGCCAAACCAAGGTCACAAGTGGGATGTTAATGTAGCGTTCAGTTTAATATAGAATATGCACGCAAAATAGAACACCTAATGGATGACCTTGGCCTGGTCAGACTGGAATCATTACCCTTTCACGTCACATTGGGATAGGAGCTGCCTGCAGTGTACACATTCTAGTGAGTTGGTCTTTCTTTTGAGATACTGCAAGTATGATAGTAAAGGTAAGGAGAGGCACAGCAAAGTCCAAGGTGCAAGCCAGCTCCACTGAAAATGCTCACAGCTTCTGGGAAGTAGGGCATGATCCCTGGGAGGCATGACTCAGTGCTATTAAATGGGGCAGGAAACCCTCAGGGTTTGAGTCCTGGGTCAGGGGAGTCCCCTTATAAAGGCCCTGAGAGATGAGGCCAGAGCCGTCTGTGATCCCTGAGGATTCTCCTCAAGTGCAGCAGTTTCTGCTTCCACAGCCTTTTGGGAGGAGGGCAGAGGTTGGTGAGGATAAAGCCAGCTGCTATTTGCCCAGGTTCTTCCTTCCCAAACTCTTTAGACTAGAAAAGGAAGGTGGCACTGGGGCTGCATGAGCTAAGGGAAAGAGCCCAGAATTTTAAGTCAGACTGAGAAGTGTGAACAGAGCTGCAACTGGGGAGAAAGAGGAAAGAGGTAACAGTTGCGGTGAGCAGGAAGGTGGGTGGGGGCACTCTCAGTTACTTCCCACACCTCACCCTCTGCCCAAACCCCATATTTCCTCATCTTTGCCCTCCAACAGAGGGAAGAGAAGTCTTGATAGTCCCACCTAACTGGTTTGTGTATAAACCCCAGACACTTGCCCCACCACAGAGGATGCCTGCTTCCTTTCTGTGCCAAACACTGTGGGCCATCTCCAAGAGCTCTTAGCTGATTATTCCAGTTTGGATCCAGTCACTGCTTTTCCTAAGTCCCACCAGTGTCCCCATCCCAGTTAAAGGGCTTCTGCATTAGTCAAGAGGAAGAAAATGGGGCCTGAACTAGATAAATGTCAGAGAAAGGTAAATACATGTTTTTGAGGTTCTTCTACCAGAAGCAGTCTTGAAGCACCTTGCATATGTGACTATCCTTCCTTGTCTGGTTCTTAATTTTTCAAATCTGTCATTCTGATATCCTTTTAAGATAAAGCTGTAGGCAACCAAATAGATATCAGTATTAACTGAGTCCATTCAGCATATGGAGGCCTCTTTTAAGGAGTTCTGGGAGACATAAACAGACAAGTCCTTTGAGCATGGATATCTTAGTTCTGAAAACAATGAACAGTCTGGACAAAATTTTCACTACAGAGCAGGTCTTAGATTCTGGATATTAGGGGAAGACGACTGGCTCCATTCACGCTCCTACTCTGAGTCCTTCATTCTGAAAGGAGTTGATTTTAGATGACCTTCAAAGGAAATAAGATTTATGGACTTGGACATCCTGTCTTTTCCAGAAAAATTTAAGAGATGCCATCCATTTTCTATGTGTGAGGATGGGCGAGCAGGTCTCAAGATGATCAGTGATGTTCAGAAGTTGCACAGAGGAATTCAAGGGGGATATGAAGACAAAGTAAAACATGCTTGGATTGAGGAAAATGCATGTTTACAAGGGGAGATGTACAATAGCTGTGTTTTTTTTTATCCCACAGGTTCGTTATGTACCAGCAAATGTTCATGGTACTGAAGATATACCAGTTGAAGAGAAAGAATGTTCTTGTTGTCATAGTACCTATTTGCTACGAGGTCAAATCTTGTTCCTGGAAGAAATGTACAAATATTAATACTTAAAACAGTATTTTCCATTAAGAAGAGAATTTTATTCTGATGTAGGTAACAGAGGTTATTGTTGGGATTCTTAGAACTTCCATCCTAGATGCATTTTAAATTACAAGATAACCAAACATTCTGAGCTTGCATCATATGAGAGGAGGGGAGTAGTAATCTGAGAACGTCAGAGAGATGTCTTTCAGCAGTCTAGAAGTCATGCTTCATTTGGTGAAATGTTCCACGCTTACCATGTATGTTAGAGCCTGAGTTTACAGAAGGGAATAGGCACAGTCCTTTAACTTCAGTCCCTTCACTTTGTGATTTGGTGAATATTTATGAAAGGACAGATATTAGAGAATAAAAGAGGAACTTTGTATACTTGTTAAGATTCTTTTGCAGCAGTAGTTGGTGATAGATGCTGGTGGTTTGCACAAGGGTGATGATGATGGAAATAGACACCTTGGAGATTTAGTCCGTAGGATGATCCAGTGGTACCTGCTGATGGTTAAATATGGTGCAGGAAGAATAGGGAAGAATCCAGGATGACTTGATTCTAGATTGAGCAACTGCTTGGACAGGATGTTGCATTCTGAGATATGGGTGGCACAAGCAGAGAAGTAGTTATAATTTCTGCCTCAGGCATGACAGGTTTGACATATCTGTGAGGCTGATATGTGGGGATAGTCTAGTCTGGAGTTTACAGGGAAGGTAAAGTATTTAAATTATATTTGACATTTCAGGATATGTTTACGTCTCAATGGTCAACCAGAAGAAAGATGCAGTGTTCAAGTTCTTTTCAAGAACAGTATTCCCTTTTTTAATTTTCAAGTTTTCTCCTACTACCGGATAATTTTTCAACAGAAAAAAACATGTTATTTCTCCCTTCTTAAAAACAAATTTACATATAAACACACAGACATGCAAACACACAAACTCTTGACTCTACTGTTCACTTTTAGCCAGTGTTCTATTTACTTACTGGCCTTTACATCCAAACTCTTCAAAGGAGTGAACCATGTTAAAAGACTTCAATTCCTCTTTCAGCTATTCTAAGTCAAGTAACACTTTACCTTCCTCTATTCTAGCAAAATAGTTTTTATCAAGGCATTTGATCCTCTGTGATTCCAAAAGCAGGCTAATTTGGTTTTCAAATTCTTTGACTCATCAATAGCATTTAGTATAATCTTACTAAATCAGTGATAATGTCCTCATTAACAAACTATATTCAATAGACTATTAATATAGCACATCACCTTAAAAATCTTTCTATATTAATACTTGTCCACTATCAGAGTTCTTTTCCAACTTCTCCATGGGCCCCAACTCCTCTCCTACCCCATTCTTAACATTGAGATTCAGTCCTAGGTTCTTTTCTCTCTGTGAACACTTACTATCTGGGTGCTGTTTATCTCTTTTCCACATATATTTCACCATCTTCACTTGAATTTCTGATAGATATCTCAAACTTAACCTGTTCAAAATTGAAGTCTTGACCTCCACCCTCCATAACTTCCCCATCACAGTTGGGAGCAACTCCTTTCTATTAGATGTTTATGTGAAAAATTGGGTCTCATCTTTGACTCTCTGTTGTCTCACATCCTATATCCAGCCTGTCAAGAATATCACTGACATTATTTTTGAAATATATCCCCAATCCCATTACTTCCCACTACATACATTGCTACCTTGATCCTGAGCCAATGTTCTCTCCCTTCCCTGGATTCCTGCAATAGTCTCCAGGCACTTTTCCCCGGTTCTACCCTTCCCTATTTGTGCTATTATCCATCATGGATGCCACAGAAAACTTTAAAAGTCTAAGTCTCCTCCCTCTCTGCTGAAAACAATGTCTTTGATTCTGAGAGAAATGAGGAACCTTTGCAAAGTTCCACAAAGGCCTATGAGGTCCTGTGTGATCTGGCCCCAGCACCCTAACTTGATTCTCCTGCTCATTCACTTCATCCTAGCAGGCTGCCTGCTGATCTTCGAATACCAGGTGTTTTTATGTCTTAGGGCATTTTCTCTGGCTGTTCCATTTTCTTAGACTGTTCCTCTCCTGTGGGAGACTCCTACATCCTACATTATCTTATGGCTGTCTCACGTCCTATCATCTCCCCTTTTTGTTGTAGCCATTGCTGTGGGAACCATTTGAGTGCTGGTGTAGGTTGATAGCACCTTGCTCAGCTGCATCCCACCCCAGAGTTTCTCTCCTTTTTTGCATGGCACCTCGGGGATCTCATTCAGTTATTCTGGTGCATGTATAGACCTAAAAGTGCAAGGAAATTCACCCTCCTTGGGTCGTCCCAAGGATGTGTGTGGAAGCCAGGGTGTGGAAGCCAGTGGATAAGAGTTCCCCTCTTCTGTGTCTAGAGTGGACAATTATTTGGTTCCTTCTTAATGGTTCTTCATGTGGAACTGGATACAGTGATGACTGCATTATCCAGCTCGATAATGCACCTTTGGATCCATATTCTCTTTCCTGTTCCACTCCTTCATCCTACTCTTGTTCATTGTATAATTTTTCTATGTATACCACTTGTCTGGAATTACAGGTTTGGCTTTTTAAAGAAACAAAGCTAGTATTTCCTCACCTCATTTAATATTTGCTAGAATTCCCTTTGCCATGAGGCCTGCAATGATCTCTTTATTTCAGATTTCAACCTCCCCTGCTCCCTGCCATGGAATTCCTATCCTCATTATCCTTGATCCTTTTTTTGGTTTGTTTTTTAAAATCACGGCAGTGAACCTTTGTATATTATGATGTAATTTACTTACTATGTCCTTTTATTATCCTTCTCCAACCTTTAGCAAAATTATTCTAAGGGATCTGTTTTGTTCATGAATTTTTTCTTAATCGAATCAGCAAAAATATTTACATTTTTATTGTACTAAATTTGCCAAATATATTTACTGAATTTTATGTGAACATAGCATTGAACAGAATTAAAGCTTGAGACATGCAATAATTCAATATTTTGAGGTAGGGCTGAAGCAGGAGACTGAAAGAAGCAGCTCCTTTGATGGGTAATGTAAGTATTAAGGGGAGCCAAGAGGAGAAAAGGAGTTTCAGAAGAATGGTCAATTCAGAAAAAAGCTGCTGAAAGATCAACATGAATGAAGGCAAGTATGTGACCATGGCATCATATGGAGGTCATTTCTGGCCCAAATGAGCGCTTTTTCAGGTAGATTAGAATGTGCTAATACTACAGGAAATTTGTGGGAGTTGAATCTGAATATGTAGACATTCCTAGGTATTTTTATGCAAAGAAGAGCTAAACTTTGAAAAAATAGAGAGGATATAAGATCATGGAGGAGAAGATTATAAAGTGTTAATCGACATAGAAACCTTTTTTTTTTTTCTTTTCAAGCATAAGTTTTCTGTGGAGGGAGAGACAGATGACAAATAAGGCTCTAAATAATAAACGTTAGGCTGGGCGCGGTGACTCACGCCTGTAGTCCCAGCACTTTGGGAGGCCGAGGCGGGCAGATCACGAGGTCAGGAGACGGAGACCATCCTGGCTAACAGGGTGAAACCCCGTATCTACTAAAAATACAAAAAATTAGCCGGGCGTGGTAGCGGGCACCTGTGGTCCCAGCTGCTCGGGAGGCTTAGGCAGGACAGTCACGTGAGCCGGGGAGGCAGAGCTTGCAGTGAGCCGAGATAGCGCCACTGCACTCCGGCCTGGGCGAAGGAGCGAGACTCTGCCTCAAAAAATAATAATAATAAACACTAAATAATTATACAAAAAGACATTTTGTGTGTAATTCTAGTATTCTCCCTACAACCCTGAGATAAAGGTAGGGCAGTTTTATTACCCATTTCCAGAGAAGAAACAGGGGCTTGAAATAAGCTATTTGCCACATCTTCTAGCTACGTGACCTTGGACAATCATGATTTTGGCTGAGGCTTCAGATTCTAAACTTTTCCCGTACTTTATGGAAAAAAAGGAACTTGTTTTAGATTTGGATATACAAAACATGAGTTGCCTTTGGGCATTTAGGTAGAAGCAAAAGGAGATGATTATTTAGAACATTAAATTTGGAAAACGCTAGAACTCAAACTTGGCTGACACTATTAACTATGGTGTCTTAGAGATATTATTTTCCCAACACTCAATTTTCTCATTTTGAAAAAAGACCAATAACTAAGCAGTTACTTTGCTTACTGACTGTGCTGTCTCGATGCATTATCTCATTTAATTCTCAGAAGAACTTCATTAAATAAATTCTAACAAGAAGAATGCCCGGGTAAAAACTGGGCAACTTCAGTGTTTAAGGCTTTTGACAGAAGAAAGAAAAACGAGCAAGAGAGGAGAGAAATATTAAAAATTGTTAAGCTAAAGTTTGTGTGTGGGGGAGCCAGATGTTAGTCTTTCTAAAGATGAAAGAGTTCTGTGATGAAAATTAAGGAAATGGAAGATGGACGGAGGGAGACCCACATGAACAGGAAAGTTAATGTGAGTTTAGATGAAGGAAAACCAAAAGAGAAGGCTCTTCATCTTCTCGTAAGCTGCAGGCATAGCTGTATTTTTAAAGTTTTTGTTAAAAGAACCTGGAAGATGTATTATAGAGCAGTGCCCTTTAATGGAGCTTTCTGCAAGGATAGAAATAGTCTTGACCTAAATTGTCCAATATAGTAGCCACTAGTCACATGGGGTTATTGAGCACTTAAATTAGGTCTATTGAGCACTTAAATTTAGATGCTACTGAACACTTAATTTTTTCTGATTGAGGTATGAATTTTTAATTTTATTTTTGATGACTAGAAATAGCCACATTTGGGCAAGTGGCAATGCCATTAGATAGTATACTTCCAGATAAGTTAAACAGATTGTATGATTAATTGAGGCACTGGAATTGCAGGGTTCATTTGACTTATATAGTCACTTAAGCCAGAAAGTTCAACAGAAAATTTACTCATATGATTGGGAGTTTTGTTTGATTGGTAGGTTGAATGGTAACAATGTATGACCTAAATCAATTGATTTAAACATATTTTACTTGTTTGATCAAGATAATCCTGTCACCAAGAACACAAAACAATACCACTTCTGCATTCCTTTATGAGAACTGTTTAGTGGTATCAGGTCTATTGATATCTAAATATTTAGATGTCAGTAAAAATGAGAGTTTCTTGTGGGCAGGAACCATAGATTATGCTTCTCCATGTCTATGAGAACTTCTAGTGGATTTTGTTTAAGGACTAGGAATGGTAACAAGGGCTCATCATAGAAGGTGATTGAACTCTCTAATCCTATGTACCCTGGATACTCTTCCTAGAAGGTGAAGGAGCCTATGAAGATCAACAAGGAGAATTTCCAAGAGTCATGTCAGCCTCCAGTATCACCTCAACACATCCAACTTCCTTCTTGTTGATGGGGATTCCAGGCCTGGAGCACCTGCACATCTGGATCTCCATCCCCTTCTCAGCATATACACTGGCCCTGCTTGGAAACTGCACCCTCCTTCTCATCATCCAGGCTGATGCAGCCCTCCATGAGCCCATATACCTCTTTCTGGCCATGTTGGCAGCCATCGACCTGGTCCTTTCCTCCTCAGCATTGCCCAAAATGCTTGCCATATTCTGGTTCAGGGATCGGGAGATCAACTTTTTTGCCTGTCTGGTCCAGATGTTCTTCCTTCACTCCTTCTCCATCATGGAGTCAGCAGTGCTGCTGGCCATGGCCTTTGACCGCTATGTGGCCATCTGCAAGCCACTGCACTACACCACGGTCCTGACTGGGTCCCTCATCACCAAGATTGGCATGGCTGCTGTGGCCCGGGCTGTGACACTAATGACTCCACTCCCCTTCCTGCTGAGATGTTTCCACTACTGCCGAGGCCCAGTGATTGCCCGCTGCTACTGTGAACACATGGCTGTGGTCAGGCTGGCTGTGGGAACACTAGCTTCAACAATATCTATGGCATTGCTGTGGCCATGTTTATTGGAGTGTTGGATCTATTCTTTATCATCCTATCTTATATCTTTATCCTTCAGGCAGTTCTACAACTCTCCTCTCAGGAGGCCCGCTACAAAGCATTTGGGACATGTGTCTCTCACATAGGTGCCATCTTAGCCTTCTACACACCTTCAGTCATCTCTTCAGTCATGCACCGTGTGGCCCGCTGTGCTGCGCCACACGTCCACATTCTCCTCGCCAATTTCTATCTGCTCTTCCCACCCATGGTCAATCCCATCATCTACGGCGTTAAGACCAAGCAGATCCGTGACAGTCTTGGGAGTATTCCCGAGAAAGGATGTGTGAATAGAGAGTGAGGAATAAGTGGAAAAAGAGTGGGGCACAGTGAATGCTGTAGTGGGCCAGGGCTGTGCTGAGAGTAGATGGGTGCTAGACTCCACGTTTAGTTCTTTTCTTGTATTATGGAAAGAATAAATGATGTCCTGAAGCTCAGTGCCAACAGTCTGTTTAGAATTTGTGGGTCTTTGCCCTCTGGTAGCCTCTGGATTGAACCTGGTGACTGTGCTGTCTCCTCACAGAGCCCTGACTCCTGTCAGTAAACTTGACAGAGTCTTGACCCTCCGGCCTCATGGTGACTTTGCTGAAGGACACAAAGATGCTTCCAAGTTCATTTGCCTAAGAGAAGACTGTGAAAATCTGAATTTCCATCTCTGACTTGTTGGAAATTTGGTGAATTATCCACTCAGATTCCCGAGTTAGGACCTCTACTCCATCCAGTGCAGGAGTTCTGCTACATTCTAACAGTTGAACCCTAGACTCTACCTAAACACTGTCAGTGCTGGTGCACATGCATCCTTTAGGCCTATTTATTCCAAGTGAGACAGCTCTGCTTGTTAGAAGGTTATTTCTTCAACTAAGCCAGTCTGTATTCTTTGACTTCTTTTTACCTCCTCATCCTCATGGCTATTCCATCTCATTAAATACTTTGAAGAAAAACCATATCCTCTGACATTTTATTATATATCACATAACTCTTTCTTTGTGCATAGACGTATCTTATATTTTCAACAAGAATGTGAATTGTTTACTTATTTAATAATCTAGCCAAGTCTATGCTATCTGCTAGGGATACAGACTGTTAAGAAAGGGATGCTGGACTCATGTTTATGTCCTCAGACAGAGGATGGAATAATTCCAATGGTTTGTGTTCTCTAAACTCACCATTCCAAGGCCCAGCATAGAAGAAATATGAGAAGTCAAAGAAGATGAGATGTGGGCGTATTGACTTAGGTTTTGTTCTATTTCATTCAAACTTAGGTACTCAAGAATTCCCTTAATATTAATCCTGAGAACTGCACCTCTGATGCTCCCTCATACCGTGTCTTATGAGTTGAATTTTGTTCCCCTTTCCAATTTATATGTTAAAATCCTAACACCCAGCACTTCAGAATGTGACTGTATTTGAGGATGAAGTCTTTAAAGTAATACTTAAGTTAAAATGCGGTGATTAGGATGGGCCTTAATCCAATATGACAGGTGTCTATATAAGAAGAGAAAATTTGTACACAGACACAGGCAGAGTGAAGACCACGTAAAGATACAGAAAGATGGCCATGTACAAGCCAAGAAGAGTGGCCTCGGTAGCAACCAATTCTGCTTGGGTCTTGGACTTCTATCTTCTAGAATTGTGAAGAAATAAATTTCTGTTTATTAGGCCCCCCAGTTTGTATTACCTTTTATAGAAGCCCTAGAAAACTACTTTTGGCACCAGAAAGTAAGGTGCTACTGTAACTAATACCTAAAAATGTGGAAGTTGCTTGGAAACTGAGTAATGGGCTGAAGCTGAAAAAGTTTTGAGGTGCGTGTTAAAAAAGGCTAAGATTTCTTCGAAGAGATTGTAGGTAGAAATATGAATATTAAAGATGCTTTTAGTGAGGTCTCAGGAAGGAGGAACTGGAAGAAAGATGATCTATGTTATCAAATGAAAAAGAACTTGGACAAATTGTGTTCTAGTACTTTGTGGAAAGTAGAACTTGTAAGTAATGAACTTGGATATTTAGCTGAGGAGATTTCTAAGCAAAGTGCTGAAATTGTGACCCGGTTTGTTCTTGTTGCTTATGAGTGAGGAGAGAGATAAGTTGGAGAAGAATTTAAGCAAAAAGGAATCAGGAATTAAAGACTGAAAAATTCTCAGCATATCCATATTACAATAAATAAGTGTAATTTGGAAAGAATATCAAGGGTGTGGCTGGATAACCATTTTCTAAAAAGATTAGGTATATTAAATGAAATAAACCAGCACAGAATGACAAGTACTTCATGGTCCCACTCATATTTGGGAGGTAAAGAAAAGTCGGTGTTACAGAAGTAGAGACTAGAATAGTGGTTACCAGAGGCTTGGAAGAGTAGGGGGGAAGAGGGTATAGGGAGGAGTTGGTTAATGGGTAGAAAATTGCCCTTTGGGTAGAAGGAATAAGTTTTAGTATTCCATAGCACACTAGAATGACAATAGTTAATAATTTAGTATAGATTTCAAAACAGCCAGAGGAGTGGATTTTGAATGTTCAACACAATGAAATGATAAATATTTGAGGTGACAGATTATCTCAAATTGATTACCCTGATTTTATCATTACCAGTTGTATACATGTATGGAAATATTGCCTGCACCCTCTAAATATGTACAATTAATATGTGCCAATTTTTAAAAAAAGGATTAGGCATGTGTTTATGAATACAATCAGCCATCTCAGCAGAAGCCAGGAATAGAGATGGGGCTATGCAGGAAAGACTCACAGGAATCCCTTTTATCTGATAGTTTGGACCCCATGAATTGCATCAGAGACCAACATGCTTTTTGAGAATTTTATTAGCAGCAGAAATGAACAGAGTTAGGATGACATGAAAGAAGGTAGCTGGACTTCCGGGATTCCAGAGGATGGCCCAATACAGCTATTTAGCTGCAAACGTGCATTATCCTTAAAGAAAAGGGAGAACATACCCTAAGGTTGTTCAGAGGTTGGCAGGGATACCACTGCCACCACAAGCCCAAAAGACACAGATCCAGGAGGTTAGGCTGCCTCTTCCTTGGTTCCAGAGGGCAGAGCCAGCCCATTGGTTTCAGAAGGCCAGGGTGCCTCTAACCCAGGACTGAGGGATTAGGGCTGCTGTCCATTGAGTCAAAAAGGATTATTCTGAGCCTTAAATCAAGTGTAATTTGCCCTGCTAGGTTTTAGACTTATTTGTGACTCATAACACTTTTATTCTGATTTCTCCCTTTTTGAGTGGGAATGCCTATCCTGTGCCTGTTCTACCATTATATTTTGGTCACAGGTAGCTTGTCTGGTTTCACAGGTTTATAGATGGAGGGAAATTTTGCCTCAGGATGGATTCATACCAGAGTGTCACATAAACGATTTAGATATTACATTTAGATGAGATTTTGTATTTACAGTTAACCCCTGGAATTGGGGATGCTTGTATTTTGCATGTGGGAAGGACTAGACTTTAGGGAGCCAGAAGGCAGGGTGTTATGAGCTGAATTGTGTCTCCTTTCAGTAAACTCATATGTTGAAGTCCTAAACCCTAGTATCTCAGAGTAATATGACTGTATTTGGAGATAAGGTCTTCAAAGAGGTTAATTAAGTTAAAATGAAGTTATTAGGATGGCACTCAATCTAATACAACAGGTGTCCATATAAGAAAAGACACAAGGAGAAGATAATGTCCAAGCCAAGGAGAGAGGCCTCAAAAGGAATCAACCTTGCCACACCTTAACTTGAACATCTAGCTTCCAGAATTGAGAAAATAGGTTTCTGTATTGAGACCATCCAGTCTGTGGTATTTTGTTATTACAGCCTAGAAAATGAGTATATTTTCATACATCATCTTCCACAAATGCATTCTTGTACTTCATTTTTTGTGACCCCTTTCATTGTTTCCTCAGAGACTACTGTTTAGGAAGCATCTCTATCTCTCTCTATATTAGTTATCTTTGAAACAATCTCCAAGCATTTGTCAGGTGTGGTGTAGAAGGTTGGAAGCTGTGCAGGAGACAAGAGTATTGCAAGAACCTACACTCTTGCTTCCCCTTATATTCCATCACTGCTCCCATGAATCCCTCAGACACAAAGACAAATGCCTCATGTAGTCAACACCTCTTGATTATTTTGTCTGAGAATAGTTGGGGCAGGTGGGCAGCTAAAAAATAAACACTAAGTTGTAACCACATATAAACAAACATGGAAAAGAGCATGAATTTTAAAAGGTATTTCCAACAAGAGAAATCTTATTTTCCCATTGACTTATACGGGGAATAACATCATCCTTAAGGTCATATCTATCCCCAGTGAAGAAATAATTTTGTTCCCAGAACAAGTCCAGTAGTATAAGGATCCCATAGACAGGTAATATATCAACATAACATTAGCACAGCCAGGATTAGTCACAAATAGTAAAAGGAAAATTACCTTCTCTATGAGCTCATTTGAGTTTAGCACACAATCAAAACATGAATAAGAAATATGAGTAGCCTACAGGCACATATAATTTTATACCCATATAGATGGGTATATAGATTAGGATAAAGGAAACTTGATGCAGTTATCTAGGCCTAGATGCAATACTTCTAATCACTCAAAAACTAGGTCATCCCAACATTCCAAGCTAGGACACAGAGGTGCACATCATCCTTAAAGTAGGATCAATGCTTGAGTATAGGATCCTGTTCTGCCTAGCAACCCTCACAACACCTTCCCACCTACGTGTTCCTCAAGCAAGGAGTCTTGGTGTTATCTTTGATTTCTTTTTCTCTCACAGCCTGGAGCTAATTTTTCAGGAATTCCCACTGGCACTTAAAAAATAGATATAAAATCTGATACATCTGATTTCTCTCCATATATATGATTAACACATTGATTTGGAAACACCATCTTCTCTCTGGATGCCTACAATAGCATCTGTAATCCTTTCTCTGCTTTCATCCTCATCATCTTGTGCTGTTCCCATTAAGTCAGAAGCAATATCTAAAAAACATATGTCAAATAATGTCAATTCACTGCTCAACCTTGGCTTTTATTCCGAGAGAAATTATGAACCTTTGCAAAGTGAAATCCTTACATGGCTGATATGGTTTGGCTCTGTGTCCACACCCAAATCTCCTCTCGAATTGTAATCCCCACATGTCAGAAGAGGGGACCTGGTGAGAGGTGATAGGATCATGGGGGCAGATTTCCCCCTTGATGTTCTGTTTAAAAGCGTATGGCCCCGCCCCCATTCCCTTTTTCCTGCTCCGCTGTGGTAAGACCTGCTTGCTTCCCCTTCATCTTCTGCCATGACTAAGTTTCCTGAGGCCTCCCAGCCATGCTTCTGTACAGCCTGCAGGAACTGTGAGTCAGTCAAACCTCTTTTCTCCATAAAAGTACCCAGTCTCAGGTAGTTCTTCATAGCAGTGTGAGAACAGACTGATACAAAGGCCTACAATGTTCTGTGTGATCACAGCTAACTGGAAAAAAAAAAAAAGAAAGCAGCACCCAGGTATGGGTAGGGCACATTATATTCACAGGATCAACAATAAGACTGATATTAATAGATACTTGACTTCAAAAAAAGCAAGTGAAGGCAGAATACAATTAATATACTAAAGTGGATGAAAGAAGAATTGCCCATTTAAAAACCTATTCAAATTGAAATAGAATTTTAGACAGAGGCCCGGGAGGTGAGTCATCTTTCACAAACAAAGATGACTAAGATAATTTTACAAATGAGCAAAAGTTGATGGAATGTGTCACTATATGGCCTGTAATAAAAGCAAAAATAAAAGTAGTTTTTCATGCAGAAAAAAAATGATCCAGATGGAAACATGAAAAACCTGGAGGGAATGAAGAACACCAAAACAAAGATGCATATGAATGTAAAAGAATCTAGATTTTACAAAAGAAAAGATAGGGTGGGGAGGATGTCAATGAATTAAACAGTCTAAGTGTTCCAATATTCCAGCAGTTATCTCCAGCATGGTTTGAGCCAATGGCCCCACTGCCCACTCCCCCACTCCATGTGCTTCTTATCCTGCTCCTATGATGTCAGGATTGCCCATTCAGAATGGAGTTGGGGGCAAATTAAGGTGCTTTGTTCACAAAAACACTGTCTATTCTATCTGGCTCTTGTCTGGCTTTTATCTGGCTTTTGCCATATTAGGTTTTGGTGAGGTGCTTTTCATACAGGCTGTATCCCCTTGGCCTAGCTGTACATTGTTAAAACTATGTAGGAATTCCACTTTATCCCAGCATCCCAAAAGATCAGACTTATCATGGAGGAGTGCTGAGTCCACACCCTTGAGGGCCAACTATTACAGAAGGGGAAGTTAGTTCCAGGGTACCTGTGTGGGAAGGGAGTGAGATGACTGAGTTACAGCGTTCTGAGATTGCTTTTAAAAATTATGGGGAATTAGGGTAGACAAAATCCATGGAGAACTCTAGTGAAAAGCATCTTCTCAGGTCCTTGAAAAATAGCACACATTAAGTCAGCTGTAGGTAGAAAGATCACTCTTTATCATTTATAGATGATTGGTAATTTCCTAATTATTAATAAGGAATCACATTCATAGTGGCCTCTTGTTTATCTACTTAGATCCTCCTATCCTTGTGAGTTAGAAAATATTGTAAAAGTTATCTCTACCTTAGAGATAAGAAAAATAGATCAGGGATCAGACAGGTGCCAGATCAAGTTCACGAGCTGGTTATTAATGCATATCTCAGGCCAATATGAAATATGAATGCAAAATAAAATGCCTAATGGATGACCTTGGCCTGGTCAGGCTGGACTCCCTGCCCTTTCAAGTCAGTTCTGACAGGAGTTGCCTGCAGTGTATATTTTCTGATGAGGCTGGCTTTCTTTGAAGACACTGTAAGGATAAAGAGTAAGGAGAGGCACAGCAAACACCAAGACACAAGCCAGCTCCACCTGAAAGTCTCACAGCCTCTGGCAAGTAGGGCATGACCCCTGGTAGGCACAACTCAGTGCCACTAGCTGGGGAGGAGGCATGGGTTGTAGGAAACAAGGATACAGTCCCCTTGGGTCAGGGGAAGTCCCCTTGCATCAACCCAGAGAGAGGAGGCCAGAGATGTCTCTGAGGACTCTGCTCAAGTGCAGCAGTTTCTGCTTCCACAGCCTTCTGGGAGAAGGGCAGAGGTTGGTGAGGATTAAAGCCAGCTGCTCGCTTCCCAGCTTCCTCCTTCTAAGACTCCTTAGACTGAAAGAGGAAGGCGGCACTGGTGCTGCATGAAGCTAATGAAAAGGGCCCAGGATTGTAAGTCAGACTGAGGACTGTGGATACAGCTGCAACTTAGGGAAATAGAAAACAAGTGATGTTATTGGGGTGAGCAGGAAGGTGGGAGTGAGCTGGAAGGTGGGGGCACTGTCAATTTCTTCCCATAGCCATTCCTGATCTTAGGCATCAGCTCTCCAACCCTGTTATTGCTTCTACTCTGGTCCTTCAATAGAGGGAACAGAAGTCTCGATAGTCCCACCCAACTGTTTGGTACACAAACTCCAGATGCTCTCCCCACCACAGAGGATGCCTGCTTCCGTCCTATGCCAAACACTGTGGGCCATCTCCAAGAAGTCTTAGTTGATTATTCCAGTTTGGATCTGTCACTTCTCACCTCCTGTCATTGCTTTTTCTAACCCCTGGCAAATGCCCCATCCCAGTTAAAGGGCTTCTGCATTAGTCAAGAGGAAGAAAACGAGGCCTGAACTAGAAAGATGGCAGGGAAAGGTAAGAAATACCTTATCTTTGAGGTTCTTCTACCAGAAGCAGTCCTGAAGTATCTTGATTATGTGATTATCCTTCCTTGTCTGGTTCTAAGTTTTTCAGATATGTCATTCTGATATCCTTTTAAGATAAAGGTATAGGCAACCAAATAGATTCAGTATTAATTGAGTCCATTCTGGGTACAGAGGCCTTTTTTAAGGAGAAATAGAAGATAAATCCTTTGAGCATGGACATCTTAGTTCTGAAAACAATGAACAGTCTGGACAAAACTTGCACTACAGAGGAGGTCTTAGTTTCTGGATATTAGGGGAAGAAGACTGGCTCCATTCACACTCCTACTCAGAGCACTTCATTCTGAGGAGTTGATTTTAGATGAACTTCAAAGGAAGTAAGATTTATGAACTATTAGACACCCTGTCTTTTCAGGAAGAAATCTGATAGAAGAGATGCCTTTTTTTCTTGTATGAAGATGGGTAGACAGCTCACAGGGTGGTTAGTGATGTTTAAAAGTTGAATGGAGGAATCTAGGGGGACATGGAGACTCAAAGTAAAACATGTGGGTTTTGTGGAAAATACATATTGAGATAAGGTAAAGATGCAGCAGGTTTGTGGGATTATTTCACAGTATTTTAGAAGAGTTTCTTAGACGCCAGGCATGTTTCTAGGTACTGATATGTACTTGAAAATAAAAATGTCTGTTGTCATAAGAGCTTGTTCCTGACAAAAATGCACAAACATTATGAATATTTAAAATAGTATTTTCCATTAAGAAGAGAATTTTATTCTGATGCAGGTAACAAAGTATTGTAATCGGGATGCTTAGAACCTCCATTCTGGATGCATTTTAAATGAGAAGATAACCCAAATTCTGAGCTTAAATCACATGAGGGGAGTAGTATTCTGAGAAATATGTCTTCCAATAATCTAGTAGTCTGTTTTATTTAGTGAAATGTTCCACACCTATGTATGTTAGAGGCTGGGTTTACAGAAGGAAAATAGGTAGAGTTTCTTAACTCCAGTCCCTTCACTTCATGATATGGTGGGTAATTGTTGAAGGATAAATATTGGAGAACAAAGTGGAACTTTGTGTACTTGTTAGGATTCTTTTGTAGCAGTAGTTGCTGGGAGATGCTGTGGCTTGAACAAGGGTGATGGTGTTGGAAGGGTGGAAGTGTTGGAAACGCAATGGGCAACGTGGAGATTTACTATGTAGGATGATCCAGTGTGCTTGCTGATGATTAAATATGATGCAGGAAGAAAAGAGAAGAATCCAGGATGACTTGATTCTAGGTTGAGCAACTGGTTGGGCAGGATGTTACGTTCTGAGATATGGGCAGCACAAGAAGAGAAGTAGTCATGATTTCTGCCTCAGGCATGGCAGGTTTGACATATCTGTGAGGAAGATATGTGGGGATATCGAGTATGGAGTTGGATATCCTAGTCTGGAGCTTACAAGGAATGTAAGGTATGTAAATTTGTGTTTGTTTCAGGATATGTTTATATTCTCAATGATCAACCAGCAGACCACCTAGAAAGATGCAATATTCACGGTCTTTTCAGGAGCAGTATTCTCTTTCTTCGTCTAAGTTTCAACTTTTCCCCTACTACTGGATAATTTGCTTCAGCTAAAGACATGATACTTCTGTTCTAAAACACACAGACACACACACACACACACACACACACACACACACACAGTTGACTTCGCTTTCCATTTTAGCCAGTGCCCTATTTACTTGCTGTCCTTTGCTTCCAAATTCCTCAAAAAAGTTAGCCATGTTAACAAACTTCAATTCCCCTCTTATCTATTCTAACTCAGTCAAGTCAGGCTTTGCCTGTCTCTCTTCTAGCAAAATTGCTTTTATCAAGGTATCCAATCCTCTTGTGCAATTCTAAACACAAGGCCAATTGTGTTTTCAAGTTCTTTGACTCATCAGTAGCATTTTACATGGTAATAATCCACTTGTTAGTAAACTATATTCTATATACTAAGATAGTACATTATTTGGGGATGTTTCTATCTTAATAGTTTCCACTGTCAGTTTCCCTTGCGAATATCTCAGTGTGCTCCAACTCTTCTCCCATCCATTCTTAATGTTGGGATTCAGTTCTGGGTTCTCTAGTTCTCTTTTCTGTGAACATTTACTGTCTGGGCGATCTCAAACAGTTTTGTGGCTTTAAATATGATTTATTTTCTATACGTATTACCATATTCACTTGAATTTCTGATATCTCAAACTCACCATGTTCAAAAATTGAAGTCTCGAGCTCCTCCTTTCATGCTTTCCCCGTCTCAGTTGGGAGCAGCTCCTATCAGTGGTTTATGCCAAAAATCAGGGTGTCATCTTCGACTCCCTGTTGTCTCACTTCCTATATCTAACCTGTCAAAAATGCCACTGACACATTTTAAAAATATATCCCCAATCCTATTACTTCCCACTACATACACTGCTACCTTGATTCTGAGCCAATGTTCTCCCTTCCTTGGATTCCTGCAATAGTCTCCAGGTACTTTCCCCCAATTCTACCCTTCCCTCTTTGTGCTATTCTCCATCATAGATGCCAGGGAAAACTTTAAAAGTATAAGTCACATACATCTCCTCTCTGCTGAAAACAATGTCCTTGATTCTGAGAGAAATGGGGAACTTTTGCAAAGTCCACAAAGGCCTGTGGGGCCCTGTGTGATTTGGCCCCACTGTTCTGACCTGATTCTCCTGCTCATTTGCTTCATCCTACCTGTGCTGGCTGCCTGCTGATATTTGAATAACAGGTGTTTTTATGTCTTGGGGCATTTTCTCTGGCTGTTCCATTTTCTTAGACTGTTCCTTTCCCCTGGGTGACTCCTATATTCCAAATCTATTATGGTCTTCTCATGTCCTGTCATCTCCCCTTTTTGTTGTAGGCATTGTTGTGGGAACCATTCGAGTGCAGGTGTAGGTTGATAGCACCTTACTCAGCTGTATCCCACCTCCCACAGTTTCTCTGCTTTATTGCATGGGCACCTCAGGGATCTCATTGTGTTATTCTGGTACATGTATGGACCTGAAAATGCAAGGAAATCTACACTCCTTGGGTCATCCTTGACCTATGGGGTGTGGAAGCCAGTGGATAAAAGTTCCCCTCTTCTGTGTCTAGAGTGGACAATTCTTTGGTTCCTTCTCTATGGTTCTTCATGTGGAATTGGATTATCCATCTCAGTAAGGCAACTTTGGATCCATATTCTCTTTCCTGTTCCACTCCTTCATCCTATTCTTGTTCACTGTGTAATTGTTCTGTATATACCACTGGCATGAAACTTTAGTTTGGCATTTAAGGAAGTGAAGCCAAGTATTTCCTCACCTCATTCAATTTTTCTCAAATTTTCTAATAAGGTGTATAATGAGCTTTTTATTTCAAATTTCAACTTCTCCTGCTCCCTATCATGAAATGCCTATCATAACTGCCCTATTCCTTGGTTTTTAAATCACAACAATGAAACTTTGTATAATATGTAATTTAATCATGATGTCCTTTTATTATCCTTCTCCAACCTTTAGCAAACTTATTCTACTAAGGGATCCATCTGTTTTGTTCATAAATTTTTCCTTAACCTCTTCAGTAAAAATGTTTAAATAGTTGTCATTAAATTTAGTTAGTATATTTTCTGAATGACATGGATATAAAATTTGAAAAGATGCTTGAGAACTGTAGAAATGTAATACTTACAGTTAGGGCAGAAGCAGGAGAAGGAAGTGAGACACTCTGGAGCTGGGAAACGGGAATATGGTGGTACACGAGAAAAGTGAGTTTTAAGCAGGAGAGTGGTCAATTCAGATAAAAGTTGCTCAGCGGTCCAGTTGCATGAAGCCAGGTAAGTGATAAGGGCACCATCATCATGGAGGTCATTGATTGTCACAGTAAAAGGAATTTTTGGTTTGTGATGGGAATAAAATCCAGATTGATATGTTTCAAAACCAATTATCCTTGAGAGAGTTGAGATTGTAGACCTTTCTACATGTTTCACTGTAAAGAAAAGCAGAGGTTTGAATAAAGGGAGGAGGATTTAATGTCACGGTAGATTAATCAACATAAATAATTTTTTAAAAAGTAACAGTTCTACAGAAGAGAAATATAAGTGACAAAGCTCTGCACACTAAGGAATTATACAAAATGATTTTATACATAATCACACTTAACCTCCCTATACCCCTCAGATAAAGGGAAATAGCACTGAACTACCTTTAACAGAGAAGGAAACAAACTAGTACATAAGTGATTTGTGCAAGGTCTACCACTAGAATATGTGGCAGTCATGATTTCAGCCAATAACTTTAGATTCTAAACATTTTCCAAATGTTATGGAAGGAAGTTAGTTTTCAGTTTGGTTATGCTGGATGCAGGTTGCATATAGGGCATCTAGATGGAAACAATAAGCCTAGTTACTTAAGACATGGGAATCGGTAGAAAGAAGGACTCAGATATGGCTGTCTGACACTATTAGCTATAATATCTTAGAGCAATTATTATATTTCCCAACAGTTTCTTTTTGAAAAAGAGACCCAGTTTTTGTTTTCAATATTTACTTTGTTCTGTGACTATTAAGTGTTTGAAGTACATTATCTCATTTAATCCTCAAAAGAATCTCATTAAGTGGATCCTATATTTTATATTTTGTATAAATATATGTTTTATACAAACATATATTTTATAATTTTATAACAGTCTTGGTAAAAACTGGGTAACTCTAGTGTTTAAGGATCTGAAAAAAGAACAATGACCAGAACAAGATAAAAAGGTGAAAAATTGTTAACAAGAAGGATATTTGGAAGTCATAAGTCAGTCTTGCTAAAGATGAGAGCAAATTCTCCTGTGACAAAAAGAAGGAACTGGAAGACAGGTGGAGGGAGAGTCACATGCACAGGGAGTTTAACATGAGTTTCAGTGGAGAACCAAAAAAGGACGTTTCATTTTCTCCGTATGCTTGCAGCATGGCTGTATTTACAGAGACCTGTGAATACTGAGAAGATGTGAAAGATATACTGTAGAGCAGTGGTCTTAAACAGAAATTTCTACAATGATGGAAATATTCTTGGTAGTCACTAGTCACATGTGGCTATTGAGCACGTGAAAAGTATTTTGTATAAATGTGAAATTTATTAAGTATAAATTTAGGTTTACATAGTGACATGGCTAGTAGCAACCATATCAGATAAAGTAGTTTTAGGGAAAATATGCAGATTGTGTGATTAATTTGGGCATTAGAAACCAATGGGTTTGACTTATACATGGACTCAACTCAGATTTCAGGAGAGAAAATTGGCTCTTGCATTTGGGAATTTAGCTTAACTGAAAGGTAGAATGGTACCAATGTATGTGCTAAAGAAATGAATTGATTTAAACATATTTTCACTTTTTTCAAGGTATTCATGACATCACCAAGAACACAGAAAACACTACATATACTCCATTCCTTTATGAAAGTTGTCTTAGAATATTAAATATCCATAGAATTGATATCCCATCTACTCAATGAGATTCAAATTTCTTTGAGGGTAGAAAATATGGATTATACTTCTCCATGTCTATGAAGGCTGCTAGGTTATTTTGTTTAAAGTCTAGCAATGGAAACAAGAGGTAATCTTTGCAGGTGGGATAGCACAGGTTGAACTCTAATCATATATACTGTAGAAGGTATATATAGAAGGTGAAGAAGCCCTGTAAAAATTGACAAGGAGATTTCCAGGAGCCATGCTTCCCTCTAATATCACCTCAACACATCCAGCTGTCTTTTTGTTGGTAGGAATTCCTGGTTTGGAACACCTGCATGCCTGGATCTCCATCCCCTTCTGCTTTGCTTATACTCTGGCCCTGCTAGGCAACTGTACCCTTCTCTTCATTATCCAGGCTGATGCAGCCCTCCATGAACCCATGTACCTCTTTCTGGCCATGTTGGCAACCATTGACTTGGTTCTTTCTTCTACAACGCTGCCCAAAATGCTTGCCATATTCTGGTTCAGGGATCAGGAGATCAACTTCTTTGCCTGTCTGGTCCAGATGTTCTTCCTTCACTCCTTCTCCATCATGGAGTCAGCAGTGCTGCTGGCCATGGCCTTTGACCGCTATGTGGCCATCTGCAAGCCATTGCACTACACGACGGTCCTGACTGGGTCCCTCATCACCAAGATTGGCATGGCTGCTGTGGCCCGGGCTGTGACACTAATGACTCCACTCCCCTTCCTGCTCAGACGCTTCCACTACTGCCGAGGCCCAGTGATTGCCCATTGCTACTGTGAACACATGGCTGTGGTAAGGCTGGCGTGTGGGGACACTAGCTTCAACAATATCTATGGCATTGCTGTGGCCATGTTTATTGTGGTGTTGGACCTGCTCTTTGTTATCCTGTCTTATGTCTTCATCCTTCAGGCAGTTCTCCAGCTTGCCTCTCAGGAGGCCCGCTACAAGGCATTTGGGACATGTGTGTCTCACATAGGTGCCATCCTGTCCACCTACACTCCAGTAGTCATCTCTTCAGTCATGCACCGTGTAGCCCGCCATGCTGCCCCTCGTGTCCACATACTCCTTGCTATTTTCTATCTCCTTTTCCCACCCATGGTCAATCCTATCATATATGGAGTCAAGACCAAGCAGATTCGTGAGTATGTGCTCAGTCTATTCCAGAGAAAGAACATGTAGATGGATAGTTCTCTTTTTTTATCCCACTTGCCAAGTAATGAGAATGCTGGATTGGGGTTGAGGGGAAAAATCTAAATAGGAAAATTGCAGAGTATCTTTGACAATTCTCTAGTATGATAAGGAAAATGAGGTTTCATTCCTCACAGATCTACGAGTCAGGTCAAACCAGGAGTGCACCTATAGTCTGGTCTGATAGTAGAGGTTTGACCTTCCCATTGTCATAGACTCATCACATGGCTAAGGAAGACAAACCTCTCAAAGTGGTATTGTAATCTGGGTGAAAGACAGTAGGACCTTTATTGGCTGAGATTGGCCCAAACAGCTGAGTCACCCAAACAGGTGACTTCTTTATCCAGGTATGAGTGAGGAAATGTACCTCAAATTTTGTGACCCCAAAACCATTATTCCTTTTAGTACTGAAATTACCCCCATGTCTTTTCTGACAAGTACCCTCCACCCTTTGCCACTCTTTATAGCCTACTATCTCCCAATTTTATTTCTACAGTTAGACAGCTCCATTTATAAGTAGATCTATTTCTTCCATTAAGTCAATTCCTCTTTTACTTCCTTCCTGATAGACATGGCCAATTCCTTTAGTGAACATTTATCAAAAGAGTCCTCCGATGTTCCTTTTTATCAATTTATATCATGTATCTAGCTTTTCACTGCATGTCTTTTGCCTCCAAAATACTTAGTAATATTTATTAAATGAACGGATAGAAGAGCTGAATACTATCTTTGAACTATGAACCATGAAAAGAGAAATAACACCCTTCCCTCTTGAAGCTGAGATTTCTGAAAATAAGAAAATACAATACTGTCACACACTGCATAATGAAGTTTTGGTCAGTAATGGATCACCTATATGATGGTGATTGCATAACATTATAGTACCGTATATTTACTGTATGTTTTTTAACTTTTAAGTTACATGTACAGGTTTGTTATCTAGGTAAAGCCATGTTATGGGGGTTTTGTTGTACAGATTATTTCATCACCCAAGTATTAAGCCTAGTATTCATTAGCTATTTTTCTGTTTAAATACACAAATACTTATTGTGTTACAATTGCCTACAATATTGGGTTTGTAGCCTAGGAGCAACAGGCTATACCATATAGCTTAGGTGTATAGCAAGCGATACCATCTAGGTTTGTGTAAATACACTCTATGATGTTCACAGGTTGATAAAATCACCTGAGGACACATTTCTCAGAATGTATCCCCATCATTAAGCAATGCATGACTAGTTAGACATGATTGTAGTTGTGATAGACTGTATTACTGTCCACCAATATTTAGTCTCCTGTCCTTCTATCATGGGTAGGGTATTTCCTTCACTCCACGAATTTTAAACTTTGCTGTATGACTTGATTTGGCCAATGAAATTTGAGTAGCCCTGAAATGTACTTCGAGAATCAGAAAGTTTATTAAAAAAAACAGATGCTAGTGAGGTTGTAGAGAAAAGGAAACACTTATATACTGCTGGTAGGAGTGTAAATTATTTCACCCATTATGGAAAGCAGTAGGTGATTCCTCAAAGACCTAAAAACAGAAATACCATTTGACTGAGTGATCCTTTAGTGGGTATGTACCCAAAGGAACCTAAGTTGTTCTACCATAAAGATAACATGTATGTGTACATTCACTGCAGCACTATTCACAATAGCAAAGACACGGAATCAACCTAAAGGCCTATCAACAGTTGACTGGATAAAGAAAATGTGATACATATGCACCATGGAATACTATGCAGCCGTCAAAAAGAATAAGATCATGTCCTTTGCAGGAACATGGATGGAGCTAGAGGCCATTATTCTTTGCAAACTAAAAGGGGAATAGAAAAATAAAATACCACATGTTCTCACTTATAAGTGGGAACTAAACAATGAGAACACATGGACACAAAGAGGAGCAGGAGACACTGGGGCCTATTTAAGGTAGGAGGGAGAGGATCAGGAAAAATAACTATCAGGTACTACGCCTAGTACCTAGGTGATTAAAGAACTTGTACAACAAACTCCCGTGACACAAGTTTATTTATATAACACACCTGCACATGTACCTCTAACCTAAAATAAAAGTTAAAAAGGACACTATGATATTGGTGCAAAGATCGAATGGAAAGGAACAGAAAGACAAGAAGTTGCCTGGTCCATATAGACACGTGTTATTGCAGAGGTGTGTGATACATATGCACCATGGAATACTATACAGCCATCAAAAAGAAATAAGATCACGTCCTTTGTGGGAACATGGATGGAGCTAGAGGCCATTATTCTTTGCAAATTAAAGTGTGCATTAACTTTCCTGCTTTCTTTCCCCTCTGCTGCAAAACCCAGCAAAGTTCCAGTTAGAGGCTGTGACAAAGCCAAAGTCCACCCACAATGAGTAAGAAGTGTAAATGAGAAATTGTGTTTGAGCTGCTAAAAAAAAAAAATAAACTTTAAAATATGGCTGGAAAGCTTATCTTTCATTCTTTCCCTCTACCAGAAGAATAAGCGTATCACAGCCTAGACTCATGATGAAGATCCATGGAGCAGATGTGAATCTGACTCACTGCCTGTAGCATAGTCATAACTGACCCACAGTGTTCATATAACATGAACAAGGATGATTTTGTTGTTTTTGTAGTGAACCACTGAAATTTGGGAGTTGTTTGTTTCACAGCCTTACCCAAGGAGCACCAATTGCTGGAGTTGTGAGTTCTATCTTGCATTTCAACTCATGACAGCTCAAGACTGAATATTTAAAGGAAATACAGTCTTCTTACAGCATATCATAAAATTATTTCACTTATCTCTGCTTTTGTCTTTCAAACTCTCATAATGAACACTTCTTCAGTCAGTTCTACAAAAAGAAGCTCCCATACATACTTTTACATGATCTACTTATACTGTAGGGACCAGCCCTACAGGGTCTGTGAGTTTTTCCCCTTGTGTGCAGAGATGAGAGATCATAGAAATAAAGACAAAAGATAAAGAGAAGAAAAGACAGCTGGGCCTGGGGGACCAGTACCACCAAGATGCAGAGACCGGTAGTGGCCCCGAATGCCTGGCTGCACTGTTATTTATTGGATACAAGGCAAAAGGGGCAGGGTAAAGAGTGTGAGTCATCTCCAATGGTTGATAAGGTCACATAAGTCACGTGTCCACTGGACAGGGGGCCCTTCCCTGTTTGGCAGCCAAGAAGGAGAGAGAGAGAGGACAGCTTACACCATTATTTCTTCTATGCATTTCAAAGACTTTTAGTACTTTCACTTATTCTGCTACTGCTATCTGGAAGGCAGAGCCAGGTGTACAGGGTGGAACGTGAAAGTGAAACAGGAGCGTGACTGCTGAAGCACAGCATCACAGGGATGCTGGATGCTGTGGCCTCCAGATGGCTGTGGGTGGGCCTGACTAATGTCAGGCCTTCCACAAGAGGTGGTGAAACAGAGTCTTCTCTAACTCCCCCAGGGAAAGGGAGACTCCCTTTCTGGGTCTGTTAGTAACGGGTGTCTTCCCTAGGAACTGACTACTACTAGACCACAGTCCACTAGGTAATGGGTGCCTTCCCAGGCACTGGCATTACCGCTAGACCAAGGAGCCCTCTAGTGGCCCTGTCCGGGCGTGACAGAGGCTCACACTTGTCTTCTGGTCACTTCTCACCGCGCCCCTTTAGCTCTTATCTCTGTATGGCCTGGTTTTTCCTAGGTTATAATTGTAGAGCAAGGATTATTATAATATTGGAATAAAGAGTAATGCTACAAGCTGATGATTAATATTCATGTATCATCATATCTATAATCTATTTCTAGTATAACTATTCTGATTTTATGTTTTCTTTATTACACTGGAACAACTTGTGCCCTCAGTCTCTTGTCTTGGCACCCGGGTGGCTTGCCGCCCACATCTCCCCCCTTTTTATTAACTAGGATCACCATCACCATCATTGCTTGTCATTGACTTCGGACTTTTCCTCAGACTCTTTGGAGGCATCTGCAGGCTAAAAGTAGACAACACAAGCATGCCAATATTAATAATGCCAGGGACAACAATGATCCTCCAAGGGGTTTGATCCATTTAAAGGGATTAAGATCAGATAATCCTTTAGTTATTGTTTCAAAAATGTCTGAGCCAGGAACAGTGGTTAAATGAGCCTGTGAGGCCTCAAAAATTTGTTCCTAAGTTTTGAAATATCTAAGGTTAAGTTATCATCCCAGGCTTTTAAATGTCTTGAGACCTTTTCCCAGCTATGTTGATCTTTATTATAAGCATAAGGCGTTATGCAGTAATCAGAAGTATTCCAATCATGCTGTAATTGCATACAGCATTCCAAATTCGTAACTATCTCCCAGCCATATTACACTTTGGCAGAGATCATTAATTTGATTAGCTAATTTCTGATCAACTTGAGTCAGAATCCTAGAGTCTGGAGGAGTTTTCCTGCCATGCTTCAACATATTGAGCGGTTTGAACAGAATTGTGGGTTGCAACTCCAGTGGTTGCCGCTGTTGCAGTAACCAAAATTACACCTGCAATGACTGCAATAAGAGTAAAAATGAATCTCTTAGTTCTTTTGAAGATACCTTTAAGAACTTCATTGACTATGTGTATAGAGGGGGAAGACTCCCATGGATGATGTAAAGAAACTGGTATCCATACCCCCTCGCTCCCCAGCCCTTACCAAGAGAATACTTGTTCTGGGATTAAAAGTAGCATCAATGCACGTGAACAGCTTACAGTTATCACATTCTATAGTTTGTGTATTGGGAATGATAATTGTATTTCCAACCAACAGCATATGAGGGGGTTTGACACATCTCATGATAGGTATCACCCGTTTAGACATCAAGGTGATGTTGAATATGGGTGTCTTGGTATTAGTAGCAAAGAGTTGATAGGTAGTGTTCCATAGCCTTATTCCTGTCATGGCTGCAGCTAATTTCCATAATTCAGGATGTTCTGGGGTAACAATTGGATGAATCATTTTTGGTCTAGGAGGAATGATGCCTGTGTACATCAATTTAAATGGGTAAGGAGCTACCCATTCCCTCAACCTGTAGGACTGCCATCCGTCCTCTACATATTCTAACAAATAAACTCTGAGCATGTCATATTTTGGCTGGAGCAATTCCGCCAATAATAAATACCCTCTTGGAGCCCAGTCAACAACAACAACCGTAGGTAGAGTTTGGAACACTACGGGCTTTGAAGCATTACAATCATTCCATACAATTGAATTTACTAAAAAAGGTCCCTTTGTAGGTTTATTGGAGCAGTCTGGCAGTCCTTTTGTTATTTTTTGTGGTAACAGGAACCCTCCAGTCCTCATGTGGATTAAGTTTAACAATCATAAGTTGAAAAGAGTTGGTACTGAACACATTATGTACCTGATAAGAATCATTACTCAAGGATGGTATGGTCCACATCCAATTCTGATAAGAATAAGCTAAACAGCCAGGTGACATTCCAATGCACAGTGGTGGATATTTATAGCCGATTGACAAATTAAAGTGCACATCTCCTTCTGGTTGAGCTGGAAAGCTGTCATCATTAGGGGCTGGCATGAAGGCACTATTATTAGTGTAAACTTCTACTGAGGAGTCCATCCAGGAGACAGACTGAATTAAAGGGGGAAAAGGAACATATGTGCAAGAAGCATAATTTTGAGTTGCCCCAACTGCTGGTATACTCACCACTACACTGACTACCATAAAGGCAGCCAGAATTATATTACCTGTTTTTGGAATTCCTTTTTCTTGTAGTAATTTTTCCGTTTGATGTGATAAGACCTTTATTTGACCCCATGTTGGTGGAGTAGAATGACTGGTATTGTAGGTCACACGGTGAGATTGTGTCATAATGTTGAGGTCATGGAATTTATGTGTCAGGCGGCAAAGCTTGCCTTTCAATTTCTGACGTTTCTTCGCCTTTTGTTTCTGAGAGCTTTTTATCTTTGAAGTTATAGTGCAATTTCAGTTGCCGGGAGGGAACCCACACGGGTTGTTGTCCTTCTTTTGGGCAAACACAGCAAAACCCCTACCCCATGTTACCACAGTGCCTGATTCCTGTTTGTCAGTTTTGCATCTTTCCACCATACCCGCTTTTCCTTTTTGTGGATCAAATTTATTTCCAGTGAAATGTTCTGCTGCTGTAAAAGGTTGATTTCTTACTAAATTTAAGAAATTTAGTGTAAAAAAGCAGCACTAGTGTAGCCGGGGCCGTCATTAGTTTTTAGTTTCTCGGGACAGCCCATAACTGAGAAAGATGAAAGTATGTGTCGTTTAACATGAACCATATACTTTCCCTTGTTTGACAAGTGACCCAGATAAAATGAGAAAAGGTGTCAATAGTTAATGTATAAAAGAGAGTTTGCCGAAAGCAGGATAATGAGTCACATCCATTTGCCAGAGAGCATTTTGTGAAAGTCCTCTAGGATTAACTCCTGAAGAAAGTGGCTGTAACATTAACACTTGACAAGTAGGACAGTGATGTACGATGGTTTTAGCTTGTTTGCCTGTAAAGGGGAACTTTTTCCAGAGTCCTGCAGCACTGACATGAGTTAAAGCATGAACATTTTCTGCATCTGTAAAAACGGGAGCAACTAATGTATCAGCTTTGGCATTTGCTGCCGAGAGGGGTCCGGGGAGGGGTGTGTGAGCCCGAATGAGTAATGTAGAAAGAAGACCTTGCTGTGAGTACGGATTGAAACTTTTGGAAAAGAAAAATTAGGTTATCAGGCAGAAGTTTGATTAAGGCAGTTTCAACGTTGCGAGCAACATGTACTACATAGGCCGAATCAGAAACGATGTTAACTGGTTCAGGGAAATCTTCAAGAACAGCCATGACAGCGATCAGCTCAGCTCGTTGTGCTGAAATAACTCCTGTGTTAAGAACACATTCTCTTGGCCCGGTACATGCTGCTTGGCCATTATTACAGGAAGCATCAGTAAAAACAGTGACAGCTTCAGCTAATGGTGTGTTTCTAGTAATGTTAAGGTAAGATCCAAGAAGTGAGTTTAAGGAACCGGAATAGTTTTGCATTAGGATAATGATAATCAGTTATACCCGGGAAACGTGCCAAATGTACTTGCCAAGCAATGCAGGTTGCAAAAGCCTGTTGGACTTGTAATCAGGTGAGGGGAACAATGATTTTTTGGGGCTTAATAACCTTGTCTTCTAGCTGCATTCCTAAATAGTGATAAGGAGAAGAAGTCTGGATTTTTTCTGGGGCAATAACCAAACTGGCTGTTGCAACTGCAGTTGTGCTGCAGAAAAACAAGATATTAACACGGAGCGTGAAGGTGCCGCAAGATCAGCCGCCTGCTGAGCAAGATCAGTGGGTTGTGGCTGATTTTTTGCCACAGGGAAGGCAGGTATTGGAGGTTGTAAAATTAGAGGAAATTGCCAGGCTTCGGGATCCCCATATTCTCTTGCCTGTGCTATAGCCCTCATAAGAGGAGTCTCATTTTTAGGAATGTATGTGACTTGTCACAGTAGCCACCGGACCAGAAGCAGAAAAAAGTTGGAATTTTGAATGGAGGAAAAGTTGAGAACCTGTAAACCAGGATGAGACGAGATTACCTGCCGAGCAGATCTTTCATGGGCCTGAAATCCAGGCTGCCCCGGTAATTGCAGACCAGGCTACAGGGGAGCCTGAGGTTTCTTAAAGGGAACCCGATATTCCAAGAGAGATCCAGGCTTCAAGGGAAACATTTTCCGAGAGAGACCCAGGCTTCAAGGGAACCTGATTTTCCGAGAGAGACCCAGGCTTCAGGGGAGCCTGAGGCTTCAAGGGAGCCTGATTTGTGGAAAGAGAATCAGGCTTCAGAAATGGAAAACTAGGCTGTGGAGGGATAGGATTGGGGCCTCATTACCAGGCCAAACAGGCAGAAGGTTGAGAGCCCTACAGCAGGGCTGAACAGGGACAGGGTTGAGATAATACAGGAGGGTTTTTATGAAGTTTAAATAAGTCGAGTACTTAGTACTGGCTTGTCCCCTGGTGTCCCCGGGATACTCTGAGTGCTCAAGCTTACCACCAAGCTTATTGACCACAGTCCTCAGAAATCTGTCGTCAAATGAATTGTTTTGGGCCCAGATAATATATAATTTTGATAATTTCACTTATTTGTACCTTGATTTTCCCCTGGAGCCCTAGCCTGCTTTTCTCTTTCTCTGAAGCAGAATTGTCCCTCACAGGATCCGTAATCATGCCAACTTCTCTGAACTGACTATATTGTACTGGATTCCCTGAAGTAGGTTCAAACTACAGGGCTGGTATCAGATATGTTTTTTTATTCAGACTTGCATTTAAATCTTTAATCCATCTTGAATTGATTCTTTTATATGGTGTAAGGAAGGGATCCAGGAGTAATCTTCTGCATATGGCTAGCCAGTTATCCCAGCACTATTTATTGAATAGGGGGGTCCTTTCCCTATTGCTTGTTATTGCTGGCTTTGTTGAACATCATCTATCTCCACTTTTGTAGATTACATATGAGAGATTATATAGTATTTGTCTTTCTGTGCCTGGCTTATAACATAATGCCATCCACATTCATCCATATTGTTGCAAGTGATGGGATTTTAAGGCTGAATAGTATCCCGTTGTGTATACATACCACATTCTCCACTCATCTGTTGATGGCCATTTAGGTTGATTCCATATCTTGGGTATAGTGAGTAGTGCTGTAATGAACATGTGAGTGCAGACCTATTTTCAACATGAGGTTTTCATTTCCTGTGGATATCCATCAAGAAGAGGGTTTATTGGATCATATGAGAGTTATACTTTATATGAGAGTTTAATTTAAGGAACTGCCATAGTTTTTCCCCATAATGGCTGTACTAGTCTACATTCCCACCAACAGTGTGCAAATGTTCCTTTGTCTCTGCATCCTCATCAGCACTTGTTCTTTTTGTTCAGGACTGCTTTGGCTATTCACAACTTTTGTGGTTCCATATAAAATTTAGGATTTTTCCCCTCTACTCATGAGGAAAACATCATTGGAATTTTAATACGGATTGCATTGAATTTGTAGATCACTTTGCATAGTATGGGCACTTAAAAATATTCTTCTGATCCATAAACTTGGGATATCTTTTCACTTATTTGTATTTTCTTTTTTTTGAGAAGGAATCTTGCTGTCACCCAGGCTGGAGTGTAGTGGCACGATCTCGGCTCACTGCAAACTCTGCCTCCCGGGTTCATGCCATTCTCCTGCCTCAGCCTCCCAAGTAGCTGGGACTACAGGTGCCCGCCACCACGCCCAGCTTTTTTTTTTTTTTTTTTTTTTTGTATTTTTAGTAGAGACGGGGTTTCGCTGTGTTAGCCAGGATGGTCTCAATCTCCTGACCTCATGATCCACCTGCCTCGGCCTCCCAAAGTGCTGGGATTACAGGTGTGAGCCACTGCGCCTGGCCTCACTTATTTGTATTTTCAACTCCTTTCAGTGTTTTATAGTTTTCAATGCACAGGTCTTTAACTCCTTGGTTAAATGTATTTCTACATTTTATTTTTTCGTAGCTATCATGAATGGAATTGTTGTCTTATTTTCAGATATTTCATTGTTTGTGTATAGAAACACTGTTGATTTTTATGTGTTGATTTTTATTTATGACTTTTCTAAATTTATTAGTTCCAACAGTTTTTTGTGTGTAGAATATTTAGTTTTCTGTACGCAAGATTATTTCATCTGTAAACAGGGACAGTTTAACTTCTTTCTGATTTGGATATCTTATTTTTTTCTCTTGCCTAATTGCTCTAAGACTTCAGCACTATGTTGAATACAATTGGTGACAGTGGGAATCCTTGTCTTGTTTCCAGTCTTAGAGGAAAATCTTTCAACTTTTGAGAGTGTTGTTAGCTATGAGTTTATCATATACAATCTTTATTGTGTTAAGGTACAATTTTTTTTTTTTTTAAATATAGGCTCTTACTCTGTCACCAGGCTGGAGTGCAGTGGTATGATCATGGCTCACTGCAGCCTCAACCTTCCAGAGCCCAAGTGACCCTCCCACCTTCAGCCTCCTGAGTAGTTGGGACTACAGGCATGTGCCACCATGCCCAGCTATTTTTTGTATTTGTAGTAGAGATGGGGTTTCACCATGTTGCCAGGCTTGTCTCCAACCCCCGGGCTCAAGTGATCCACCCTCCTCGGCCTTTCAAAGTGCTGGGATTACAGCCATGAGCCACGCCACTGTACCTGGCTGAGGTACAACATTTTATACTTAATTTGTTGATAGTTTTTTTTAAGTCACTAAAGGATGTTGCATTTTGTCAGTTTTTTCTGCATCTAATGAGGTAATCATATGATTTGTCCTTTATACTGTTAACATTGTGTATCACATTTATAAACTTGCATATACTGAACCATCCTCACATCATTGGGATAAATCCCACTTGATCATGGTTAAATGATTCTTTAATGTGCTGTTGAATTTTGTGCTAGTATTTTGTTGAGGATTTTTGCATCTATATTCAGAAATAAATTGGTCTATAATTTTCATTTCTTCTATCTTGTCTGGATTTGGCATCAGGGAAATGCTGCTCTTGTAAAATGAGTTTGGAAGTAGTTCTTGTTCGATTTTTTGAAGTGTGACAAGGATTGGTATTAGTTCCTTAAATGGTAGGATTGCACAATGAAGCCATCAGCTCTTGAGTTTCTTTGGTGGAAGATTTTTAATTATTGATTCATTACTTATTCATCTGCTCATATTTTAAATTTCATCATGATTTAGTTTTTGTAGGTTATAAGTTTAGGAATCTAAACATATAACCTTCTAAGCTATCCAATTTGTTGGCATATAATTATTCATAGTGGTCTTTAGTGATCCTTCATATTTATAGGTATCAGTTACAATGTTTTCCGTTTCTGATTTTGAGCATTCTTTCTTAGGTTTGTAGAGATTTCTCAGACTTTCTAAAGTTTTATATTGTTTATCTTTAAGAAAACAACCCAGTTTAATTTATATTTTCTATTGTTTTTCTAGTCTCATTTCTGCTCATGCCTTTTTTTCCCCTCATACTTATTTGGGGCTTAGTTTCTTCTTTTTCTATTTTCTTGAGGTGTAACATTTAGGCCATTTGTTTGGGATCTTTGATGTTGGCGCTTGTTGCTGTAACTTCCTTCTTAGATTGCTTCGCTACATCCCATAAGTTTTGGTGTGTTGTGCTTCCATTTTTATCTCAATCTTTCATTTCCCCTCTAATTTATTTGACCCTTTGATTATTCAGGAAAATGTTTAAGTTTCCATATATTGGTAAGTTTTCAAAAGTTCTTCCAGTTATTGATTTTTAGTTTCATACTATTGTGGTCTAAAAAGAGACTTGATACGATTTTGATTTTTTAAAATTTGTTAAGCCTTGTTTTGTGGATTAACATGGTCCATCCTAGAGAATGTTTTTTTGTGTACTTGAGAATATGTATGTTGCTATTCTTGGATTAAATGTTCTGCATATGGTTATCAGGTTCATTTGGTCTAGAGTGTTTTTAGTCAGTTTTCTTATGAATGTTCTCTCTAGATTATTTGTACATTGCTGAAAGTGGGGTATTGACGTCCCCTAGTAATTGTATTATACATTCTTTGTCTATTAATATTACCTTTATATATTCAGGTGGCCTGATGTTGGGTACACATATATACTTACAATTGTTATATCTTCTTGATAAATTTACCCCTTTATCAACATATATTATCATTTTACAGTTTTTGACTTAAATTCTATTTTATCTAAGTATATCTACCCCTGCTCTATTTTTGGTTCCCATTTGCATGGAATATATTTTACCATCTTTACTGTTGGTGTGTGTGTTTTTACAGGTGAAGTGAGTCTCAGGCAGCATACAGTTGAGTCTTTTTTAATCTATTAAGCCACTCTGTCTTTTGATTAGACAATTTAATTCATTTACATTCAAGGTAATTATTGATAAGTAAGGCCTTACTATTGCCATTTTGCTAATTGTTTCCTGTTTTTTTAGGGCCTTCGGTTTCTATCTTATCTTCCTTTGTGAAAATTTTTTGTAGTGGTATATTTTGATTCTTTACTTTTTATCTTTTGTGTATTTACTATAAGTTTTTGCTTTGACATTTACAGGAAGCCTACAGAAAACATTGTAATAGGCTATTTTAAGCTGATAACTTTGATTAAACATTTCTATGCTTTACTCAACCTCACCCACATTTTATGTTTCTGATGTCACAATTTACATCTTTTATATTGTCTGTCCCTTAACGATTAGTGTAGCTATTTTCAGTTTTGTCTTTTAACCTTCATATTAAAGATGGAAGTAACTTACATATTACTATATTATCACCATTAAAGTATCAGAGTATTCTGAATCTGAGCATGTACTTTAAAAAAAAAAAAAAAACACACCAGTGAGTTTTATACTGTCCGCTATTTTCATGTTACAATTTAGCTCCCTTTTCTTTCAGCTTGAATTTTTCCTTTAGCATTTCTTGTAAAACAGGTCAGGTGTTGATGCATTCCCTCATCTCCTGGCTGTCTGAGAAAGTCTGTCTCTCTTCATTTCCAAAGGACACCTTGCTGGGTAAATGCTACTTCATTAGCCTTTTTTCCCTTCAGCCCTTTGAGTATGTTGTCTGGCCTATAATGTTTCTGTTGAGAAATCCACTATCAGACTTATAGAACTCCCCGATAGGTGACTTTTCTCTTGCTGTTTTCAGGATATTCTCCTTGTCTTTGATTATGGTATGCCTTGATGTCTTGTTTAGATTGAATCTTATTTAAAACCTTTTACCTTCTTGTACCTGGATATTTATATATTTTCCCAGATTGGAAAGTTTTTACCTATTTTTTAAATTAAGCTTTGTCCTTTTCTCCTCTTGTTCTGCCTAAACTCCTATAATTCAAGAATTAGCTCTCTTGATATTGTCTCATAAATTCCATAGGCTTTTTACCTTTTTCTCCTTTGTTCTCAAATTTTCGTCTGCTTGATCACTTCTGCTGTTGATTCTATTTGATGTTTTTTCATTTTTATTGTATTGCTTAGCTCCGGAATTTTAAAAATTTCATCTGTTACATTTGTCTTCCTAGTTTTTTTTGAATTATTACTCTATTTTCTTGAGTCTAAGATATTTTAAAACAATTATTTTGAATTCTTTATCAAGTAGTTCATAGATATCCATTTTTGGGGGTCAGCTGCTAGGAAATCATGTTCTTTTTATGGTGATGGCTTTGCTTTTCAAGTTTCTGTCTTACATTGTCTTTTCATTTGGTGGAGTAGTCATCTCTTCCAGACTTTATAGACTGGTTTTGGTGGGGAAAGACTTTCCCCTAAAAGGAGGGGTGAAGGCACTGGCTGGGTGTGGGTCAGTGGTTTTGGCACTGAAGATGGCATGTCGGTATAGTCTCCATGCAGCTCTGTCTGCTGAGATCATGTTAACTAAAATTTCAGGGATCCTCAGTGGCCAACCCTGTGGATGTCTGCAGAAGCAGTGAGGGCTGTTGGCGTGTCTTTTGTGGCAGTGACTGCTGGAGTCCTTCAAATCCTTTTCTCCCCTCAGGGAAGTTATTGCTGAGGGGATCCCTCTTAGCGTGGGGTACAACTTGCAGGCCTGCTTGAGTTGGCAATGGCACCCATGTCTGGTGAGTAGTGCTCATGGAGGCCTGAAGTGTGGCATGCATAGAAGGACTATAGCTTTGGGCCTGGGGTGGTAATGGCACCAGGACCTGGGGTTCAGGCACTTATATGGTTAAATTGGTAATGATATGTGAAGTGTGGGTGCTTGTGAAGCAGCCATGGATGGCAGCACAGTTGTACGTAAAGCTACAATGGATCTGGGGTCTAGCTCTCTATGGGTACATGCCGAGACCTTAGCTCTGGGTGCAAATTGCTCTGGTGTCTGAGGCATGGGCCTACATTGTGCAGCCTTAGATCTAGGACTGGAACACAGGCTAGCTACTTCTTAGTGGTAGCTGAGCTGGTGTCTCAAGTGTTGGCATGCAGAGAGACTTTGGCTTCAGGGTATGGGTGTCAATTAGCTTGCTGTGGTGATGGATCTGGTGTCAGAGGCATGGGTAGGCACAATGCAGCCACAGAGCCAGGATCTGGAATGTGGGCACTTGCAGAGTGGCCATGGCTTGGGACCCTGGGGCACATGCAGTATTGGGAGAAGTGGTAGCTCTAGTCCTGGAGTGGCACAATGGCAGCTGTTTTTTTGGTGTGTGTACAGCTGTGTCTCCCTCTCTGGGGCTCTCCAGTATGAATGGTCATTGATTGCCTAAGTTGAAGAAGATGCTGGTTTCTTTTTCAGAGCAGACCACACTGGAAACCAGTGGTTCCTGCCCCATGGCTGATACAATCACCCCTGTCTTCTTTGTAGCCACCTCAGGTATGCCCTTCTCATCAGTGAACCTTTGTGTGGATATTCTCTACTTTTGCTCCACTGTGTTGCTGCAGATTCTTAAATTGGCTCTTGAGGCCCCCCAGGGCTATTTTGATTTGTGGATAGCTCTCTATTTGTTGTGTGGGTAGGTATATGTGGGGAAATGAAGGCTGGCATCTTCTACTCTGCCTGTTATCTTCTAGTCTGCCATTGTGATGACATCCAGTATTATTTTAAGATGTCAATATTTACTATAATCCAGGAATTCTATTAAAATTATTTAATCTGATAAAAATTGTAGTTATAAACTCAAAATGATTTTAAAAACTATACATCTCTTCATGCACTTAAGGAGTTCATGGCAAATGTTGGAGGATCTCTCTAAAGAACATGTTCAGCCCTGGTGTTTGATCTGAAACTTCCAGAATGGGAAAGATTTAGATGATCCCATTATCAGTCTACAAATATTTTTAAAAACTCTTCACCCCCACTTTAGGACTTTAGTGTTTTCAGTTTCAGTCCTTCTTGAAGTTAAGCAGTAACTGAGGATCTAATATTGTATGCAAAACAGTGAAAATATTTGATTGTTAATAATTGCCAAGTCCGTTGCCAAGCATTTGGCTTGGGCTGTTGGTAGAACGATAGCTATCTATGGCTCTAAGATTTTTTTTTCCTGAAGCCTCAAGACAGAAACATCCTAATTGTATCAAGATATAAACTCCATGGATGATATACAATTTAACTGTCTTATCCATTCAAACTTCAGTCATTCAAATATTTATTAGGCCTTAAATTTATGAGGCTTAAATATATCAAAGATGGAATTCTTGTGCTCAAGGATTACAGGATGAGAGCAACAGGACAGGAGACCAAGTGTGAAGGACCAGCACCAAGTATCTTCATTGTCTCCTCTCTCCAAACCCAATTCTTAACAGCCCAGTGCTGCCAGAATTCCCATCTCATACGCTTAGTTATGGCCTGATTTTATGATGACTAATTCAGAGTTTTCTGAGGACTTAGTCGGAAGTCTAACTGCAGTCTATTTGGTGACTGATGTCTTGCTGCTTCTAGTCTCCTGACTCTAGCCGACCTATGTTTCTAAGCTTTTGCTATTCCCAGCAGTATCACCCACAGAAAAGGGAGTGTGTAGATACAAGAATCTGAAGATGACATCTGTATCCATCATGATCAGAAAGCACCCAGGTTAGTATCTGACCAAAGGAAAAAAGTTCAGTAACTGCTGTCATTGACACTAAATCCCTAAATTTTCTGAATGGCATGTTACTGTTTCCCTCTAGTTCTAGCTTGTAACCTCAGGTATAGACAGTGCTCCAATGCCATAGATCCTCTCCCCAGTGTACAACAGTTTTCTGGGTGGCCTTGGACTGACCTGGTTCTCCCCTTGTTTTTAGTTCTACGGAATTATAGAATGTGCAGGGAATACAACATCCTGAGATACGAAAGAACTGGATGGAACAGACTGGCTCTGGCTTTAGTTCTCCCTAGAAACAGGATGTCTTTCAATGTTTTAGCCCAGGGTGTCATGTTGCCTCAGGAAGAAAACCCAGAAGGTGCTGCTTTCTAGGGTCCCTCAGGTGTGGTTCAAATGTGACACACACCCTGATGAAACTCAACCTATCCTGGTCAGCTTTCCTGAGCCTTGGGGGACCAGCTTGACATGAATTCTAGGCCTCTATTGCCCTTTGCTGCCTACCTGTTGTGTGAGTGTTCTGTCTCATAAGCCTCTGACAAGTTGGTAACCATTGCATGGTGAAACAACTTCACACCCAGAGCCTTGTGCTGTAATACCCCTAAGGTTCTACATATTAACTTTTAACCTCTATTTTAGGTCATAACTTTTGTTCTGGTCCCAGAGTAAAACATTTCTATATGCCTTGTTCTTTCCTATACTTTCCTTGATATGCCAGACATCAGATGTAATGGTAATTGAGCTGAAGCGTTTCAAGTAGAAATAAGGCTTCCCAAATAAGAAGCAACACAAGGTGTGGGGTCAAACTGGAACAAAGTCTAAGAATGCAGGAGTATAGGATTGTAGGTAAGGGTGGGCTTTACTTGAACAAACATTCTCTTTAGAAATGGCCTGGCAGCTTTTGCCCATTCAGTATGATGTTGACTGTTGGTTTGTCATATATGGCTCTATTTTGAGGTGTGCACCTTCAGTACTTAGAGTTTTTAACATGAAGGGATGTTGAATTTTATCAAAAGCCTTTTCTGCATCTATTGGGATAATCATGTGGTTTTTGTCTTTAGTTTTATGTGATGAATCACATACTGAATGGGCAAAAGCTGGAAGCATTACCCTTAAACTGGCACAAGACAAGGATGCCTTCTTTCACCATGCCTATTCAACATAGAAGTTCTGGCCAGAGCAATCAGGCAAGAGAAAGAAAAAAAGGGCATACAAATAGGAATAGAGAAAGCCAAACTATCCCTGTTTGCAGATGACATGATTCTATATCTAGAGAACCCCATTGTCTGAAACCCAAAGCTTATTAAGCTGATAAGCAACTTCAATCAAAGTCTCAGGATACAAAAGAAGTGTGCAAAAATGCTAGCATTCCTATATACCAGTCAAGCCAGGGGCCAAATCATGAACTCACTCCCATTCACAATTGCCACAAACAAGGATAAAATGCCTAGGAATACAGCTAAGAAGGGAAGTGAAAGATCTCTACAAGGAAGACTCCAAACCACTGCTTAAAGTAATCAGAGATGACACAAATGGAAAAACAATTCCATGCTTATGGATAGGAAGAATCAATACTGTGAAAATGGCCATACTACCCAAAGCAATTTATATATTCAATGCTATTCCCATTAAACTACCATTGGCATTCTTCACAGAAGTAGAAAAAACTATTAGACTGGTGAAAAAGTAACTGTGGTTTTTGCAAATATTTTCAATAGCAAAAACCATAACTACTTTCGCACCAACCTAATATTTTAAAATTTATGTGGAACCAAATAAGAGCCCAAATAGCCAAGGCAATACTCAGCAAAAACAAAGCTGCAGGCATTATGCTACCCAACTTCAAACTATACTACAGGGCTACAGTAATCAAAACAGCATGTTACTGGTACAAAAACAGACACATAGAGCAATGAAACAGGATAGAGAACTCAGAAATAAGACTGCACACCTACAATGATCTGATCTCCAACAAACCTGACAAAAACAAGCAATGAAGAAAGGATTTAATAAGTGGTGCTGGGAGAACAAGTTGAAACTGGATTCCTTCTTTATGCCTTATACAAAAATTAACTCAAGATGGGAATTGAACAATAAGAACACTTGGACACAGGAAGGGGAACATCACACACCAGGGTCTGTTGTGGGGTGGGGGAAGAGGGGAGGGATAGCATTAGGAGATATACCTAATGTAAATGACGAGTTAATGGGTGCAGCACACCAATATGGCACATGTATACATATGTAACAAACCTGCACGTTGTGCACATGTACCCTAGAACTTAAAGTACAATAAAAAAAATATTTAAAAAAACAAAAAAAACCCCCAAAACTATAAAAACCCTGGAATATAACCAATGCAATACCATTCAGGACATAGGCATGGGCAAAGATTTCATGATAAAGATGCCAAAAGCAATTCCAGCAAAGCAAAAGTTGATAAATGGGACCTAATTAAACTAAAGATCTTCTGCACAGCAAAAGAAACTATCAGAGTAAACAGACAACCTACAGAGTGGGAGAAAGTTTTTGCAAACTATGCATCTGACAAAGGTCTAATAGCCAGCATCTATAAGGAACTTAAGTTTACAAGAAAAAAAAAATCAAGAAGTGGGCAAAAGACATGAACAGACACTTCTCAAAAGAAGGTATATGTGGCCAATAAACATGAAAACAAGCTCAACGTCACTGATCACTAGAGAAATGCAAATTAAAACCACAATGAGATACCATGGCAGTCAGATAGCTATTATTAAAAAGTCAAGAAATAACAGATGCTGGCAAGTTTGCGGAGAAAAAGGGAACACTTATACACTGTTGATGGGAGTATCAATTGGTTCAACCATTGTGGAAGACAGAGTGGCAATTCCTCAAAGACCTAGAGACAGAAATATCATTCAACCCAGCAACCTCATTACTAAGTGTATACCCAAAGGATTATAAATCATTCTGTTACAAAGACACACGTATGCATATGTTTACTGCATCACTATTCACAATAGCAAAGACATGGAATCAACCTAAATGCCCATCAATGATAGACTGGATAAAGAAAATGTGGTACATATATACCATGGAATACTCTGCAGCCATAAAAAAGAAAAAAAGTCATGTGCTTTGCAAGGACATGGATAGAGCTGGAGGCTATTATCCTTAGCAAATTAATGCAGGAACAAAAAGCCAAATACTGTATGTTCCCACTTATAAGTGGGAGCTAAATGATGAGAACACATGGACACATAGAGAATACCACATACTGGGGCCTACCAGAGGGTAGGAGGAAGGAGAGATCAGGAAAAATGATACCAGGCTTAATGAAATAGTCTGTACAACAAAGCACCATGACACACGTTTACTTATGTAACAAACCTGCACATCTTCCACATGTACCCATGAACTTAAAAGTTAAATAGCCTCTTACTTCCTTTTAAACAGGATAGAATTCTTGGTCCAGTTTTTCCTGCAGAAATATCAACTTAAAAGAAAACATGAGAAGATCACCTTTGTTTTAGGGTTTATGGTATCTTACCCCTCTCTCCAACTCCTCTAGTCATGAAAGAATGCCATGCATGAGAGCATTTAGCTCTTGTTCCTGAAAATATTCTCCTTGATTCTTTGCTTTGTCATGGGAAGTTGGCAACTTGACATAAACTTGTTTCTGATTCTCACTCCTCACCATTGTTCAAAGCTAAGGGCACCTAAATAAAGAGCATGATTGACTAATTTGGCTGATTACCAAAGTATTTAGGTTCGTAAGAGTGGAAAAGGGAAGCAGCAGTCTCAGTCCGCAACATCTGCCCATGCAATTATGCTTTAGAGACTGTGGAGGTTGCCATGCCTGAACACATCTGAGCAGCAGGAGATAGGTAAAATTAGGAGTGAGGAGACTTAAGTGCAGCAGAGGCTCCAGTGTAGAAAGATGAGGGGAATGCATAGTCTATAATGAGGCTATCTAAAAATGGTTTATTCTCAAGTGGTAAGCTCAACAATGAGGCAATTTCTCTGGTTCTTCAGCTCTTCAAGAGAATAATCATAAAAGATTTATAAACAATCCCATTTCTATGGAACACTGAATCCGAGAGGAGAAAGCAGCCTTTAGAAGCAAGCTATCTTAGCACTGTGGGTGGATGTCATTCTTACTGTCAAAATGATCGGGCAAGATAACATAAGAAATCATTAAAGTGAGAAAGTGAATTTATGCCTCCACTAAAAAGTTTTATAGAGTAATGCTGACTATAGATTTTCCTTCCTGCCTTTGATTGGTAGGAGTAGGTATGTAGAGAAGTCTGATGTATCAAGCTTCTTAGGATTGATTAAAGAGGCAGAAATACTATGAATGATATGAAATATAAGGTTTATTATACGTATGAGACCTTAGGTCAACAGGGCTAACAGTCAGGAAGAAAACCTGGATGTGAATTGACAGAAAGTAAGAATTAAACAGCAGCCAGGATGGACTGGAATATACAAGGACAGCCTAGAGTCTGTTTCTGTCCTTCATTATTTCAAACCTTGACAATGCAGGTGATTTTCAAAAGGAGCTGGTACCATTTACCATAGAGCTGCACAACGTACCTAGTCTAGCACTTGGAGAAACAGAAGAAAGGGATTTAAATAGGAGATGATGCCCCAAACCAATGAGGTGAACCTGTAATCAGTGACAAGCAGCATGAGCTGCAGCAGTACCAGATGCTCTATGCTGCCCTTCAGAGAATGGTTGCTGCTTTATTTCTGCCTTCTGGCATCACAAAACTATATTTTGTGGCCAGCCTAGCCAGGAACCACAGAGGGAAGGGAAGTCTGGGTAGCGTCGTTCCCGCTTGGTCAAGATGACATAGTACAAAGTCCCTATGGCATTAAACACATCTGAGAAATCTCAGCTAAATGGAGAATAACAGTGTCTCCTTTAAGTAAAGGTCCATCAGCCCACCTATTTTCTCTATCATATATCTAATTATCTTTCTAATTTAGCTATTCCAAAGGGTGAAATTTATTCCCTTTCCCTCATACTTGTATCCCTTGAAAGGTTATGTATCTATTAAACACATTCATCTTTATCCAACTTGTTTCACCAATGAGGACTGAGACAGGAAGTAATATTCTTACAGGAAGATGCTCGTTCCAACTCATCATTGCTAGTAATATAATTGGACACTTGGGCTAATGTCGATTTGTTCCATGTGAACTTACTTTCTCTAGTTGCTGAAGACAAAAGTAGTCAACCATATTTCCTGAAAAAGAGATTAGTCTATTTTAAAACACTGAAGACATAATACTGGTTTGTGTTGGTCAGGCAGTATTTCCAGAAGGTCATATCCCTCAGATTTAGGCTTTTATTCTCAGATTTTCTGCAGAGGCATTTCTCAGGGCCAATACCTGAACTTCTAGAGTACAGCCAGAGAAGGCCCTGACAGCCAGGGCCTCTTACTAAGCCTCTCTAGCAGGACAGAGGCTACTCTGCCATGAATATAACTTTGAGGTTTGCAAATGATAGGGAGGAAAAAATGTTTCTCTAAAAGCCTCCATTCTGACTGACCAAGTATTCAGGAATGGCAGGACAGTGCATAATTTATGAAGAATGGTCACATTAAACTATGGAGACAAAGACGAATATCCCAAATAATTCCCTAGGGAATTATTTTCATTTCTTCTGTGACCACTTCTACTCTGTCTGCAAATTCTGGACTCACCATTTACCTCAGGGAGATGTCAAATCAGGTCAGAGAACAAATACATCCAATTCTTATCTTTTCAGTTCAAAAGTCTTGATCACAAAATATAGAAAAGAGTTCTATAAGGATCTAAAGTGGTAGAATAGGTTTTTCTTCCTGGCTTCAGATTAGGTTAAGCACAAAAGATCCTCTGGTGCCTGGCAGTAGAGGAGACATTCGTTGGGATCAGCACACCCCCAACACCCTCAAGCTGAGGCTCCCAAGACTCCCAGTGCTGTGGGGTGAATTCTGAGCGCTCCTGGGGCACAGCGAGATGAGGAACTTGGCTAAGAGCAACAATGATCATACTGGCTAGTTTGCACAGAGTCCTGCAGTCACGATGAAGGATGGGTTCCAGACAGATGTGGACCAGCTGGTCTCTTCCAGGATCCTACGACTGATTTCAGTGGATCAACAATACCAGAAAATCCAGGAGGGTCAGTGCCCACAGGTCATGATGTGAGGCAGCACCATATGTTACAGAACAAGACACATCTGGCTTGAAGGCCAGACAGGGAACAGCAAGCAGAAGGCATTCCTCTTTCATGTGACTTCCATTGTGACAATTCTGTAAAAGGCCATTTCATCCTCTACTGCAGTTTTAAATCTAACACATGAAGGTGATAGAAAAACTCCTGGGGGTGTTTTGAAAATTGTATCAGAATGAATTATGAACTAGAATCAACTAAGATCAATGTTAATTGGATTTGGTAGAATGTGGCTGTTGTCTATGACTCATTTTATGTTTATTCAAAGACCCATTCTGGCTGATGTAGAAAAAGCTGAAGGCAATTATAGTTTTACATAACTGGATCTGTGACTAAGTTTTATGCTTGTTATACAAGGAATTATCTAGAGGTATTTTGTTTTTTACCAACACAGAGCTGATTAGGTGGGTGTAACTCTAGTTGAAAAGCCTCAGAGGTACATGAGTGGGTGCCGGGCAGTCAAGGGGAGCAGAGAAAAGCTGGCTCTGTTTATACAACTTTCTGCAGAGAAGCAAATGGAGGGAGCTTTCTAAAGCCAAAACCAGTACATTCATAAGTCATTATGAGAACATTCTCTGGCCTTTCCTGGAATTTGTTCTAGTTACTCTTCTCACATTATCACCACCTCCAACCCCCCAGAGCCTTTTAGTGTATGGTAAGTATTAAGAGGCATGTTTTTATTCTTTGTGTGCCAGGCACTAGAGAAGCATTTTACGTTATCACATCCTTATAAAATATCTGTAAGGGGCTGCCATTAGTTTCATTTCAAGAGGAAACTGAGGTTTACATTATACAACATGTCTGGTCTGACAGATACTGTTTCAGATCCATCTCTGTCTTTGATTTCAGAGCAGAGGTTCTTAGCCACCTGTTAAGAACATAAAATCACAATAATGCCTCCTCTCTCAAGTGTCTCCCAATCTTTGCTTTTTTCCGTGAAAACCTGCAGACTCAAAAGGGGTTGACGGTAGTGTATTTTATTTCCACTTTAAGTCTTAGTGATGGGAAAGAAACATTTGTGTGACAGGGAAATGTGACATTGGCTTTGAATAAGAGATTCAATTGTTGGGCTTGTCTCATTTTTATAATATGCATTCTCCAGTGTATGTTCCCTTCCATCCTGTTTGGAGATAACCCCTTCACCAGGAAGTGGCCTACCCATGACTACTGCTGACAGTGGGACTAAATGCTGTAATGTACTTCAGGTCATACCCCAAGTATGATAGAACTTGTCATGAGTGTTTGTCCCTGGATAGACTAGTAGCATACATACAAGTGATATTTTCTTTATCTGCTATCATTCAACACCATGTGAAGACACTGGAAATGATTGGTATTTGGTCCTGGTCTGTGATAGACCCAGCAGATGATCCAGGGAAAAATACTTTGATATGGGTTTTCTAAGGTTATTCTTTCAGGAAGTTTTTAGTATAATACTAATCCTACTAGTTTTAATTAAGGGCAGGTTTTAAGAGCCCCGCACTATATGCACACTCTGCTTTACATGGTATAAAAAGATTTTAGGCATTATGCCAAAGAGATCTCCTGTGAGAAAAGGTCCTGGTCACTTTCCTCAGCACTGGTGCTACTGTTGGACTTGAGTATCATCTTCTCCAATGCCTGGACTTACGATTAGGAGATCATCTGTAAAATAAGTTTCGGCCCAGACTTCTATTTGGAGTTGAGGAAAAGATACTAATCAGTAGATTACATTTGGCACTAAAATTATGTTCACAGAAGCCTATCTTCTCTCAATAGTTAGATTCAGACATTGGACTGCAGAGACCCTGATAAAGATGGAGGAATGACCACCTCTTATTGTCAAGACGATAGAGAAAATTAAATAAAATGTGACTCAACTTGATCCTGGAGTTAGGCATAGATTGAGGACATAGAAATTTATTAATAGTCAGGGGCTCAGGGGTTTAGGCTAAACTTTAGAAAAGAGCTCATGCAATTACAGTTTCCTACATTTTTGGCGGGGGCAGGGGTGGGGGTCGTGGGAGTGATATGAAGTTTATATGCTAGCTCTGGTTTGATTACTGGCTTCTTTAGAATTTTGTCTTTAAAAATACTAAAGCAACTTATTTTTAACCTAAGATTGGTCACTTTAGCCTTCTTAGATGTTATTGTTTGTAAATGTAGTTAAATGATTTAATATTGGAAACATCTGAGAACTAAGATGTACATAATCATAATTCTGGGTCACTAGGATTGGGAGTGACTGCTTCATTCTACTTGTCTACTTGTCATGCATTGCCACAAAATTCCTGCAGGTTTCTGGCCTGAAGTAGTCCTCATTACAGAACCTTTGTGATCAGTGAATAATGAAAGTGGTCAAATCATAATTCAGAAGTATCAACAAGAATTACCCAGTGAGATCTGGAAGCATTTCAAAGTTTACATGCACCACAGGGCCTCCATCTATTCTCATCATCTTTGGCTTATCAGTTACCCCAACCCCCTTCAAATCCCATTACCCTCTTCCCTCTACGCCGTTCCGTTATTTTGGTGTGGCTCCTGTCTACCAGATATGCCAATCTCAGGGCCTCTGAAATGGAATCTTCTAATGCCCTTCTCTGTCTACTCTTCCCTGCTCTCAGCTAGCCCTATCATTAGGAGATACAGAATACTGCAAACTCATCTGGCTGTTTAAATGGGATAGGACTTGGTTTGAAGATTTTAATTCCTGTGCGTGGTAAGATCTCACTCCAAGTCCTATTAAGATTTCTCATACTTATATTTTTATGTTCAACTGAAGGCATTTTCTGGGGCAAGCCAAAAGGTTGGCAAAGCTTGTCAACACAGTTGAGATTTTCCAGACCTTTAATAACAGAATTTGTAAACTGCCCAAGATGTTAGAACATAATTCTGACTTCTAGAAATTCTGCTTTATAACATTCTACAAAGAGGAATGATGTTTTATACCAAAAAAGTAAAGGATAAAAATTACCTTGCTTTCTGTGGCCTGTATGCTTATGTTGCTTAATTTTATAGTTAAACAGAGAATTGTAGTACAAAAACTCATGCCCTGATTTTCTTCACTTTCAGATATTAGGTCTATACTGTATAGAAAATCCATGATCAAACAGAATAGACTTTAAGATTGCTCTTAGACTCTTATCCTCAAAGTTCAGGTAGGACCCAGACATTTCATGGGCTTCCCCAGTCAGAGCTTTGTCCTGTCATGACTAAGTATTTATATGCCCTGTAAGAAAACATAACTATTGAGTACTGAGCTTAATACCTGGGTGATGAAATAATCTGTACAACATATCCCTGTGACATGAGTTTATCTATGTAACAAACCTTTACATGTACCCCTGAATCTAAAATAAAAAGATATAGAACAGTCACCTGGTTTGAGTCCTTGCCTTAATATGGAGAAGAGCCTCTCGGATCTGCTTTGTGCGGACAGCATAGACTATTGGGTTGAGGATAGGTGGGATGAGGAGGTAAATGTTGGCCAAAAGGATATGGATATGGATATGGATATGGATATGGATATGGATATGGGGAGGCACACGATGGCCAAAGCGGTGTGTGAGAGAGGAAACAGCAATGGGGATGTAGAAGACGAGGATGGCACAGATGTGAGAGCCACATGTCCCTAAGGTTTTAAGCCTGGCTTCAGAGGTGGCCAAGCCCATTACAGCCCTGAAAATCATCACATAGGAGGCAGTGATGGCCAATGAATCCAGGATTAATACCAGAAAGCCAATCCCCATTCCATATAAGTTGTTGACCCTTGTGTCACACCACATGCCAAGGTGACCACAGCCATGTGCTCACAGTACGAATGGGCAATGATTTGGGTGTGGTAAAGGGGCAACCTCAGACAAATCACTAGGGGCAGAGGTCCAATGTAGATTACCCCCCGGAGGAGGGCAGCCAGCCCCAAACGACCCACCACAGCATGGGTGAGCAACAAGGTATGATGCAGTGGGTCACAGATGGCCACATAGTGATCAAAAGCCATGGCAAGGAAGATGCCTGACTCAACAGTGGCAAAGCAATGAATGAAGAACATCTGGGCCAAACAGGCATTAACACCAATGTTGTGGGCACCAAACCAGAAGATGGCCAGTAGTTTGGGCATGGTAGAGGTTGACAGGACCAAGTCAATGACAGCCAACATGCACAGGAAGAAGTACATGGGCTGATGCAGGCTGTACTCCATCCTTACCACTGCCAGGATGGTTATGTTCCCCAGCACAGCTACCAGGTACATGGAGCCAAAGGGGATGGAGAGCCAGATGTGCAGGGATTCCAGGCCAGGGATGCCAGTGAGCCGGAAAGAGGTAGGCACGGAGCAGGCATTATTAGGGGTTAACATATTCAGGGATCTGGGGTATCCAGGAGACAGGAGCTCTTAGTTTTAGATTTTTACTCTTGTGAGTGATACTGCTTCGGGAACTGTAGACTAGATTTTCATTTCCAACCAGGGTGACTGGTGGTGCCTATAATAAAAAATTCTGAATGCCAACTTGAATAAAAAATCAGTTCGTGTTTTATAAAATAAATTATCCATAATGATACCTACTGTTAATGATCCGTAATTATGCTCATGATTTTTACTAAATCGCCCTACCACACTGTAAAAATCCCCAACACTATGCATCCCCCTTTAACTCATAATTTTACTCTAAGGAAATTTTTCTGAAGGAAACAAAGTACAAAAGAGTTCTACATGTAATAGTTAAATGTAAATCCATGTAACATGTTTAGCCAGTGCCTGCATATGCTTCTCATCACTGATCAATAGCAACACTAATAACATACCGATTAGATGTTTCCAACTAATTTTTACTAATGAAAATTTGCAATAATGTGCTCACAAATAAAGCATTGTTTAAATTCTAGTACCTCCATTCAGTGAATTAGATTATGTTGATATTTTTAAAGATAAGCACTTCCTGGTATAATGTTCACATCATAGTATAATAAGTCAGGGAATAGCAGGAGGCAGATTAAACTATGGTTTAATTGTATTAAAGTATGCATGTGAGAGAGAAACACACACCTTTAAATAGAAAACGGAAGATTTGGACCCAGCTTTTGTCTGTTGATTTTGGGTGGATGAGATTTGTGCTTTTTTATATTATGCCTTTAAAAATGATCAAGAGCTTTAAAAATAAGGTTATAAAATATCAAAACCTGCTAAAAATATAAAGAGAAAATTTGCTATGGTAAATGTACTAAGGAAGCACATTACTTTTTCTCTGAATGGGTTTAATATTGGTTTTTTCAGATTGTCAAATCTAGTTGATCAAAGATATTTAGTACAGGACCTACTTTTTTTTTTTTTGGGGACAGTCTTGCTCTGTCACCAAGCCAGAGTGCAGTAGCGCGATCTTGGCTCGCTGCAACCTCCGCCTCCCGGGTTAAAGTGATTCTCCTGCCTCAGCCTCCCAAGTAGCTGGGACTACAGGCACATGCCACCACACCCAGCTAACTTTTATATTTTCAGTAGAGACGGGGTTTTACCATGTTGGCCAGATGGTCTTGATCTCTTGACCTCATGATCCACTCACATTTAAAGTTGCCCAGACTTAATGGTTAAACAAAATGAAAATAAATGAGTTTTTAAGAAACGTTTACTCTAAGGACAGGATCTATTAAGTTTTCCTGGCAAGAATTTTGATATCACCTATAATTTGAGATAATAGAAGAAATACATCTTTGGGCAACTTTTACTAGATATTGTCCATCTAATAGGGATTTAAAAAGAATGGACTGATATAAGTCAGCAAGACACTTCTGCCCTACCACATCCTTCTTGGCCTCCTTGTGAGGAGACAGGAAGATCACTTTATAAAAATCCTTGTCTATTTTTTTGTCCTCTGTCCTTTAGGTGCTTCTAAAAGTCTAGCAAGGAATCCTATTGTTCACATCCTCAGGGTTCAGAATCAGAGGGCCTGACATGTCCTCTGTCTCAGGCCTGCCCTCCTGACCATTCTTACCGTCAGTCAGCAAGTCTCATGACACCACACATTTTTGCTAAGTTTCACCACCTGTTTGGTTTTTACCTAGGGAAATTTTATATCCTTTGAGGCCCTTATCCCAGATCACCCTTCTTTGGTATCTCCAGTCTATACCAGAGTGGGTGGGTAAGTGGGGAGAGACACCATAGTCGCTACATTCCCCCAAATTGTATCAAATTGAAATGTGCATGGGCTTGTTTATCTAAAATGTAAGCAGCAATTACACTTCTGTAGCAAATAAGCATAAGAAACATTCCTGTGCAGACTCATGGCTCCTTAATTCAGGCTCCAACATTCAGTTTATCCTTTTATGAGTTAACATTTGGTCAGGCATTGACAGTCCTAAATAGAAATATGAAAATTTTCTGAACTTAATGGTTCATGAGTGTTTCCATGTTAACTGATCCTTTAGTGACTAATTCTTCGATATGTAAATAAGTTATAATGTATGTAAAGTCATTTCCTCTGAGTTCAAAAGTAAGGTTGCTCTGGATTCATTGGATAAGACGGGAAAGAAAAGGAGGTCCTGGAAGGCAGCCCCACACAGCTGGCTCAGGGCACCGGACTTGCCACTAACAAGCCAGATTTCCCTTCCAGAACTTCATCTTACCCTGGGCAAATTGCTTAACCTATTGAAGCCTCCCTTTAATTTATATGTGAAGTAGGGAGAATATTGCAAAGGATAAGTATATAGAACAAACGAGATGAGTGTGAAGCTCTTGGCACATGACAGCTGCTGCCCTTCCCTGAATTCTAATATGGGAATAGACTAAAATTTACGTTTTATATATTGGAGTGATTTCCTTGTGTTTGTTACATAGGACATCTTAGATTAGAAGATGTTGCAAAAGTGTAGGAATTGTATGGATGGAACAGGGATCCAAGATGAACATTAGTCAATGTACAATTTTACATATAAAGTGAGAATACCTAACATCTTCTCTAAAATTACGGTGGACCATCATCCTAAAGCAGAAAGGAACCCACTCAATTGTGAGGGCAAGTCGACATAGTGGCTACTCATCACAAAAAGTGTCCAGAGAAAGCTGGGACAAGAGAAAGTTGAACATACTGTTATTTTGTGTGTGTGTGTGTGTGTGTGTGTGTGTGTGTGTGTGTGTGTGTGTAGCTTATTGGCATCTTAAATGGTGGTCTGAACTATTTTCTGTGTCAGCCCACTTGAAGGCATCCTTACCTGGACACTGGTGACATGCCCACAAACCCTGGGAGAGGCATTTTGACGGTGAGTCCAAGGATTTTGAAAGATTGTTATGGTGACAAGCACGGATTAGATTAAGTTCAAATACTAACTCTACATTGCCTAATGTCACGGAGCCAGAAACAATAAAGTATTTATTTTGTTTCCTGGTCTGTATAATGCAGGGGAGCAATAGCTACCTTGGAGTTGCTTCATGTATTAAATGAGCTGTTTGTAAATGTGTGTATGTATATACAGAGAAAGCCGAGGTTTACGAAGCCTGGCTTCTGAATGGGCGCTGTGTTCTTCTTACCTGCTCTTCCTCTCTGGTCTTTGATCCCTTCCACAGGATACAGACAGTGCTATTTCATATGACTGACTATTTTTTCCCATGGTGTGATTAGCCTCTTTAATGTGGATACAATCAATTGAAGAGACTTGCCAATAGTGTGAGAATGAGGTCAGGAGAGAAGGCTGCCTTACTGTCAAGCAGAAGACAAGACTGATCAGGCTGGAATAGTCCAATCTTTTCTCTCCTGTTCTGAAGAAGTACTAGGCAAGCAAGCCTTCCACCCTGGGACTCTTCTTCTCCTTTTATTCAATCTCAGGCAGTTTATACTCAACTTATTTTCTCTACTTTTGACTAGATCTGTGAGGAAGGACCTAGATGGACCCAAAAGCAAATATAGTTTCTGAAACTTTGATATTGCTTCCAATAACTTTGGCCCCTTCTCTGGAATGTGCTTACCCACTGGAGTATTGTCTGTAGAGCCCTGGGTTCTGTTTCTTAACAGTGCTCATCTCTTGTGTGGATGCTGGAACAAATTTGACTGTCAAGGGGAGGCCATGCCACTGATCTCTTCAATTTCTTATGTGCTTTTTTTTTTTTTAGGTTCTGAAAACAGCCAGTTACTTCCCAAGAGTTGCACAGAGAAGCCTGCACACTTCCATCTGGATATTTAGTTACCCTCTTGGAAACAGTCTCCACTCCACCCATCACATTCTACCTCCAAGGACTGGAACACAGACTTATTCCCACCTCCCCGCTTCTGGGCTCTTGGCTGGCCCCAGGTCTCTGACAATCCTCCCTTGGGGCCAGAGGTACTCAAGGATGCCAAGAGGGATATTGAGTTCACACACACACACACACAAGGTGCAAAAAAACCCCTTGGGTATTGGCCTAACCAATAAACACTTTTCTTTGGTTAATCATTGCTATTATCAAAAAATCTTAATATAAAAATCTAGGCTATACAAAGAAAATTACTCAAATACAAATGTTGTTCACATTGTAAATTTGCATTCTACTACTTTTTTCAAGTTGTTTTTGCTTAAAAATATGTGTAATCACAAGTTGAGATAGTTTATGTCCATTTCTGTGGTTATTTTACCTACACCTCCCAGTCTATCATTGATGGGCATTTGGGTTGGTTCATGTCTTTGCTGTTTTAAATAGTGCTGCAAATAGATTTATATTCCTTTGGGTATATACCTAGTAATGGGATTCCTGAGTCAAAAGGTATTTCTGGTTCTAGATCCCTGAGGAATTGCCACACTGTCTTCCACAATGGTTGAGCTAATTTACATTCCCACTAACAGTGTAAAAGCATTCCTATTTCTCCACAGCCTCGCCAGCCATCTATTGTTTGACTTTAGAACTGTCTATTCATGTCTTTGCCTATTTTTAATTTTACTTTAAGTTCCAGGATACAAGTGCAAAATGTATAGGTTACATAGGTATACACGTGTCATGGTGGTTTGCTGCACCCTATCCACCCATCACCTAGGTTTTTAGCCCTGCATGCATTAGTCGTTTGTCCTAGTGGTCTCCCTCTCCTCACCCCACACCCTCCAACTGGCCCTGGTGTGTGTTCTTCCCCTCCCAGTGTGTCCATGTGTTCTCATTGTTCGACTCTTACTTATGAGTGAGATGAGGTACTTTTCTGTTCCTGTGTTAGTTTGCTGAGGATGATGGCTTCCAGCTTCATCCCATGTCCCTGCAAGGACATGATCTCATTCCTTTTATGGGTGCATAGTATTCCATGGTGTACATGTACCACATTTTCTTTATGCAGGCTATCATTCTTGGTGTTTCTGTGGGATGTTTTAAAAATAAACTAACATTTGTATTGGCAGACTGAGTAAAGCAGATTGCTCTCTAATGTGGGTAGACCTCATCCAATGAGCTGAAGGCCTAACTACACAAAAAGGCTGACCCTCCCTGATCAGAGAACCCTTATTACCTGACAGCCTTCAAACAGGAACATCAGCTTTTTTCCTTCCTTGGAACTCAAACTGAAACACTGACTATTCCTGGGTCTCAAGCCTGTTGGTCTTCAGACTAGAACTAAATTATTGACTGTCCTAGGTCTTGAGTTTGACAACTCATCCTGTGGAAGTTAGGATTTGTCAGCCTCCATAATTATGTTAGCCAATTCTTTTATATTTTTATATACACTCATCCTGTTGATTCTGTTTCTCTGCAGAACCCTGACTAGTACGATGAACTTCAGTTATTTAACATTAATGATGGAATCAATTTCACTAATTTTTGTGAGATTTAAATAGCTATATATGTCAGACTTTTAAAGTAGTATAATTTATTGTCATTAATTGCTTTCGTACTTCTATGTTAAATATCCTAGAGAAGTCACATCAACTGAGAATTCCAAAGTTAAGATTTGACTTAAATTGAGATAGCTGGCATCATCTTATCTTCCCTGAAATTAATATGTTTGTCTCAAGTTGTAATATGAGAGAACAAATGGCATTAGGTATACTGTGTGTGGAAAAGTTGTTCTCTTTCCCCAATATACTATGTTCATGCTACAATGTGAGTCTTGGGGTGAAGCCAAAAGTTGAGTTGTGTAGCAAGGATGAAAGAGCACCCCCAAGATATACTTGCAATCTAGAATTTGAGGGGATGCAAGGGTATTGAGAGATGTTTGTTTCTAGTCACAATGGCCACTTCGAGGTTCTTTGGGGACAGGGTTTCTGATACCTCATAGGTTGCTTTTCTGTGTGATATTCCGGGGCAAGAAACTCGTGAACTGTGCTTTCTTGTTGTCACTTCTCCCTGTGTTTGCAGAGTAATCCCCAGAATTCTAATATATTCCAATTTTCCAATGCAAGATGGGTACAAAGATGACTAAATCAATATGAACAAGGAAAGAAAGTTCAGAATCCAGAAGAATTAGACATTCCGGGATACCTCTTCAGCCTCAGGACCTGGACAGTAATAGGTCAGCTCAGTCTGGTTAGGATTAAAAAAATAATGTTTAACCAGTCCTGTCTTTATCTTTAAGGGTATGTGATCTGTAGCCATGTTGTTTGAAGTTTTGACTTTTTATTTTTAAAAATAAGTTTAGAGCAGATTAAAGAACAAAAAACAAGACCCAACCATGTTGTCTACAAGAAGTCTGCTTTAAATGTAAAGGCACAGATTAAAACATGGTATCTCTTTTCTATCCTTTTGCTAATAATAAAAAGCAAGCTGGGAGAGTTCTTTCCAGGAGGCAGAGCAAGATGGAATAGAGAAGGCACCACCAATAGTCCCTACCACAAGGACACCAATTTAACAACTATCTATACACACAAAAAGCACCTTCATAATAACAAAAAAAAAAAAAAAAAAAAGTCAAGTGAGCACTCATAGTACCTGGTTTTAACTTTGTGCACTGAAAGAAGGACTAAAGAGGTAGAAAAAAAGTCTTGAAGTGCTGAAGCCACCCCCAACTTCCTCTGGCAGTGGCAGTGTGGTGAGCATCTCCAGGTGCTGGGGGAGGGAGAACTCAATTGTGAGGCAATGAACTAAGTGCCATCCTGTTAGAGCAGACAGGACAATCGTCCCAGACTCAGTTGGTGCCCACCCACAGAGGAAACACTTAAACCATCCCTAGACAGAGGAGAATCACCAATCCCAACAGTTAGAACATGAGTTCATGCAAATCTCGCCACTAAGGGCTAAAGTGCTCTGGGAATCTAAACTTGAAAGGCAGTCTAGGCCATGGGAACTGCAACTGTAAGATGAGCGCTAGTGTGGAACCCGGCCTGGAGAGAGTAGACGGTGGGGAGAACATGACCTACTGAGACACAAGCCGGGGTTGCTAACAGTGCTTGCATCACTCCTCTCTCCCAGGCTGCACAGCTCACAGCGACAACAGACCACTTCTTTCTGTTTGGAGAGGAAAGAAAAAAGGGTGGGGAGGACTGTTTTGCATTTTGGATACCAGCTCAGCCACAGTAGAATAGGGTACTGGTCAGAGTCATAAGGCCTTAGCTCCTGGATGACATTTTTAGATACACCCTCGGCCAGAAGGGAACATGCTACCTTAAAGGAACCAGTCCTGGCAGCATTTATCACCTGCTAACTGAAGATCCCTTGGGCCCTGAATAAACAGCAGCAATACCCAGGTACTATGTCAAGGGACTTTGAACCTCAGACATGCTGCCTTCAGGTAAGACTCAGCCCATTACCAGCTGTGGTAGCTATGGGGCAAAACTCCCATTTGAGAAAAGCAGAAGGTAAAGTAAAGCGTGCCAGCTCAGACATGGTGGGAGGGGGTAGAGTACAAAGTAGGCTCTTGGGGTCCCCAATTTCAGGACTTGATGGAGATGACATTTCTGGACCTGTCCTGGGCCAGAGGGGAGCCCACTGCCCTGAAGAGCGAGTCCCAGGCCAGGCAGCTTTCACCACAAGCTGACTTAAAAGCCCTGGGTCCTAAAGCAGACCTTGGTAGTGGTCTGACAGCACTTTCCACGGGCCTAAGGTGGTGGTAGCCATGAAGTGAGGCTCGTCTGCCTTTGGAAAGGGGAGAGAAAGGTGGGAAGGACTGCATCTTCTGTTTTTGGTGCCAGCTAGGTTGCAGTACAATTAGAATACCGGGTAGACTAAGGTTTTTGACTCTAGTCCCTGACTTTTGGACAGTACCTCTGGACCCACCCAGGGCATCTTGCTTCCCTGAAGGGAAGGAGACAAGTCTGCTGCTTTACCAACCAACTGTAGAGGCCCAGGACCTTAAACAAACATAGGTAGTAGCCAAGGAGTAGTTATAGCAGGCCTTGGGCAAGACCCAGTGCTGTACTGGCTTCAGTTCTCATAGTTGTGGTAGACACAGGAATGCTTGTGTCACTCAACCCCAAGCTTTACTTGGCTCAGAAAAGGCAGAGGTTGTAGTGAGCTGAGATCACACCACTGCACTCCGGCCTGGGTGACAGAGCAGGAGTGTCAAAAAAACAAAAGAAACAAAAACCAAAAAACAGACTATTTGGGAGAAAGAAGAGATGACAGTCTACCTGGTAATTAAGAGAATTCTCCTGGATCTTTTCCAAGCCCATCAAGGTGATATCTCTATGGGTCTTTAAGAACCACAGCCATACTAGGCTTAGGATGACCCCTAAAGCAGATACCACTTAGATCACAACACCCAGATCCTTCTGAATATCTAGAAAGCCTTTCCAAGAAGTATGGGCACAAACGAGCCCAGACAGTGAAGACAACAAATACCTAACTGTTCAATGCCCAGATATCTAATAGATATTAGCACCAATATCATTCAGGAAAACATGACCTCACCAAATGAACTAAATAAGGCACCAGAGACCAATCCTGGAGAAACATATGTGACCTTTCAGACAATTCATAATAGCTGTGCTCAAGAAACTCAAATTCCCAATGACAACAAAATTCAGAGTTTGATAAATTAAAAAGATTGAAATAAGAATCAAGAAGAAATTCTGGAGCTGAAAAAATGTGATTAGCCTACTGAAGAATGCAGTCTTAATAGCAGAATGGATCAAACAGAAGAATTAGTGAGCTTGAAGAAAGGCTATTTGAAAATACAGTCAAAGGAGAAAAAATAAAATAAAGCAGGTCTATAGGATCTAAAAAATAGCCTCAAAATGGAAAACAGAACTATTGGCCTTAAAGAGGAGGTAGAGAAAGAAATAGGGGTAAAAAGTTTGTCCAAAGAAATAACAGAACTTCCCAAACCTAGAGAAAGCTATCAACATCCAAGTACAAGGTTAAAGAACACCAAGCACATTTAACCCAAGCATGACTACCCTCAAGGCATTTAATGATCAAAATCCCATTATTAGGCATTTATTATCTTTGATAAAGATCAGGGATCAAACAAGGATTCTAAAGGCAGAAGAGAAAGTATACAATGGAGCTTTCATGCATCTGGCAGCAGACTTTTTAGTGGAAACCATACAGACAAAGAGTGGCATAACATGTTTAAAGAGCTGAAGGGAAAAGACTTATTCCAGAATAATATATTCAGCAAAAATATCCTTCACATGTCAAGAAGAGAAAGGTTTTCCCAAACAAAAGCTGAGGGATTTCATCAACACTAGACTTGTCTTACAAGAATGCTAGAAGAATCCTTCAATCAGAAAGGAAAGATGTTAATGAGCAAGAAGAAATTATCTGAAGGTACAAAACTCACTGGTAATAGTAAATACACAGAAAAACAGAATATTATTACACTAACTGATGTGGAGACTACTCTTATCCTAAGTAGAAGGACTAAAATGTGATCAAAAATAACATATCTTTAAGAAATAGTACAATAAGATAGAAATAAAAAAATAAAAATTGAGCAGATGACATGGTCTGGCTGTGTCTCCACCCAAATCTCATCTTCAATTGTAGCTCCCATAATCCCCATATGTTGTGGGAGGTAATTAAATCATGGGGGTGGGTGAGTTTTTCCCATGCTGTTCTTGTGATAGTGAATGTCTCATGAGATTTGATGGTTTTATAAAGGGCAGTTCTCCTGCACATGCTCTCTTGCCTGCTGCCATGTAAGATGGGCCTTTGCTCCTTCTTTGCCTTCCATCATGATTGTGAGACTTCCACAACTACGTGAAACTGTAAGTCCATTAAACCTTTTCTTCCCCTATAAGTTACCCAGTCTTAGGTATGTCTTTATTAGCAGTGTGAGAACAGACTAATAGAAGAACAAAGTTTTAGTTTTTCTTATTTATGTGAACAGGATTAAGATATCATTGGCATAAAAAATGGGTTGTAAAGATAGTATTTACAAGCCTCATGGTACCTTCAAACCAAAATCCTACAATAGAAACACAAAAAGCACTAAACTAAATCATATTACCAGAGGAAAAAATTACTGGCTGGGCATGGTAGCTCATGGCTGTAATCCCAGCACTTTGGGAGGCCAAGTTGGGTGGATCACCCGAGGTCAGGGGTTCTAGACCAGCCTGGCCTACATGGTGAAACCCTATGTCTAGTAAAAATACAAAAAGTAGCCGGGCATGGTGGTGGGCACCTGTAATCCCAGATACTTGGGAGGCTGAGGTGGGAGAATTGCTTGAACCTGGAAGACAGAGTTTGCAGTGAGCCAAGATCATGCCACTGCACTCCAGCCTGGGGCGACAGAGTGAGACTCCACATAAAAAAAAAAAAAATAGCTTCAGTAAAGTGAGACAGGAAAAAAAGGAGGAAGAGAAGACTGTAAAACAAGAAAACAGCAAGATGGTAGGAGTTAAGTCCTTACTTATCAATAGCATTAAAGATAAATGGACTAAACTCTAGTCAAAAGAGTGTCCGAATGGATGAAAAAAACAAGATTGATCTGTTGCCTAGAAGAAATGCTTTATAAAGACAGACTGAAAATACAGAGATGAAGAGAAATATTTCATGCCAATAGACACCAAAAAGAGTGGGGATAGTTAGACAAAGTAGATTAAGACAAAAACTGTAAGAAGCAAAGGTTGCTATATAATGAGGTCAGTTGTGCAAGAGGTTATAACAATTTTAAATATATATGCAGCCAACACTGAAGGACTCAGATACGTAGAGCAAATATTAGAGCTAAAGAGATATAGGCCCCAATACAATAATAGCTGGAGACCTTCAACACCCCACTTTCAGCATTGGACAGATCCTCCAGACAGAAAAAGAAACACTGGACTTGATTGGCACTATAGACCAAATGGACCTACCATATGTTCTAATAGATAACATTTAGAGAACGTTTTGTGCAATGACTACAAAATACACATTCTTTTCCTCAGCACATGGATTATTCTCAAGGAGAGACCATATGTTAGGTTACAAAACAGGTGCTAACACATTCAAGAAAGTTGAAATAATGTTGTGATAGTTAACAAGTGTCAACTTGATTGGATTGAAGGATGCAAAGTATTGTTCCTGGGTGTGTCTGAGGGCATTGCTAAGGGAGATTAACATTTGAATCAGTGGACTTGGAAAGGCAGACCCACTCTTAATGTGAGTTGGCACCATCTAATCAACTGCCAGTGTGGCTAGAATAAAACAGACTTGCTGAGTCTTCCAGACATCATCTTTCTCCTGTGCTTCTTTCTGCCCTCAAACACCAGACTCCAAGTTCTTCAGCTTTTGGACTCTTGGACTTACACCAGTGATTTACTAGGGACCTTCAGCCACAGACTGAAGGGTACATTGTCACCTCCCCTACTTTTGAGGTTTGGGGACTTGGACTGGTTTCCTTGCTCCTCAGCTTGCAGACAGTATATTGTGGGATTTCACCTTGGGATCATGTGAGTCAATACTCCTTAATAGACTCCCCTTCATATAGACAATTATCCTATTAGTTCTGTCTCTCTAGAGAACCCTGACTAATGCAAATGTCAAGCATCTTCTGGCAGCTGTGAACTAAAACTAGAAGTTAATAACAAGAAGAATTTTAGAAACTATACAACTACAGGGAAATTTAACAATATGCTTCTGAATGACCAGTGGTCAATGACAAAATTAAATTGAAAAATTTCTTGAAACAAATAGAAACAACGTGCCAAAATTCACAGGATACAGTGAAGGCAGCATGAGGGAAGTTTATAGCTGTAACTGCACACATCAAAAAAGATGAAAAACTTTAAAAAAGTCAAATGATGCATCTGATTAATAGCCAGAATAGATAAGGAGCTCAAACTCTATAGGAAATAAAATCTAATAACCTGAACCAAAAAAGGGCAAAAGATTTGAATAGACCTTTCTCAAAAGATGACATACAAATGGCAAACAGGCATGAAAAGGCACTAAACATTATTGATCAGAGAAATGAAAATCAAAACTATAAAGGGATGTCATCTCACCCCAGTTAAAATACCTTACATAAAAAAGACAGGCAATAACAAATGCTGGTGAGGATGTGGAGAAAAGGGAACCCTCATTCACTGTTGATGGGAATGTAAATTAGTACAACCACTCTAGAGAATAGTTTGGAGGTTCTTCAAAAAACTAAAAATAGGGCTACCATATGGTCCAGCAATCCACTGCTGGGTATATAGCTGATGTAATTTTGCTGTGTCCCCACCCACATCTCATCTCAATTTGTAATCCCCACATGTTGAGGAAGGGATCTAGTGCGAGGCAATCGGATCATGAGGGCAGTTTCCCTCATGCTGTTCTCATGATAGTGAGAGAGTTCTCATGAAATCTGATGGTTTAAGAGTGTTTGGCAATTCCCCCTGCTTGCTATCTCTTCTGCTGCTTTGTGAAGAAGATGCCTGCTTTCCCCATGCCTTCTGCCATAAGTTTCCTGAGACCTCCCCCAGCCAGGCAGAACTTTTAATCAATTAAACTTCTTTCCTTTATAAATTAACCAGTCTCAGCTATTCTTTATAGTAGTGTGAAAACAGACTAATACAATATCCAAAAGAAAGGATATCAGTATATTGAAGACGTCTTTTTTATTCCCATGTTTCTTGAAGCACTATTCACAATAGTGAAGATTCAGAAGCAACCTAAGTGTCCATCAACAGATGAATAAAGTAAGTGTGGCACATATAAATGAATAGTGCTCCATTGTGTGTAGGAATCCTGTTACTTGCAACAACATAGATGGAAATGGAAATTCCATCTATGGTGAAAGAGGACAGGCACAGAAAGACAGATATTGTATGTTCTTAATTATCTGTGGGATTGGGAAGGTTACAGCAGGGGTAGGATGAAGGTGGGGATGGCGAATGGGTAAAAAAAATAGGATGAATAAAATACATTATTTAATAGCACAACAGGGTGACTAGTTAACAATAATAGTACATTTTAAAGTAACTAATTGAATTGTTTAACACAAAGGATAAATGCTTGAGGCATTGGATACCCCATTCTCCATGATGTATTACGTATTGCATGTCTGTATTAAAACATCTTATTTACCTTATTAAAATATGTACCCTACTATGTACTCACAAAAATTAAAAATTAAAAAATTAAAAGAATCAATCTGGAATAGCTATATTAACTCAAGTCAAAGCAAACTCCAGAGAAATAAATATCAGGCATAAAAAGGAATGTATGATAATGAGGTCAAGTCTATGAAAAGACAAATTTTTAATGTGTATGAACCCACAATAGATCAAGATATGTGAGGCAAAAAACTGAACTGAAATAGGTAAATCCATTATTAAAGGTTGAGATTAATACCTTTCTCCCTCAGTAATGCATCCAGCAGATAAGTGTGTGGGGAAAAAAATAGAAAAGCCATAGTTAACACTGAACATATTTTAACCAACAGTATTCAATCAAAATGCATATAATATATTTAAACAGAAGAATACACATTCTTTAAGCTCTAATAGAATATTCACCAAGTAGACCACAGTTTGGGCCATAAATCATATTGTGGACATTAACATTGATTAACAACTTCTCTACTACTGATTCAATTTCTGAAGTTTGATACTGGTCTTTTCAGGGTTTCAATCTCTTGATTCACTATGAATTTTCTAATTTGTGTGCCTGAAGACATTCATAGTAGTCTCTGGGGATCTTCTGTATTTCTGTGGGATCAGTTGTAATATTATCTTTGTTATTTGATTATGCATATTTGGATCTCTTAATCTAGCTAAGGGTCCATTAGTTGTGTTTTCTTCCCCCAAAGAATTCTTGGGTTTATTGATCTTTTGTTTGGATTTTTTTATATCTCAATTTCATTAGGTTCTTCTCTAATGTTTTTCTTCTGCTAGCACCGGGAATTTTTTTTTCTAGTCCTTTTTAAGTACAAAGTTAGATTGTCAGTTTGAGCCCTTTGCAACTTCTTGAAGGTATTTAGGGCTATAAACTTTTCTCTTAACACTGCTTTGGCTGCATCTTAGAGATTTTGGTAAGCTGTATCCCCATCTTTGTTAATTTCAAAGAATTTTAAGTTTCTGCCTTAATTTAGATGTTTGCTTAGGAGTTATTGAGGAGTAAGTTGTTTAGTTTCCACGCATTTGTGTAGTTGAGGGTTCTTGATATTGGTTTCCATTTTTATTGACCTGTGATCCAACGGTGTGCTTGGTATGATTTCATTTTTTTGAATTTGAGACTTGCTTCATGACCAAGCATGTGGTTAATCTCAATATGGTCCATGTGAAGATGAGAAGAACATATTCTATGGTTATGGGGTATTCTGTAGATGTCTATTAGGTCCAGTTGGCTGAGTGCTGAGTTTAAGTCCAGAGTTTGTTAGTTTCTGCCTCAATGATCTGTCTAATGCTATTGGTGGGGTGTTGAAATCTCCGACTATTGTTTCATGGTTGTCTAAGTCTTTCTGTAGGCCATGTAAAGGAGAAAAGAAAGCCCTTATATGCTGTTGATGAAATGCAAATTGGTATTGACCATTCTATCAGTCTGTCCTTACACACTGCTATAAAGTGCTATCTGAGACCGGGTAATTTAAGAAGAGATTTGACTCAGTCTCACAGATTTAACAGGAAGCATGACTGGGAGGCCATAGGAAAGTTACAATCATGGTGGAAGGCAAAGGGAAAGCAAGCACTTTCTTCACACGGCAGGAAAGAGTGTGAAGGCAAAAGTGCCACACACTTTTAAGCCACCAAATCTTTTGAGTACTCACTATCACAAGAACATTGCGGGAGGGGGGTGGGGGGAAATCAGCCCCCATGATGCAATCACCTCCCAGCAGGCCCCTCCTCCAATTTGACATGAGATTTGGCCAAATCCAAACCATATCAGCCATTATAGAAAACCTCTTGAGGAACGTCCATGTAGTTTACAGAACATAAGACCCAGGAATCCCTCTACTTGGTATTTACTCAAAGGGCATGAAATCAGCACCTTGCAGAGATAAGCACACTTCCATGTTCATAAACTTGCTATTCACAATAGCCAAGACATGGAATAAACCTATGTGTCAATTGACAGATGAATGGCTAGAGAAGTTGTAGCATTATTAGATACTGCCATTTGTGATGGTAGCATGATGTCCCTCAAGTTCATGTAAGTGAAATAAGTCAGACACAGAAATATATGTGAAATTTAGAAAATGTCAAAGACAGAAATGGAGTGTAGAACTAGTTACCCAGAGCAGCGAAGGAGAAGAAACAGGGAGATGTAGGTCAAGGGTACAAAGTTGCTGCTATAAAGGATGAATAAGCCTAGAGAGCTTTTGTATAACACGAGGCCTGTATTTGTATAATGAAATATTTACTAATTTTCTAAGAGTAGATTTTTGGCATTCTTACCACAAGGACAGGTAATTCTGTGAGATGATATATTGTTCATTTGGCTGCAGTAATAATTTCATTATGTATCAGAACATGTTTTAAAACTTAAAATATGGATAAAAACTTCCTGTTCAGATGGTAAAATTTTATATTTACCCTGAATTTCATAGGGGTCACTAAACCAAAATGAAAATGAAAGTGGGGAGGAGCATTCCAAGATGGCTAAATAGGAACAGCTCCGGTCTGCAGCTCCCAGAGTGATGAGTGCGGACGATGGGTGATTTCTGCATTTCCAACTGAGGTATCTGGTTCATCTCACCGGGACTGGTTGGACAGTGGGTACAGCCCACGGAGGGTGAGCTGAAGCAGGGCAGGGCATCACCTCACCTGGGAAGTGCAAGGGGTCAGGGGATTTCCCTTTCCTAGCACCAAGGGAAGCAGTGACAGATTGTACAGGGAAATCCGGGCACTGCCACCTAAACACTGTGCTTTTCCAACAGTCTTAGCAAACGGCAGACCAGGAGATTATAACCCGTGCCTGGCTCAGCAGGACCCACGCCTACGGAGCCTTGCTCGCTGCTAGTCTGAGATTCAACTGTGAGGCGGCAAGCCTGGCTGGGGGAGGGGCGTCCACCATTGCTGAGGCTTGAATAGGTAAACAAAGCTGCCGGGAAGCTCCAACTGGATAGAGCCCACTACAGCTCAAAGCAGCCTGCCTGCTTCTGTACACTCCACCTCTGGGGGCAGGGCATAGCTGAACAAAAGGCAGCAGAAAATCCTGCAGACTTAAACGTCCCTGTCTGACAGCTCTGAAGAGAGCAGTGGTTCTCCCAGCATGGTATTTGAGCTCTGAGAACGGATAGACTGCCTCCGCAAGTGGGTCCCTGACCCTTGCATAGCCTAACTTGGAGATACTTCCCAGTAGGGGCCAACTGACATCTCATACAGCTGGGTGCCCCTCTGAGACAAAGCTTCCAGAGGAAGGATCAGGCTGCAATATTTGCTGTTCTGCAGCATTTGCTGTTCTGCAGCATTTGCTGTTCTGCAGCCTCCACTGATGATACCCAGGCAAACAGCATCTGGAGTGGACCTCCAGCAAACTCCAACAGACCTGCAGCTGAGGGACCTGACAGTTAGAAAGAAAACTAACAAACAGAAAGGAATAGCATCAACATCAACAAAAAGGACATCCACACCAAAACCCCATCTGTAGGTCACCAAAGAACAAAGGTAGATAAAACCACAAACATGGGGAGAAACCAGAGCAGAAAAGCTGAAAATTCTAAAAACCAGAGCACCCCTTCTCCTCCAAAAGATCACAGCGCCTTGCCAGCAATGGAACAAAGCAGGATGGAGAATGACTGATGAGTTGACAGAAGTAGGCTTCAGAAAGTCGGTAATAACAAACTTCTCTGAGCTAAAGGAGGATGTTCAAACCCATCGCAAGGAAGCTAAGACCTTGAAAAAAGATTAGACGAATGGCTAACTAGAATAAACAGTGTAGAGAAGACCTTAAATGACCTGATGGAGCTGAAAACCATGCAAGAGAACTACGTGATGCAGTCACAATTTCAGTAGCCAATTTGATCAAGTAGAAGAAAGGGTATCAGTGATTGAAGATCAAATGAATGAAATGATGCAAGAGAAGTTTAGAGAAAAAAAGAGTAAAAAGAAAGGAACAAAGCCTCCAAGAAATATGGGACTATGTGAAAAGACCAAATCTACATTTGATTGGTGTACCTGAAAGTGATGGGGAGAATGGAACCAAGCTGGAAAACACTCTTCAGGATATCCAGGAGAACTTTCCCAACCTGGCAAGGCAGGCCAACATTCAAATTCAGGAAATACAGAGACCACCACAAAAGATACTCCTCGAGAAGAACAGCCCCAAGACACCTAATTGTCAGATTCACCAAGGTTGAAATGAAGGAAAAAATGCTAGAGGCAGCCAGAAAGAAAGGTCAGGTTACTCACAAAGGGGAACCCATCAGACTAACAGCTGATCTCTCAGCAGAAACCCTACAAGCCAGAAGAGAGTGGGGGCCAATATTCAACATTCTTAAAATAATTTTCAACCCAGAATTTCATATCCAGCCAAACTAAGCTTCATAAGTGAAGGAGAAATACAATCCTTTACAGACAAGCAAATGCTGAGGGATTTTGACACCACCAGGCCTGCCTTACAAGAGCTCCTGAAGGAAGCAATGAACATGGAAAGGAACAACCGGTACCAGCCACTGCAAAAACATGACAAATTGTAAAGACCATCGACGCTAGGAAGATACTGAGTCAAATAACGGGCAAATAACCAGCTAACATCATAATGACAGGATCAGATTCACACATAACAGTATTAACCTTAAATGTAAACAGGCTAAATGTCCCAATTAAAATACACAGAGTGGCAAATTGGATAGAGTCAAGACCCATCAGTGTACTGTATTCAGGAGACCCATCTTATGTGCAAAGACACACAAAGACTCAAAATAAAGGGATAGAGGAAGATCTACCAAGCAAATGGAAAACAAAAGCAGGGGTTGCAATCCTAGTCTCTGATAAAGCGGACTTTAAACCAACAAAGATCAAAAGAGACAAAGAAGGCCATTACATAATGGTAAAGGGATCAATTCAACAAGAGCTAACTATCCTAAATATATATGCACCCAATACAGAAGCACCCATATTCATAAAACAAGTCCTGAGAGACCTACAAAGACAGACTCCCACACAATAATAATGGGAGACTTTAACACCCCACTGTCAATATTAGACAGATCAATGAGACAGAAGTTTAACAAGGATATCCAGGACTTGAACTCAGCTCTGGACCAAGCAGACCTCCTAGACATCTACAGAACTCTCCACCCCAAATCAACAGACTATACATTATTCTCAGCACCACATCGCACTTATTCCAAAATTGACCACATAGTTGGAAGTAAAGCACTCCTCAGCAAATGTAAAAACAGAAATCACAACAAACTGGCTCTCAGACCACAGTGCAATCAAATTAGAACTCAGCATTAAAAAACTCACTCACAACGGCTCAACTACATGGAAACTGAACAACCTGCTCCTGAATGACTACTGGGTACACAACAAAATGAAGGCAGAAATAAAGATGTTCTTTGAAACCAATGAGAATGAAGACACAATGAACCAGAATCTCTGGGATACATTTAAAGCCATGTGTAGAGGGTAATTTATAGCACTAAATGCCCACAAGAGAAAGCAAGAAAGATCTAAAATCGACACCCTACCATCACAATTAAAAACTAGAGAAGAGCAAACAAATTCAAAAGCTAGCAGAAGACGAGAAATAGCTAAGACCAGAGCAGAACTGAAGGAGATAGAGACACAAAAAACCCTTAAAAAAAAAAAAGTCAATGAATCCAGGAGCTGTTTTTTCTTTAAAAGATCAACAAAATTGATAGACCGCTAGCAAGACTAATAAAGAAAAAAAAAAAAAAAGATGCGGGGCGCGATAGCTCACGCTTGTAATCCCAGCACTTTGGGAGGCCGAGGCGGGCGGATCACCAGGTCAGGAGATCAAGACCATCCTGGCTAACACAGTGAAACCGTGTCTCTATCAAAAATATGAAAAAATTAGGCAGGCATGGTGGCGGGCGCCTGTAGTCCCAGTTACTCGGGAGGCTGAGACAGGAAAATGGCATGAACCTGGGAGGTGAAGCTTGCAGTGAGCCAAGATAGTGCCACTGCACTCCAGCCTGGGGGACAGAGCGAGACTCTGTCAAAAAAAAAAAAAAAAAAAAAAAAAAAAAAAAAAAAAAAAAAAGACAAAAATCAAATAGACACAATAAAAAATGGTAAAGGAGATATCACCACCAATCCCACAGAAATGTAAACTACCATCACAGAATACTATAAATGCCTCTATGCAAATAAACTAGAAAATCTAGAAGAAATGAATAAATTCCTGGACACATACTCCCTCCCAAGACTAAACAGGAAGAAGTTGAATCCCTGAAAAGAACAGTAATGGGCTCTGAAATTGAGGCAATAATTAATAGCCTACCAACCAAAAGAAGTCCAGGACCAGTTGGATTCACAGCCAAATTCTACCAGAGGTACAAAGAGGAGCTGGTTCCATTCCTTTTAAAACTATTCCAATCGATAGAGAGGGAATCCTCCCTAACTCATTTTATGAGGCTAGCATCATCCTGATACCAAAGACTGGCAGAGACACAACAAAAGGAAGAATTTTAGACCAATATCCCTGATGAACATCGATGTGAAAATCCTCAATAAAATACTGGCAAACCGAATCCAGCAGCACATCAAAAAGCTTATCCACCATGATCAAGTGGGCTTCATCCCTGGGATGCAGGGTTGGTTCAACATATGCAAGTCAATAAATGTAATCCATCACATAAACAGAACCAAAGACAAAAACCACATGATTATCTCAATAGATGAATTTTGTCAAAGGCCTTTTCTGCAACAGTCCTTCATGCTAAAAACTCTCAATAAACTAGGTATTGATGGAATGTGTCTCAAAATAAGCTGTTTATGACAAACCCACAGCCAGTATCATACTGAGTGGGCAAAAACTGGAAGCATTCCCTTTGAAAACTGGCACAAGACAGGGATACCTTCTCTCACCACTCCTATTTCAACATAGTGTTGGAAGTTCTGGCCAGGGAAATCAGGCAGGAGAAGGAAATAAAGGGTATTCAAGTAGGAAAAGAGGAAGTCAAATTGTCCCAGTTTGCAGATGACACGATTGTATATTGAGAAAACCCCATCATCTCAGCCCAAAATCTCCTTAAGCTGATAGGCAACTTCAGCAAAGTCTCAGGATACAAAATCAATGTGCAAAAACACAAGCATTCCTATTCACCAATAAGAGACAAACAGAGCCAAATCACGAGTGAACTCCCATTCACAATTGCTTCAAAGAGAATAAAATACCTAGGAATCCAACTTACAAGGGATGTGAAGGACCTCTTCAAGGAGAACTATAACCTACTGCTCAGTGAAATAAAAGAGGATACAAACAAATGGAAGAACATTCCATGCTCATGGATAGGAAGAATCAATATCGTGAAAATGGCCACACTGCCCAAGGTAATTTACAGATTCAATGCCATCCCCATGAAGCTACCACTGACTTTCTTTGCAGAATTGGAAAAAACTACTTTAAAGTTCATATGGAACCAAAAAAGAGCCTGCATTGCCAAGATAATCCTAAGCAAAAAGAAAGTTGGAGGCATCAGGCTACCTGACTTCAAGCTATACTACAAGGCTACAGTAACCAAAACAGCATGGTACTGGTACCAAAACAGAGATCTAGACCAATGGAACAGAACAGAGCCCTCAGAAATAACACCACATATCTACAACCATCTGATCTTTGACAAACCTGACAAAAACAAGCAATGGGGAAAGGATTCCCTATTTAATAAATGGTGCCAGGAAAATGGGCTAGCCATATGTAGAAAGCTGAAACTGGATCCTTTCCTTACAACTTACACAACAATTCAAGATGGATTAAAACCATAAAAACCATAAAAACCCCTAGAGGAAAACCTAGGCAATACCATTCAGGACATAGGTATGGGCAAAGACTTCATGACTAAAACACCAAAAGCAATGGCAACAAAAGCCAAAATGGACAAATGGTATCTAATTAAACTAAAGTGCTTCTGCACAGCAAAAGAAACTACCATCTCAGTGAACAGGCAACCTACAGAATGGGAGAAAACTTTTGCCATCTACCCGTCTGACAAAGGGCTAATATCCAGAATCTACAAAGAACTTAAATATACAAAAAAAAAAAATCAAACAACCTCATCAACAAGTGGACAAAGGATATGAACAGACACTTCTCAAAAGACAACATTTATGTAGCCAACAGACACATGAAAACAATTGGTCATCAGATAAATGCAAATCAAAACCACAATGAGATATCATCTCACACCAGTTACAATGGTGATCATTAAAAAGTTAGGAAACAACAGGTGATAGGATGTGGAGAAATGGTAACACTTTTACACTGTTGGTGGGAGTGTAAACTAGTTCAGCCATTATGGAAGACAGTGTGGTGATTCCTCAGGGATCTAAAACTAGAAATACCATCTGACCCAGCAATCCTATGAGTGGGTATATGCCCAAAGGATTATAAATCATGCTACTATAAAGACACATGCACACGTATGTTTATTGTGGCACTATTCACAATAGCAAAGACTTGGAACCAACCCAGATGTCCATCAATGATAGACTGGATTAAGAAAATGTGGCACATATACACCATGGAATACTATGCAGTCATAAAAAAGGATGAGTTCATGTCCTTTGTAGGGACATGGATAAAGCTGGAAACCATCATTCTGAGCAAACTATTGCAAGGACAGAAAATCAAACACTGCATGTTCTCACTCATGGGTGGGAACTGAACAATGAGAACACTTGGACACAGTGTGGGGAACATCACACTCCGGGGCCTGTTGGGTGGGGGGATGAGGGAGGGATAGCATTAGGAGAAATACCTAATGTAAATGACGAGTTAACGGGTGCAGCAAACGAACACAGCACATGTATACATATGTAACAAACCTACATGTTGTGCACATGTACCCTAGAACTTAAAGTATAATTTAAAAAAATGAAAGTGGGACTGAGGAGGTTCAGAAGTCAGTTATGGAGTTGAACGGTTTGTCTGCAGAGTCTAAGTCTTCTCCATGGATACCAGAAACTGGGATGAAGTAGAAAGCTTATCCAGGTAGAAAAATCCTCAATGATGTTCTTCCATAAGTTTCAACATGTCTTTAAGTAAGGAGGAATAAAAGGGTGACATTTGCAGCTAATGCCATATGGTCATGAGCTTTTGACAAAAGATGGAAGAACAAAACTCTGGAAACAGTAATAAGTAACCCCAAACTTATCTGTTTTGTATTGAGGTGCATGAGACAGAGATTGACCACCATTGAGGGCTAAGAGTAAGTACTGTTCTTGATTAAAAAGCTCCCCCTTCCCCCACTGTTGTAGTTTTGGAATGTTTGACATTTTATAAGTATTTATGGAAGAGTTCCAGAAAGTTGAGAACACAGTACACGCAATGTAAGGAAGATGTAGAATTTGAACCTAGGGCACACAAACCCAAAACTTTTGCTTTTAACCACTGTGGAAATCTTAGGCAAATTGCTTAGACTGTACTTCACATCTCTGATCTGAGAAGTGGAGATTAAAGAAGTTCACATCTCATTAAAAATTAGCTGGGTGTGGTGGCATGTTCCTCTGGTCCCAGCTGCTTAGGAGGATGAGCTTCAGCCCAGGAGGTTGGGGCTGTGGTGAGCTATGTTCGTGCTGCTGCACTCCAGCCTGGGCAGCAAAGTGAGGCCCTGTTTCAAAAACAGTTGTTCTCTCATAGGGTTGTTCCTGCAGAAGGTAAACTCACAAAAGCAATCAGACATTACATAAAGAAGACATTTGTATATACGTTTATAGCAGCCCAATTCACAATTGCAAAAATGTGGGACCAGCCTACATGTCCATCAGCCAACAAGTAGATAGAGAAAATTGGTGCGTATACATACATAATATGGGATACAACTCAGCCAGAAAAAGGAGTGAAATAATGGCATTTGCAGCAACCTGAATAAAGTTGGAGACCCTTGTTCTCAGTGACAGTAATTCAGGAATGAAAAACCAAATATTGTATGTCCTCACTTATAAGTGGGAGCTAAGCTATGAGGATGCAAAGTCATAAGGATGATATAATGGACTTTGGGGACTCCGTGAGGAAGGATGGGAGGGAGTGAGGAATAGAAGGCTACACACTGGGTCCAGCATTTACTGCTTAGGTGACAGGTGCACCAAGTCTCAGAAATCACCACTAACCCATGTAACCAAAACCCCCCGCTTTCCAAAAATTATTGAAATAAAATAAATGAGACTTAGGAATGGAGATCGGGGTGAAAAAGGAAGTCTAAAGATTTAGGCATAACTTGGTCAAAGACAAATCTTGTAAGTGTCAGAACTGGCACTGGGGCTGTGGTCTATACTCAACCATGGCAGTATACCACTTCTGTCATGGACAAGAATGAGCTCAAGTTTGATCTCAGAGCCAGAATCCTGGATGTACTTCTTGTGAGGCTGGGAAGGTGGCTTTAAGAAAAATGCTTTCCCTATTATAGCATCAGTATTCCCATTTGAGGGAAATTCGCAGGCTTCAGAGATGTATATAAGTCCCTCAGTTGGTATTTATATCTCCATGTACTCCAATTAAGCATCTGGGCTAACAAGTTTAGAATTTTATTCTAGAATTGAACATGAACAATGTTTATTTCAGAGAAATTATAACACTGAACTGATAAAGTTATAGACTGAGAGTCCAATATTCAATATTCAACTTGTTGTTGTTGGTATTGTGTTGGTCTGACTTTTCATCTTTGATTGACCCACATATGGGAGACCTAGCTATAAAATAGGATTGAATGGGAAAATCTGAGTAGTTGCATTCAAATGAAGGTTTAAGATATTTAACGACACCAAGCTCTATGTTTGTGTTGCAGAGCCCCGTCAGCCAGTGGCATAATCTCATTTGGGGGCCAGGGTGCCCTCTCCTGGACAGTGTTAGAATGGGGACAGTGTTAGAATGTCAATGTTTGCTTCTGATTCAGATCTGTTTCCAAGACTGAATATGTATCTCTTCTGTGTAACTTAAGATATTTTCCTATAGTGAAAGGTAACACTTTTTCCTGCACATCTGAGGCATATCTCCCTTAAGTTGGAACAATGAGGTTTTGAAAGTTTGTGCATCAAATTAAGGGATGAGGACTTACTGTAACCTTAAGGATAATTCAACAAGTACGTTGGTTTATTGGCTACTTTTAGTTTTCAAATGTTGTACAAGGCATCCAGATACAGAATAGACAGATACTAAGTTTGTCAAAGCAGAGTTTATCCACTGGAGGTGGTAAATGCTAGATATGAATCTGGATATGAATTTCAAAATCTAGATATGAATCTGTATAGACTGACAGCCAAATAAAAAAGTAGGACTAAGGGTACAGCATACATGCAGGATAGAAGGATCCTGTATATTTTGGCCACTACCAGCAATTTCACACAGAATGTAAAATGTAAGCTTGGGGAGCAGGTTGCAAGCTTCTGGAAGTTCCCAGCTTCTCCCGAGGTTCTATAGAGTTAGAACCCTCTGAAAGGGGAGTGGAAGTGAAAATGAGATCCTTCACATAATGATTCTACTGCATTAGCCCCCTTCCCTGACTATATTAGCTCCTAGCCTGAAAGAGAAGGTCAGGTTGTATCTCCCAGGCTTAGAGCTAGCCCTTCCTGAAGACACAGGGACAGCAGTAATGTTGATAATGCTGTTTAAGCATTTGTCATGTTTGTCTTACTAGGCCCTTCATATGCAATATCCAAGTTATAACTACTATCCAAACAGATTATTCAATTTATGCTTGAAGAACTGGAAATGATGTAACTTGCTTGAGGTCACATAGTGAGTATGTAACTGGGCTAGCTTTGCAAACTCAAGCCTTTGAAGCTTCAGAGGCCATGCCTTGTCACACATCCTGAAGTGTGACGCTCCAACCCATGAACATCCTATTGGAACACTTGAAGAAAAAAACTGCTTCTTCAGTTTTTCACTGAGAAAACGGATGTTAGAGAAGGTTTCATTCAAAAAGATGTGAAGGAGATCTACCATTCCACCCACAAGGAGAGTCCTTTCCACAATATAAACTGGAGTGGGGGAAAAATCTCTTCAGTATCTAATTTTGAAGAGTTGCTATTCAGTTGTCTTAAATAATTTAGGACCCTACCATCACCCCCTAATACTGTGAAGAGATTAGACTTTAGACAGATAGGGGACTGGAGTTCAGCCTGAGTCCCAGGAAACTCGTCCCCACCCTGGGAAGGTCTTTGATTTCTACTTGGTGTCCCTAGAATAGCTGCAGATACTAGGAAGGCCAGATGCAAGAAACAAGGGGACTTGGATACAAGGGATTATGTCTCAGTTAATGGGTCTGTTCCTTCCTTCTGGACCAACCCTGGCATGCCAGGAACAGCTGTATCTTAAGTTTAGATTCTGTGCTCATCCTTCTAGGACAAAGCCTGCTATTAACTTTCTATATTGAGGAAAGTGGGGAGGGCTCAGATCCCAGATGGAATTCCCTAGACACCTGAGCAGAATGCTTATAAGTGCAAGGTCTCTGAGGCATTTGTAGAGCCCCAGGCTCTTACTGACATGACCCAGCCCAGGTAAGAACATCTTACAAAGAATGATATAGAAAAAGAATAGGGGTCATAGGGAGGAGTTCCCAGCTTAAGAATGAATAGACCTTGGGCAGTCAACTTAGCTCATACTCCTTTAAGTCTAAGGCAAGACTCAGGAAAGGCATTCTCTGGGAAGGGGATTTAGAATGGGTAGAGTTCCCACAGAGCCACAAACAAGGAGACTGATGAAGCCTCTAGTTCACTAATGACAATACAAGACCTTTGAATACATCACCATGTTCTTTAAATTTTATTTTATTTTATTCTTATTCAACAGAGCCAGGTACTGTGCTAGCACATGACTTCTAGTAAGACAGGCAAGATCACCACTCTATTAGAACTTATTCTGTTTGGGGAAAGATACATCAGAAGACAATTCAGAGAACTATTCAGACAGTACAGAAATAGGGCGTGGAACCAAGAATCAAGGCAAGGTTCATTAAAGTGGATATCTAAGCTATGGCAAGGTGAACATGTAAGGATTCACTAGGCGAGAGAGGAAGGAAGAACGTCATTTCAGTATCAGGAAAGAACATGTATTCTTCTCAGAAGCAAAAGGACATGTTGCAGTTGGGAAACACAAATGCAGTCTCACTGGACGGTAGTAAGCAGGATGAGGAATGGTAAAAGCCATGGCAGGTTATGGTGGATGTGTTTGGATGGATCACTCAGATGAGAGGTTGCTTTGCAGAATGCTTATGCTCATAGCATCCTTGCACAGAAGCTGCAGTAGACTACTGTATTTAAGGTATGAGAACTGCTCCTGACAAATGAGGTATGAATTAAAGAGCTACTCTCAGTGTTAGGATCTTAGGGGAAAAGACAGGGGTCAAAAACTTATCCCAAGAGTCGGTCCTCCCCATGTAGTAGCTGAAGTGCATCTCTCTAGTCAAGGATATGCTCTTCAGTTTCACAACATGTTCCCAGAAATGAATAGGAAGAGATGAAATGGGGGTATCCATCAAGAAACAGCCCTGTATGTTGTCAGGTATGAGGAAGGAAAGCGAGAGAAGATAAATTCTACCTTCTCCAGAGTTCCAGGTCAGTCCAGAGGGGACATCTGACATGGCTGGAACAAGGTCTGTGATACCAGAGACACCTATTGGATTTCATGAAAAGTCACTTCCTCTTGTGTCCACAATTCACCAAGCAATTCAGATCACAGATGAGACCAGTTCACACTTGGTCTCATCTGTGATTTGTGCCTGTAAGTTCCTCCTATAACATGATCTCTGCACAAATCTAGAAGGGAGCCATTTGCCAGGGAAAAAGTGAAGGGATTCAAATTGCATTAGAAGGAAAGATGGACCCTGAAACAGCTTTCTCACTAATATAGGAGGGGTAATAGCTGTACTTAGGAATCTTGGCAACAGAAAAATCCACTTGGTTGAGTCCTGTTAATTTTTCCATTCAAGAACTCTACATTTCTGGAGTAGAACAAAACTTTTCCACATTACAGCTTTGCTTAGTAGGACATATTCAAGCTATAAAAGCCATTTGATTAGACATACAAGTAAAATAGAAAAGTCTCCCTTTATTGTAAATCTAAATATCAGAGGAAAGATTATCTAGCCCCCGATTGTCATGAGTTTATAGCTCTTTTGCCTTTAGGATTAGTTCTGTGACTTGTCAACTTTCAGATTCTGTGTCCTACTGAGGAAGCAATCTTCTTGTCAAGAGATAATACTGGGTAAAGATTATATACTGTTGGGATCTGGTCTGATATATTCATGAAATAACAAGTGGCATAGTCAAAGGGGCAGTTGAAGGGACTATCTGCAGAGGCTTGACAAGAGTTAAGGAACTTGACAAGGGATGGGGAGGCACTGGGACTAACAGTAAGCAGCACAACTTAGCCTAGAACTGACCGGGCAAAGCAGGGCATGGTTACCAGAAAACACAAAGGGTCACTTCAGGAGCTGGGGCCTTTGGTAGAAGACCAAGACACTGCCAAACATAGCTGGTAGGAAGGGAACTAGAGAGTAGGTCTCTAATCTCTGGTTTTACCCTCATATCTCCTGTTAGTGCCTCACATTGACTGAGCCCACCTGGAAAATAGAGGACAAGGGAATCTGGGTGATACAGCCCATGAGTAAAATATAGCATCTGAGACATAGAACAGGGATCTATGCAAATGGAGAGTGCAAGTGAAGAACAACCAGAATATAGGTTAAGGAAGCCAAGCCACCTCCTTCCAACTAAATCCATCACTCCATTCTACCTGATGACTTCACAGGCCACTTCCTGTGTACTCCTTTCCTTCCCAGCCCCAATGACTCAGCCTTTTTATTTTCCCTATTTTGCAGTTATTGCCAACATTATGTCTACTTGTCATAATCTTTGAGAATCTGAAGGTGAGCCCAGCTTATGGAGAGGTTTTATGGGATAATGTCAGACTTACAGCAGTCACCCTCCCAAGCACCACAGCTTCCTGGAGATAGACATTCCAGAGTCTTTTGAAGTTTGAACATTTTTGGCTTTGCATGTTAGTCTCAACAGAATAAAGAACTAATGCTTAGTGTTACTGTCAGGCCCTGCATTTTCATTTAGTCATGACAACTTCTCTAGGCCATGGCTTTAAGTTTGTTGCAAAGTGTAGTTAGTTGTATTTCACTAATGGGATAAAGCAGTTCACCTAAGCTCTCACTGCCAAGATCTGAAGACAGATCTAGAAAAGTCCTAAGCCCAGATTGCTGACTATTCTGTAATCAACCTAACTAGGCTTAAGATGTACTGCATTAAACTTCTTACACGCTCCTCACCTTTCGTATTCCTCTGATATATAAGGAACACATTCTGGTATAGTCTTTTAGACAAAGATTTAAAAAAAAAAAATCAGACAACACATTGTTTTCATGTATTTGCTTTAAATTGACATCTTTTTAGTGAGTTGCTCTGGACTTCAAGTAAGGGTGTTTCATGGCCAAACATTTGTCTTAGGCTTCATGCTACTCTGCACTGAATGTCTTCTTCCTCCCTGCTGATAACCCTCTGTTTCTGGAGCCTTTTCTTCATATTCAGTCTTCATGAAGGGAGGAGGCCCTTGCCAGGCTTTGCCTTTGGGTATCAAATACGCATAAACTGAGCTTTGGTCAGCTTTCATCTTTCAGAAATCACTTTGTTTCTATACCCTCTGGAAGGTGTCATCTTTACCACCCCAAGTCTCTGCCTTGTGATTTTGGCCTGCAAATTAGACATTTCAGCTCATCCAGTAGTCAATTCTGGTCCCAGGCTTAAGCTTTGGTTTACCATAGAGCCTAGATAGTCCCAGGTGTCTCTGACCCTCTGACACTTCAGTGCATCTCCTTTTCTTTCAAGTAGCTGTACACTCTAAAACCTTCCAACATGATCTCAAGCACCACCTCATAGCCTACCTGCAGTGGTAAATGACCAGATAGTTATTTGCTTTAGGTCAGTTCATTCACTGATGCAAGAATATCACTCCTCGAAGGTCATACTGCAAAAAGATGTATTTCATTCAAATGAGTGTTTTGGCTTGTACTTTCTAAGATTTTGCGAACATTTTAGTATAATGTGACACTGACGTTCTAGAATTTCTTCTAAAGATGACTTATCTAACATCTAGTCAGTGACCCTATTATTATAGGAACTTAGAGTAAAATATTGTCTTTTATTTCCAGGAAAAACATCCTGCTGCGTTTAGTGGTACAAGTGAGAAGGTTCACATATAAATAGCCATGCTCACTTTTCATAATGTCTGCTCAGTACCCAGCTCCTTCTGGCTCACTGGCATCCCAGGGCTGGAGTCCCTACACGTCTGGCTCTCCATCCCCTTTGGCTCCATGTACCTGGTGGCTGTGGTGGGGAATGTGACCATCCTGGCTGTGGTAAAGATAGAACGCAGCCTGCACCAGCCCATGTACTTTTTCTTGTGCATGTTGGCTGCCATTGACCTGGTTCTGTCTACTTCCACTATACCCAAACTTCTGGGAATCTTCTGGTTCGGTGCTTGTGACATTGGCCTGGACGCCTGCTTGGGCCAAATGTTCCTTATCCACTGCTTTGCCACTGTTGAGTCAGGCATCTTCCTTGCCATGGCTTTTGATCGCTACGTGGCCATCTGCAACCCACTACGTCATAGCATGGTGCTCACTTATACAGTGGTGGGTCGTTTGGGGCTTGTTTCTCTCCTCCGGGGTGTTCTCTACATTGGACCTCTGCCTCTGATGATCCGCCTGCGGCTGCCCCTTTATAAAACCCATGTTATCTCCCACTCCTACTGTGAGCACATGGCTGTAGTTGCCTTGACATGTGGCGACAGCAGGGTCAATAATGTCTATGGGCTGAGCATCGGCTTTCTGGTGTTGATCCTGGACTCAGTGGCTATTGCTGCATCCTATGTGATGATTTTCAGGGCCGTGATGGGGTTAGCCACTCCTGAGGCTAGGCTTAAAACCCTGGGGACATGCGCTTCTCACCTCTGTGCCATCCTGATCTTTTATGTTCCCATTGCTGTTTCTTCCCTGATTCACCGATTTGGTCAGTGTGTGCCTCCTCCAGTCCACACTCTGCTGGCCAACTTCTATCTCCTCATTCCTCCAATCCTCAATCCCATTGTCTATGCTGTTCGCACCAAGCAGATCCGAGAGAGCCTTCTCCAAATACCAAGGATAGAAATGAAGATTAGATGATTACTATTTTCTTCTCTCTCAAATAAGCTCATGGAGAAGGTGTTTAAATATGGTAGGCTGCTTCCCATTAGGAACTTTACAAGCAGTTTGAAGTATTAGGCACTGTGCTCTCCAACTTTTGTAGTTCCAAAGGAATTCTAAGAAAGTATACAACTCTAAGTCCTAAAAGGTGGAAAATACAAAACTTACAACTAAAGGATATTTGAGCTACAAAGAAGGTAAACCAACCGTGATAACGACAAGCTGCTAATATTTAGCATTGTTCATGTAATTCTTGAAAATATCCTGACATGAGGTATTATTGTTTATATTTTATGAGGAAATAGGACAGAACACCCTTGCTTTATGAACTACATACAGTTACTTAAGCTGCCTAGCTCCACATTTGGTTGGAATTTGTAATACATTGTAAAGTTATGTATTAATACTTTCTATTCTTTGTTTTCTGTATATCCTTTAAAAGGTAAATTTAAAAAACTAAGTCATTTAATTGAAGTTTCCTTAGCTGCAAGGTGACACCTTCCTGAGTTAAGCCTCTCTTAATTGAGATGCTGTTCAAACTGCCTGTAAAAATGTGTTCTAGAAGACTCACTTGTATGTGCCCAGAAGATTTGGGGATACTTATGAAAGAGAATGTGGCCTGAAAAAAAATTGTCAGGTCAATGAAGGAAAATGAGACAAGGTTACCATGTCTCAATATTGCCTTTGTTGTATTCTCTGCAGGCTTGATGCATATGAGGACTCTGTGGAAATAAGTCTTCCCTTTCCCACAGAAACACTCCCCAAACCCTAATCCCATCTGTAGGATTCCTGCCGATAGTGTGCTACATCCTTAAAATGAATCAGCAACAAGTTGCAAGTTATATAGTTTATAGAGACACTGACTTTGTCCTCCAGATTAAATATTAACTATGTTCTAGTCATTGAGCTAACATGGATAAAGCATTTAGTTACTATTGACAGGATTACTGACATAGTCCTCCCAACCACACTAAGGTAAGAATTACTCTATTTTGCAAATGAAGAAATTGAGGTTCCCAGAAGTGATAGAATTGCCCAAGGTCACTCAGAGAGCAATAGTGAAACCAGGAATTCAGCCAAGTTTGTTTTTAAAGCTCAAAGGCTTCCAAGCCTCTCTGTTCCACATTTTCCTTAACTGAGGAAGGGTGCTGAAAGGCCTTTCCTGGAGGTCTGAGTTGTCATGCACTTAGACATTAGCTACACCCATTATTTCTAAAGTCAGAAGTATACAGATCAAAAAGCAGTTTCTTTCAGTGCTGTTTCCAGAGGAAGGACAAAACGTAAATCTAGGTCTGCTCACTAATTCTACAACTCCATAAAGTCAAGAAAATGTTGAATACACTAGGCTTTAGGTAGAAACCAAACTGACCAAAGGAGTAGTCAAGTGCAAAGGAAAGAGCACTGCATGAAACCAGAGAAACTTTTCTAGTTTCTCTTTGGCTAGTCCAGAGAATGGAATGGAAACCACTCCGCTAATGGGACATCTGGAATGTGTGATCATTTAGGGATCCAATTACATGCATCTCTAACTTCCATCCTATCACACCGTAATGAGTAGCTTTCCCTAAACTTTCATCCGAGTTTAGAGGAATTGAGTATTCTTCCTATGAATGGAAAAGCAATCATAAGATAAGTCTTCTGCTTTACCTATCCCACCATGGTTGGGAACCAGAGGAAGATTTTTGGAATCAGTGCAAAGTTGTGCTCACCAGCTCTCTATGGAGCAGGGGTGAAAGGGCAAATCACAATGACCCAGAATTATCTCTAGTGTGATTTTAAAATGTCATCTAATAAGGTTAACCTCAGGAGAGGTACAGAAACCTTGCTGAAAGTATACTAGAAGAAATTAGATATGAGTTGGGACCCAACTTATGGAATTTCTTGGAATTCAGCCTATCATGTGAATGAATCTTGTCTTCGTTTTCCTAAAGTTGTGCAGTCTGTGTCAGATTATAGAATAGCATGTTCATATAATTCTAGCTTTCATTTATTGTAATATTGAAGTTGTGAAATCTAAATGTAGCCAAGGGACATTAAGTTGGCCACCTAAGCATAAAAAGGTGAAACAACTTATGAAACATACAAGAAGCCATGAAATTATTGTGGCAACCTTTAAGTGTACCTTCCAGATCTTCTACAGTGAATGCAGTTGACTGACAGCATTAACTGCTGCCATCTACTATCCCCATGCTCCTACCGAGGCCACATTTCCCAGAAACTGTTCCCAGTGATCCAGCATAATAGGGACATAGAATAGGCCCATTTGGAACTGCACACTTCTGACAGGGAACTATGACTCCATGACTCTCACATGGAACTTTCTAAAAGTTTCAGCAAGGCCAAAGTTTATAGATCTTTCCTTAGCATCCTCTCTCAATCCTTTACAGATGTCAGGCTGGCATTTTCCATTAGTTCTCTCAACTTCCTCCAGCTCCCTCCCGCATTCTCCTTCACAAGCATATCCTTCAGTAAGATACTAAGATGGGATTAGACCTAAGATAGTAGAGGATTTTTTTATTATTATACTTCAAGTTTTAGGGTACATGTGCACAACGTGCAGGTTACATATGTATACATGTGCCATGTTGGTGTGCTGCACCCATCAACGCATCATTTAACATTAGGTATATCTCCTAAAGCTATCCCTCCCCCCCACCCCACAACAGGCCCCGGTGTGTGACGTTCCCCTTCCTGTGTCCATGTGTTCTCATTGTTCAATTCCCACCTAAGAGTGAGAACATGCGGTGTTTGGTTTTTGTCCTTGCAATAGTTTGCTGAGAATGATGGTTTCCAGCTTCATCCATGTCCCTACAAAGGACATGAACTCATCATTTTTTATGGCTGCATAGTATTCCATGGTGTACATGTGCCACATTTTCTTAATCCAGTCTATCACTGTTGGACATTTGGCTTGGTTCCAAGTCTTCGCTATTGTGAATAGTGCCACAATAAACATACGTGTGCATGTGTCTTTATAGCAGTATGATTTATAATCCTTTGGGTATATACCCAGTAATGGGATTGCTGGGTCCAATGGTATTTCTAGTTCTAGATCCCTGAGGAATCGCCACACTGACTTCCACAATGGTTGAACTAGTTTACAGTCCCACCAACAGTGTAAAAGTGTTCCTATTTCTCCACATCTTCTCCAGCACCTGTTTCCTGACTTTTTAATGATTGCCATTCTAACTGGTGTGAGATGGTATCTCACATTGTGGTTTTGATTTGCATTTCTCTGATGGCCAGTGATGAGCATTTTTTCATGTGTTTTTGGCTGCATAATTGTCTTCCTTTTCAGAAGACGCTTCTTTTGAGAAGTGTCTATTCATATCCTTCGCCCACTTTTTGATGGGACTGTTTTTTTCTTGTAGATTTGTTTAAGTTCATTGTGGATTCTGGATATTAGCCCTTTGTCAGATGAGTAGATTGCAAAAATGTTCTCCCATTCTGTAGGTTGCCTGTTCACTCTGATGGTAGTTTCTTTTGCTGTGCAGAAGCTCTTTAATTTCATTAGATCCCATTTGTCAATTTTGTCTTTTGTTGCCACTGCTTTTGGTGGTTTAGACATGAAGTCCTTGTCCATGCCTATGTTCTGAGTGGTATTGCCTAGGTTTTCTTCTAGGGTTTTTATGGTTTTAGGTCTAACGTGTAAGTCTTTAATCCATCTTGAATTAATTTTTGTATAAGGTGTAAGGAAGGGATCCAGTTTCAGCTTTCTACATATGGCTAGCCAGTTTTCCCAGCACCATTAAATAGGGAATCCTTTCCCCATTGCTTGTTTTTGTCAGGTTTGTCAAAGATCAGATGGTTGTAGATATGTGGCATTATTTCTGAGGGCTCTGTTCTGTTCCATTGGTCTAGATCTCTTCTAAGTTACATTGATGCCCCTGCAGAATAATGCAATTGAGGGCTATTAAACAGCTAATGGCTAGGCGTGAGAACTTAAGGGTCTCTTTGTAAGCAACCAGAGAAAGCCCCCTGCAATGATACAGTTGAGAAGCAGACTAAAGACAACTGTTACAAGTACAGAGCTCCAGAAATGTTTGAGAGCTCAGCAAAGAGTGTTATTCTAAAGTCAGGGCCACATTTAGGAAAACATGAGACACTGAAACATGGCATGGGAAGGGATGCCCTTGAGGATGTTGAAGCTGCAATACCCTGAATGCTTTGGGCTTTCAGAGGTGACCCACTTTTCTGCAGTAAAAGGTAACACTTTGGTGCAGCAACAGGTATTCCCTCAGGAGCTGCTCTCACCTCTTCTGGCTGCCAGGATGGTATGTGGGGTAAAGACAGCATATTTCTTGCTGAGAATAGGCAGGGCCTGATAGAGGAGGAAGTAACTATACAACAGAATGGTTTTTAGAGTTAACTAACATATGTTCCCTGGCAAAGGCCCCACCCTCAAAGCCTGGAAACCCACGGCCCTAAATGGGAACACACATTCCTATTTTTGTACCCAAAAGTTGCCTTTTGGCCTGCCATACCCCCCTATCCTGTACCCTTATAAACCCCAGACCCCACAAGCAGATGAGGAGATGAACAGAAGAATGGCAGAACAGCAGAGAGGAGAGAAGCAGCATCTGAACGCTGAAAGCAGTTTGGCTGGGGGTGGTCAGAGAGGAGATTGACCACTGAATGGTCAAACTGCAGGAGAAGATCATCTTCCCATTCCATCCCCTTTCCAGCTCCCCACCCATCCCACTGAGCACACCATAACACATGCTTACTTGGGGTTCAGGAGTCACAGGCTCCCATCTCAGACACTGCTGTAGGGCTGGAGCCCACAGTGCTTGCCCTGGCTCCTACACCTGCCCGTCTATGTGTTCGCCTTCTCATAAGGGGTTTAAGAACACACAGCCAAACAGATGAGCCACACCCTTGTCACATGTCCTGCGATGGGGATCAGGTAACTCATCTGGGGGCTTGTCTGGGATACAAAAAAAGCAAGTTAAAATGCAGAACTGTCAGTTCTGTCTCTTCCAAGACTCTGCCAACTGTTTCCTGGAGGTAAAGGGAATATTGGCTCTATTTCCCTTCATAGAGGTCTAGCCATCACATGGGACTGGAGTAAAGCCCTGAGGCAACTGAAGGCATCTTTTGCTGGAAGATTCCAACACTGAACTCCATTGGCCAAGACCCCCAGACTTTGTTATGGTGTCTCTTCTTTCACGGTTTGAAATGGCTCCTATCTCTTTTATAATGTTAACGGTTTTGCTACAGACTGTGGCAATGATATTAAATGATGGCATTTGGCTTAGCCATCAAAAGGTGCAGCTCAGAACCATGTGGTCTGTTCATAGAGGTGCCATCCCCACCCCTACCCCAACAGCCGCAGGTACAGGTACACGTGGTGCATGGCGCCTTCCCTTCCAGCTCAGGTGCCTCGGTGTGTCTGCAGTACACACAAGCCATGCCTAATGCCTACAAAGAGCGGGAGAAAACTGCAGCTGCCGCTGGGGCCCTGCATGGAGGTTCTTCACCCAGGACCTCCCCCTTTTGTCCCTTAAGCTGTGGTTTTTTTCCCTTCCCCATTTTCTTTTTTTTTCCCCCTTCTCTAAGTGAGAGGGTGCCTTTTCCCAGCACTCTGCTTATGATAGAAAAAATGAAGGAGTGACCCCTGCTGGCTAATAGCTGCAAATCTGGCAGGGCCCATTTGAGACTTAGATACATGCAGCCCCTGAAATATTTTGTCCCAGACTCAATTCCAGGCTTCAGGACCTAGAAAGGAAAACCAGATCTGAGGAATCCAAAGCTAGGTGACAGGCACAATGTAAATAGGCAGAACATTCCTGCTGACTAAACCCCTGCTTCGTGGAAGGAGGCCATGCTCTATGGCATAGATAAGACTCAGGAAACTCAAAGGTTGCTGACAGTAGGGAAAATAAAGGCATAGGCAATGGTGGATAATCCCTATTCTCTAGGTGCCCCCCACTTCACAGGTGCAGGTCACAATGGCACCCAATGGGTGGCATCTGTCTAGGGTCACTGGGACTTGGGGACAATAAAAAGGGAATGTCTTCCTCACACCCCAAGTTTTTGCTGAAATAAGGGAAATGAATGCCTCTATTTCCCTTTCTTTCATAATGGGCAACCAGCTCTCTTTACCACCCCCAGCTTATACTCCTCTGGAGTGTATCCTGAACCATTGGGACTGCTTTAACCCTCAGTATCTGGAGGAAAAATGCCTCATAGCCCTCTGCACAAAGGTTTGGCCAAATTATAAAGGACTGGCTTGGCCTCAGGAAGGAGTCATTTATTTCAATACCATTGGGAAGTTGGACCTTTTACATAGGCGTGAAGACACATGGTCTGAGGCCCCATGTGTACAGGTTTTCTATTCCTTGCAGGGCAACCCAGAGCTTTGCCAGTAGTGTAGGATTAATCCAGCCTTCTTGTTTGCCATCTCAGGAAAGGCTGTAAGGGGTAATCCCAGGGAACTAAAAAAATAAATTCCAGAGGCACCCCCAGCAGAAAAGCCAACTCCCTCCAGCCCTGCTCCTCCAGGTCCACGTCAACCTCCTTTTCCAGCATCATTCTCTCCTGCCCCCTCCTAGAAATTCTCAGCTTAGACAAGCCCCAGTCTCACTCTTGCCCTTTCAACAGATGCCTGGTGAATTTGGCCCTATTAAGGTCCAGGTCCTCTTCTCTCTACAGAACTTAAAGCAAATTAAGGGGATCTTGGTAAGTTTTCAGATAACCCTGATATATATCATATATATATCCTCTCTCTCATATCTTCTCTTATATATGATACATATATCTCATATATGATATATATATGTATAATATATTTATGGAGGCTTTTTAGAATTTAACCCAAGTATTTAGGCTCTTCTGAAAAAAATGTTACTTTGAAATCAAACCCTGATGAACACTGAGAAGCAAGCTGCTCTGCATGTGGCAGAAAAATTTGGGGATAAGCTTTGTATCACATATAGCATCAGGGAGGGAGGAAAACTCTATCCAACTGGAAGAAAGGCAGTATCAGCAAAAGACCCTCGATGGGATTCCAATGACGAGATGGGAGTCTGGAAGAGGAGACACTTTCAGGTGCATATAATGAGGGGCTTATGTAGAACTAGGACCAAGCCTCAATTATAGAAAGCTATCCATGATAGACCAGGGATTTAATAGAAGTCTCAACTGCCTTCTTGGAAAGGCTAAAAGGGCCCTTGGTAAAGCACACCTCTCTATCTCCTCATCCAGTCAAGGAACAACTAATTATGAAGGATAAGTTTATTACTCAGGCAGCCCCTGATATCAGGAGGACATTGCAGAAATGGGCCCTGGGACCAGACGGTACTTTAGAGGACCTCTGGAAAGCGGCTACCTCAGTCTTTTACAATAAAGATGGGGAGACACAAAAGCAGAAGCAGCTTCTGTGGCCACCAAGCAAGCCCACAAACCCCAGAATTCCCAAGGTGCACCTATTAATTGCTACAGATGTGGCAAGAACAGTTACTTCTTCTAAAGTTTAGCCACTCCTGTATGAGGTTTAATTTCTTTCACCAGGGTGAAACAGCTCAGGGCACAATGTTAGTATATTTCACTTTTTAGTTCCATAATCTTTGGCACTAGATTCTTTCCTTGTATAATACACATTTAACCTATGCATACTTAACCTTATACAAATTTCTCTTGCCTGGTGGCCAAATTCCAAATGGTCAGGCAACTGGAGCCTCAGACGATGGCTTCCTTTTGCTGAGGACCCTTTAAATAAAACTCTGGGAGAAATCTGAGTGCTGTTTTCCCTTAACCACCACCCTGTCAGCAGGAAGTAGTTAAGACTGGTCGTTATCCATATTCTAATAGCAGTTAGATGTGCCTCTTCAGAGGGGGAAATGATACCGACAAGAGACAGGGAAATATTGGGTGGAACAGGGCAGTTCCTCAGCAAAGGCCCCACTCTCAAGCCTGGAAAACTGTGGCCCTAAATGGGAACAGGCATTCCCATTTCCATGCCCCAAAGTTGCCTTTTGGCCTGCCATGCCCCCCTAATCCTGTACCCATATAAGCCCCAGACCCCAGGCTCCAGAAACATATGAGCAGATGAGCAGACAAGGAAATGAACAGAAGAGCAGAAGAACAGAACAGCATGGCAAGGAGAAAAGGAACATATGAACTCAGTTTGGCTGGGGGTGGTCAGAGAGGAGATTGGCCACTGGATGGCCAAACCCCAGGGGAAGATTATCTTCCCACTCCATCCCCTTTCCGGCTCCCCACCCATCTGGCTGAGAGCCACATCCACCATTCAAAACCCCCACATTTGTCCTTCAAGTTCACGTGTAACCTGATTTTTCCTGGACCCCAGACAAGAGCTCAGGATACAGAAAGCTGTCACACTGGCCCTCTGCCCTTGCAAAAAGGCAGAGGGTCCACTGAGCTGTTTAATGCTTCAGCCATCTGCAGATGGCAAGGATAAAATAACATACTGTTACACGTCCACTTGAGCTTCAGGAGTCATAGGTTCCTGCCCCTGGCATGCTGCTGTGGGGCTGGAGCACCAGGTCCTGCACCTGCCCAACTGCATGCTCCCCCCTCCTGTAAGGTGTTAAGTGTGCATGGCTGTCGAACAGATGAGCCACGCCCCTGTCACATGTTCTGCAATGGGGGCCGGGGAACTCTGTTTCACTAGGGTGGCTCTTGTAAGCCTGAGAAGTAGTGACGACCAGTGCTCAGCAAAACAAAAATACTTAGATTGCCCTGGAAGAAGGTAGAGGAAGAAGAGGGATGGGAATATATTATAATAGATATATAAGGGCAGAAGATCCAGGAGATTATGTCCAATGAGACAATCCAGAGGACAATATTCACCAAGGCCATCATAAATGATCTGATGACAAGGACACCAACACTATTTAGTGCAGTGATGGCTTTCTTCAGGCCAGAACACATGGGAACAGAGGTAGTCAGACATAGCCTTATCAATACCTACGGGGATAAGGGGGCTATAGTGAGGCCAGGTAGTAACATCTAACCCTGAGAAGTCAAAAGGCTGCCGTTCTACAAGAGCTGGCAAGGTCAGAGGAGACACTAAGCGGGCTTGACCCAGAGAGTTGGAGATTGCTAAGCATTGCCCCCCAAGGACCAAATTAAATATGCAACCAGCAAGGCTCTGCTCACCACTTATGAACAAGGCAAAAATGGAGGATCAGATGGTCACTAATGAAGTCACAATTTCTTGCCTAGTTCCCAAACTTGTGTCAGTTTCTAGATCTAGAACTCATTGAAGAGGTACCTGAATCCTTGTAGAAAAGTCCTCATTATATACCATGATTATCATAGTTCCTTCTCAAAGTTACCTATGATAATTTACTCAGGCAATTGTACTTTGGGGAAAGAACTAGACATTAAGGATTACTGAACAGTTTGAGTTGACATTGATATCTAGAAATTGGAAGTATAGTCATTGTTCCTTTATTTACTGCATAGACTAATACCTAGAATAGAGTCCCTACTTTAAACAGTCTCCATGTATCCTGGTTCCACAGACCCAACTCACTGGTTATTTTTCTAGTCACTTAACAAAAAGTTAAATTACTATGCCAGGTTTTTTGAATAACTACCATATAGAATTTGTTCTGAAAATGCCCTCCCCACCAAAATAGAAGACTTTAAATGCGTGATACAAAACTTGGCAGTTTTATTGTTTTCTATTCCAGTTATAAGAGGATCAGGAAGTTCATATTCATATGGGATAGAAAACAGGACTCATACAGTTTGCCTCAGGGGCACATTAACTCTACTGTCATGTGTCATAATATAGTCCTAAAAGACAGGGACTGCCTGAACATCCCAGAGAACATCGCAGTGATCCAATGGTATCACATTGATTGTGCCAAACACACACGAGGTGCTTTGTACAGTAAAGGCCTTAGTAAGACACATGCTCCAGAAGGTAGAGATAAATCCAAAGAATTTTTAGGACCCATGATGTCAATAGTATTTAATTAGGTCCAATGATCAGAGTTACATTGAATGTCTCCAGAGTAAAGAAGCAGACTTCATCTTGCATTCTCTATCCCAAAGAGGAGGGCACAATGAATCGTAAGCCTCTTTGGATTCTGGAGATAACATTTGTCACCTAGGAATCCTGCCCTGGCCCATACATAAAAAGTCATAAAAAGCTTCCAACTTTAAGAGGGCCCAAAGCAGGAATGAGTGCTACAGCAGGTCCAGGCTTTGGTGAAAGCATCACTGCCACTTAAGCCTTAGGAACTGACAGACTAGTGTTGGAGGTACCAGTGCTATGAAGAGATGCAGGATGAAGCTTATGGAATTATCACTATAGAGATCCCTGGTATTTTGAAATTAGTCTTATCTAGAGCAAAACAATTGTAGATCTTTTGAGAAATAGCTCCTGGTATTTTACCGGGCTATGGTCATGGGGTACCAAGTGATCATGTATTCAAAGCAGCCTCTTGTGAACTGGGTTTGTCTGACCTACTATACCACAGACTTCCACTATACCTGTCCAGGTCTATGAGATGGAAGTGGTTAATCTGGGACCAAGCCTGACAAAACCAGAGAGCATAAGTAAGTTGCATGAGCAGGCAGCCCAGACTCAAGGTACCCGCAATATTTGCACTAGTCCTCCTTCCTCACATCCCATCTGTGGCCCTATGGAGTAGTGCCATATGACCAACTAAAGGAAAAAAGCTAGAGCCTGTTTACAAATGAGTTGGCAAGCCATGGTCTAAGATGCATGGCACGTGCATTACAGGCATATCCAGGGGCAGTTTCAACAGAGTGGAGAAGTAGTCTTCAATTAGTGAAACTTGTTATACCTGGTTATCCACTTCCTGTGGAAGAAAAAGTGGCCCAAGATGAGAATTTCTCTAAGTCCCTGGGCAGTGGTCAATGGCCTTCTGTCTGGTCAGGGGCTTAGGGACCAGATGATTAGAAGCAAGAAGGACTGGGAGAGGGGCATAAATATAAGTATATGGGAGTTAGGCACAAATTGTGAAGATTCTTGTATCTGTAAAAGACATCTACCAGAAGAGACACTAAACAATCAAGTGGATGAACTGATTCTGCCAGTTGAAATTATCTAGCTTTCATTGTTCAGTTCAGAACTGGAATTATGGGTTACAGAAGTGGCATCAGTGGCAGCAGAAGATCCTATGTATGGTTCCAACCATGCAGGCTCCCATTGGCCAACTTTGACTAGCTGCTGCCACCACCTCTGGATATTCAATCTGTCAGATCAACACTGAAGCCCAGATGTATTGCTCCTCAAGGAGGCCACTCAGTGGCAGTTCAGAACTACATTGAGCCTCTTTATTCTGGAAGGGCCAGTGGTTTCTACTTCCAGTTATGTTTGTTTTGGGCATGGGTTTTTGCCTTTCTTGTCCACAGAGCCTTGGCTATTAGTACTGCTTTGAAGCCTTCCAAAATCCCTTGTCTATAGGCAAGGGACCCCACATGGCACAAGATCAAAGGAGTAGACATGTTTCACAGCAAAGGATATGCAGGATAGAATAGGGCTGCTGACCATGGGATTTTATTAGTAGTATGACATTATCTCGACTACCAGAAGCAGCTGGCCTCAGAATATTGAGGCTACCTTCTAAGAACCCAACTAAAGCAGCATCTCAGAAAACACTTCACGGAAGCAGAATGTTAGCCTTCAGAATACATTATGTGTGTTTAATTAGATCAATATGGTGCTGAGTCTCCAATAGGAGAAATACCATATACCAGAAGCCAAGGGGGTAAAAACAGGAATATCCTTATGTAGTCATTTCTAATAGTCCACTAGGAGACTTACTTCCCATCTCTGGAAGTCTTGGCTCTGCAGGGTTGGAGATTCTGATTCCCAAAACGGGTTCACTATGGGCAAGGTCCCATTGAGCTACAACTTACAGCTGCCATCAGGATACCTTGGACTACTATGACCTGGGACCAACAGGTGAGGAGAAGTTGCCATACTGGCAAAAGTAATTGATCTTGATTAGCGGGAAGAGAGGGTTGCCTTTATACAATGTATGAAGGAAGAGATATGTAAAATATGTGAAGCCAGATGATCCATTTGGACATTTTCTGGTGCTTCCTTGACCCATTGTGACTATGGGCATACATGTGGATCATTCCCCAGATAAGGGTATGATTAACGTGTCAGTCCCCTCAAGAATAAAGGATTGGGGCCACCCTATTAGGTAAGCCACCAAGATTTGCAATGGCAATAGTGGAAAGTGAGAAGAATTGAGCAGCGAAGGAATGGCAGGGAAGAGTAGTGGCCTAAAACTTCAGAGACAAGGGCTGTAGTTTGTTCTACTAATCTTCTAAGTTTCCCCTTCAGCAAGGGAGGCCCACTGGAGCTATGAAGATGCTCCCCACATCTGTTTGAAGGAGATCCATGCAGTACAAGAACAGACTGTGGTGGCCATGAAAACATGCCTTTCAGATTTGAATGCAGTGAGCATATTTGATGGCCTCAGTCACTGTGCTCTAGAAATACATGGCATTGTCTAGACTTCACTTCCCTTTGGTTGTTTCTGACCAATGAATGAGCACAGAGCTATTAAGACAGTTCTAATCCTGTGAGATGCTGGACTCCTTATAGGTGCCTTTGGTTCAAGGTCTCCATTAACCTTGCCAAGACTTAGAGATGCACAGAAACCTAAGACCCTCCTTATTTTCCTTCCGTCCTCCCAAAGATGATACTTGGATTGTGACCTCATGGCTTTTCTAAGCCTCTTGAGATCCCTCTTCTCCATCTTCCTTTATGGCCATTTTCCCCTCCAGCCTCCTTCAATAAACCTCTGAGATATCTAATTCTATCTTTTTTTTGGAAAGATCCATTCTAACACAATTATGGCAAGTCCCACAGGAAAATCTTCAACTTTATGCCCACAGCAGTCTGTTGTTGGGAAGAATACCTGTTATGAGTAGAGTCCCTTGAGATCTCTTTTCAAAGACTTCTTTCAAAGCCATTTAGGAAGGAATGAAGGAGGGAGGGGCCAAGATGGCCAAATAGGAACAGCTCTGGTCTGCAGCTCCCAGCAAGACCAATGCAGAAGGCAGGTGATTTCCGCATTTCCAACTGAGTTACCCAGTTCATCTCATTGAGACTGGTTTGATAGTGGGTACAACCCACAGAGTGGGAAGCAGCAGCATGAGGCATTGCTTCACCTGGGAAGTGCAAGGAGTTGGGGGACCTCCCTCCCCCAGCCAAGGGAAGCTATGAGGGACTGTGCTACCTGGCCCGGGTACTACATTTTTTCCAGTTTTTGCAATGCACAGATCAGGAGACTCCCTTTTGTGCCTATACCACCAGGGCCCTGGGTTTTAAGCACAAAACTGGGTGACTGTTTGGACAGATGTCGAGCTAGCTCTGCAGGAGTTTTTTTTCGAACCCCAGTGGTGTCTGGAACCCCAGTGAGACAATCGTTCATTCTCCTGGAAAGGGGGCTGAAGCCAGGGAGCCAAGCGGTCTCGTTTAGCAGGTCCCAACTCCCATGTAGCCCAGCAAGCTAAGAACCACTGGCTTGAAATTCTCACTGCCAGCACAGCAGTGTGGAGTCGGCCTGGGATGATAGAGCTTGGTAGGGGGAGGGGCATCCGCTATTACTGAGGCCTTAGTAGGCAATTTTCCCCTGAGTGCTAAGGAGACTGGGAGGTTTGGGTTGGGCAGAATTCATCACAGCATGGCAAAGCTGCTGTGGCCAGAATGCTTCTCTAGATTCCCCCTCAATGGGCAGGGCATCTCTGAAGGAAAACAGCCCAGTCAGGGGCTTATACACAAAACTCTCATCTCCCTGGGACAGCACCTGGAGGGAGGGGCGGCTGTGGGTGCAGATCAGTGGACCTAATCTTTCCTGCCTGCCAGCTCTGAAGAGAGCAGCTGATTCTGACAAGGGATTCTCACAGCACAGCGCACCAGATCTGTTAAGGGACAGACTGCCTTCTCAAGTGGGTCCCTGACCCCCATGCCTCCTGACTAGGAGAGGCCTCCCAACAAGGGTTGACACAGACACCTCATACAGGAGAGCTCTGACTGGCATTAGGCCAGTGCCCCTCTGGGATGAAGCTTCCAGAGAAAGGAGCAGACAGCAATGTTTGCTGTTCTGTAGACTCTACTGGTAATACCCAGGCAAACAGGGTCTGGAGTGGACCTCCAGCAAACTGCAGCAGACCTGCAGAAGAAGGGCCTGTTAGAAGAAAAACTAATAAACAGAAAGCAATAACGTCATCAAGACAGACCCCCATGCAAAAAACCCCATCCAAGTCATCAGCCTCAAAGATCAAAGGTAGATAAATTCTTGAAGATGAGGAAAAGTCAGCACAAAAATGTTGAAAATTCCAAAAACCAGAGTGCTTCTTCTCCAAATGATCACAACTCCTCTCCAGCAAGGGCACAAAACTGGACTGAGAATGAGATTGACAAATTGACAGAAGCAGGCTTCAGAAGGTGGGTAATAAACTCTTCTGAGCTAAAGGAGCATGTTTTAACCCAGTGCAATGAGGCCAAGAATCTTGATAAAAGGTTACAGGAATTGCTAACTAGAAGAACCAGTTTAGCGAAGAACATAAATGACCTGGGGGAGCTGAAAAAACAGCATGAGAACTTTGTGAAGCATACACAAACATCAGTAGCCAAATCAAATTAAGCAGAAGAAAAGATATGAGACTGAAGATCACCTTACTGAAAAATAAGGTGTGAAGACAAGATTAGGGAAAAAAGAATGAAAAGGAATGAACAAAGCCTCCAAGAAATATGGGACTATGTCAAAAGACCAAACCTATGTTTGACTGGGGTACATGAAAGTGACAGGGAGAATGGAACCAAGTTGGGAAACACACTTCAGGATATTATCCAGGAGAATTTCCCCAACCTAGCAAGACAGGCCAACATTGAAATTCAGAAAATACAGAGGCCACCACTAAGATACTCGAGAAGAACAACCTCAAGATACATAAGCATCAGACTCTCCAAGGTTAAAATGAAGGAAAAACTATTAAGGGCAGCCAGAGAGAAAGGTCAGGTTACCTACAAAGGGAAGCCGATCAGACTAACAGCAGATCTCTCTGCAGAAACTCTGCAAGCTGGAAGAGTGGGGCCCAATATTCAACACTCTTAAAAGAATTTGACCTAGAATTTCATATCCAGCCAAACTAAGCTTCATAAGCTGAGATATAAAATCCTTTACAGACAAGCAAATGCTGAAGGATTTTGTCACCACCAGGCCTGCCTTACAAGAGCTCCTGAAGGAAGCACTAAATATGGAAAGGAAAAACCAGCACCAGCCACTGCAAAAGTACACCAAAATATAAAGACCAATGACACTATGAAGAAACTGCAACTAACATGCAAAATAACCAGCTAGCATTATGATAACAGGATCAAATTCACACAGAACAATATTAACCTTAAATTTAAATGGGCTAAATGCCCCAATTAAAAGATACAGACTGGCAAATTGGATAGTCAAGACCTATCGGTGTGCTGTATTCAGGAGACCTAGTTCATATGCAAAGACACACATTCGTTCAAGAGAAAGGGATGGAGGAATATTTACCAAGCAAATGGAAAACAAAAAAGCAGGGGTTGCAATCCTAGTCTCTGATAAAACAGACTTTAAACCAACAAAGATCAAAAAAGATAAGGGCATTACATAAAGTTTACATTTATGTCATCAGTCCAACAAGAGCAGCTAACTCTCCTAAATATATATGCACCCAATTCAAGAGCACGTAGATTCATAAAACAAGTTCTTAGAGACCTACAAAGAGACTTAGACTCCCACACAATAATGGGAGACTTCAATACCCCACTATCAATATTAGACTGATCAACGAAACAGAAAATGAAGATATTCAGGACCTGAACTCAGCTTTGGACCAAGTGGACCTAATAGACATCTACAGAATCCTCTGCCACAAATCAATATACATGATTCTCAGCAACACACAGCACTTATTCTAAAATTGACCACATAATTGGAAGTAAAACACTCCTCAGCAAATGCAAAAGAATGGAAATCGTAAGTCTCAGACCACAGTGGAATCAAATTAGAACTCAGGATTAAAAAACTCAAAACCACACAACTGCATGGAAATTGAACAACCTGTTCCTGAATGACTACTGGGTAAATAATGAAATTAAGGCAGAAATAAAGTTTTTTGAAATCAATGAGAACAAAGACAACATACCAGGATCTGTGGGACACAGCTAAAGCAGTGTTAAGAGGGACATTTATAGCACTAAATACCCACATCAGAAAGCTGGAAAGATCTGAAATTGAGATCCTAACATCAAAATTAAAAGAACTTCAGAAGCAAGAGCAAACAAACTCAAATGCTAGCAGACAAGAAATAACTAAGGTCAGAGCAGAACTGAAGTAGAGACACTAAAAACACTTCAAAAAAAAAAAAAAAAAAACCAGCTCCTGATTTACTAAAGAGATTAACAAAATAGAACACTAGCTAGACTTTAATAAAGAGAAGAATCAAATAGACAATACACGATAAAGGGAATATCACCACTGATCCCACAGGAATACAAACTACCATCAGAGAATACTATAAACACCTCTATGCAAACTAGAAAATCTAGAGAAATGGATAAATTCCTGGACACTTACACCCTCCCAAGACTAAAACAGCAAGAAGTCAAATCCCTGAGTAGACCAATTAACAAGTTCTGAAATTGAGACAGTAATTAATAGTCTACCAACCAAAAAAAGCCCAGGACCAGATGTATTCACAGCCGAATTCTTCCAGAGGTACAAAGAGAAGCTGGTACCATTCCTTCTGAAACTACTCCAAGTAGAAAAAAAAGGACTCCTCCCTAACTCATTTTATGAGGACAGCATCATCCTGATGCCAAAAACCTGGCAGAAACACAACAAAAAGAAAATTTCGGGCCAGTATCCCTGATGAACATTGATGCAAAAATCCTCAATAAAATATTGGCAAACTGAATCCAGCAGCACATCAAAAAAGCTTATCCACCACGATCAAGTTGGCTTCATCCCTGGGATGCAAGGGTGGTTCAACATTGATTTATGCAAATCAATAAACATAATTCATCAAATAAACAGAACCAATGACAAAAACCAGATGATTATCTCAATAGATGTGGAAAAGGCCCTTGAAAAAATTCAACATCCTTCATGCTAAAATCTCTCGAACTAAGTATTGATGAAACATATCTCAAGATAAGAGCTATAACAACCCATAGCCAATATAATACTGAATGAGCAAAAGCTGGAAGCATCCCCCTTTGAAAACTGGCACAAGACAAGGATGCTGTCTCTCATCACTCCTATTCAACATAGTATTGGAAGTTCTGGCTAGGGCAATCAGGCAAGAGGAAGAAAAACGGTATTCAAATAGAAAAGAAGTCAAATTGTCTGTTTGCAGATGACATGATTGTGAATTTAGAAAACCCCATAGTCTCAGCCTCAAAACTCCTTAAGCTGGTAAGCAACTTCAGCAAAGTCTCAGGATACAAAATCAATGTGCAAAAATCACAAGCATTCCTATACACCAATAATAGACAAGCAGAGAGCCAAATCATGAATGAACTCCCATTCACAATTGCTACAAAGAGAATAAAATACCTAGGAATCCAACTTACAAGGGATGTGAAGGACCTCTTCAAGGAGAACTACAAACCAATGCTCAATGAAATGAGAGGGTACAAATAAATGGAAACACATTCCATGCTCATGGATAAGAAGAATCAGTATCATAAAAATGGCTATACTGCCCAAAGTAATTTATAGATTCAATGCTATTCCCATCAAGCTACCATTGACTTTCTTCACAGAATTAGAAAAAACTTTAAATTTCATATGGAACCAAAAAAGAGCCCATATCACCACGACAATCCTAAGAAACACCACACACCACACACCACACACAGCTGGAGGCATCATGCTACCTGACTTCAAACTATACTGCAAAGCTACAATAACCAAAACAGCATGGTACTGGTACCAAAACAGATGTATAGGCCAATGTAACAGAACAGAGGACTCAAATACCACCACACATCTACAACCATCTGACCTTCAAACAAACCTGACAAAAACAAGCAATGGGGAAAGGATTCCCTATTTAATAAGTGGTGCTGGGAAAACTGGCTAGCCATATGCAGAAAACTGAAACTGTACTCCTTCCTTACACCTCATACAAAAATTAACTCAAGATGGATTAAAAACTTTAGAAGAAAACCTAGGCAATACCATTCAGGACATAAGCATAGGCAAAGACTTCATGACAAGAACACCAAAAGCAATGGCAACAAAAGCCAAAATTGACAAATGGGATTAATTTAACTAGAAGGGCTTCTGCACAGCAAAAGAAACTATCAGAGTGAACAGGCAAACTACAGAATGGGAGAAAATTTTTGCAATCTACCATCTGACAAAGGACTAATATCCAGAATCTACAGGGAACTTAAATTTACAAGAAAAAACCCAACCCCATGAAGAAGTGGGCAAACGATATGAACAGACACTTCTGAGAAGACATTTATGAGGCCAAACACGAAAAATAGCTCATTACTGGTCGTTAGAGAAACGCAAATCAAAACCACAATGAGATACAATCGCACACCAGTTAGACTGGCGATTTTTAAAAAGTCAGGAAACAACAGATGCTGGAGAGGATGTGGAGAAGTAGGAATGCTTTTACACTGTTGGTGGGAGTGTAGATTAGTTCAACCATCATGGAAGACAGTGTGGCAATTCCTCAAGCATCTAGAACCAGAAATACCATTTGACCCAGCAATCCCATTACTGGGTATATACCCAAAGGATGATAAAGTCATTCTACTAGAAAGACACACGCATATGTATGTTTATTGCGGACCTGTTCACAATAGCAAAGACTTGGAAACCACCCAAATGCCCATCAATGATGGACTGGATAAAGAAAATTTGGCACATGTACACCATGGAATACTATGCAGCCATAAAAAATGAGTTCATGTCCTTTGCAGGGACATGGATGAAGCTGGAAACCATCATTCTCAGCAAACTAACAGGAACAGAAAACCAAACGCCTCATGTTCTCATGCATGGGAGTTGAACAATGAGAACACATGGACACAGGGAGAGGAATATCACATACTGGGGCCTGTCGAGGGGTAGGGGGCTAGGGGAGGGAGAGCAGTAGGATGAATACCCAATGCATGGAAGGCATAAAACCTAGATGGGTTGATAGGTGCAGGTTGATGGGTGCAGCAAGCCACCATGGCATATGTATACCTACGTAACATTCTGTACATGTATCCCAGAATTAAAAAAAAAAAAGAAAAACGCCATGTAACCATCACAACACTCAATTTCTCAATGCTTTCCCTTTTTCACTCTAGGGAGGTCAGCTCTAGTGCAGATATAAATCTGAATGACTTGGTGTTAGTCATCTCCTATAGCATTTTGAGTTCAAGGTACAGCCTAAATGCAGAGCAGGTCCCTTGAAGTTTATAGGCATTACATGCGGTTAATACACTTAAAGGGCATGAAAGCACAGCTATAGGAATAAGCTGTTAACTTCTCTGGACTAGTAGATTGACAGTTACAATCCAGCTTGATTTTCTCCATTAGGAGCTTATTTTTATGTTAATCCTAGTTATGGATACAGAACTCAATACTTCTGGCTTTAAGGCTTTTATTCTGAACTGCTCCTTTCTCCCCTTCCCAATTCTTGGACTCAGAACAAGTGGGAGGATATAAGAAATGTGACTAAGTGCTTGACCTTTGCTGGGACAAAACTGGATAGTTCTGGGTTCTTCGAGAAATACTCAAGTTTTCACATTTATCTTAACTCAGGAAATTCAGTCTTTCGGTCACTCAGCTGAATTTCTAGTTGTGTGGATAGTTTGTGTGGAGGCCCCACTGTGTTCCCTAAGGCTACTCTACCCCCTACTCCAGAGCCACTCTTGGCAGATGTTCATTATTTTATGGCTCTTACCTAAAAGGAAAATGTCAGCCCAAAACTAAGGCTTCGAGATTAGGACAGTTATAGCTAATGGTCTTTTCCCATCCTTAGTGACAGTGCTGAACTTTTAATTCATACATGAGATTGAAGGAAACCAGATTATGTTACCCCAAAATATGCCTCAACATAAGAAGTTTGAACTAAAGCAATTAAGCAGCAAACAGGAGAGCTCTTTCCTCCCCACTTTCTGCCTAAAAATAGGCTATCAGTCTACAAACCTTACTCCATTATAGTTTCTTCTCAGGTATTTACCATTCCAGTTTCCTGCCTTTGGAAGCCTAAAGGTCACTTTGTTTTGTTGTTTCTCTACAAGTATATTTTTTTATTTTTTTGCGGTGGGGGGCGGGGGAGGGGGGGAGTAGGGGGGCATGCTGGAGATGCTACATAAGCCTAAAGGTCTAAGCCTAGGGTTATCTTTTGAAGTTTTGGCCTTGTGATATGCACGACAGGACACATTAATAAACTTGTTTTCTTGATAAATCTGTTCACTGTTACAGGAGTCTGTCCCAACCATGACCTTACCAGGGTTGAGAAATTTTCTTCTCCAGTGAAACATAGCTTCCTACTCAGACTGCAACCTCTATGCCTTGAGTCCTATTGAATAACTTTGGCTAAAAGCTTAGCGTTTTACAAGTAGATTCATTTACCTCAAAAAAAAAAAAAAAAAGTCAGTATTCGTCTGTAATACAGAATCCATTACACAAATGCCACAAACATGGACGAATCTTAGAAGGGCCTATTAGAATCAAAGTTGAACATACAGGGTTAAGAGCAGCTTTTAAAGACTGAGTTCTAAGCATCCCCAAAACTTTCTAGGTGTGAGGTTTGTGGCAAACTAGCGTAACTGCTAGCTCCTTTTTACCAAGGTCAGTCTGAGAAGTACCACCTGTACAAAAACACAAATTAGACTTCGAAGAAGGCTGGGCTGAAGAGTAATGGTAAGTTTTTGAGGTGTAGCCTTGGCCAGAAACAGGAGATATTCAAGCACAGCTATGGGAAGATGCAATAGAAAGCAAACTGAGAGTTTGGGCCTTGTTAGTCGCCTGCATTGCCTTGGAACAAACAGTGCCTAGTTAACACTTGCATGAACTCAGAGCCCTGGTTCGTATGTCCCCAGAAATACATTCAGGGCAGCAGGGAAGCCCTGTGCTCATGAAAGCCATGAAAAGCAGGTAGAGAGTGACTTTAGGCAATAGTGCTCCCACCATTTTTTCATATTCTCAGCACTGGTTACTTATTCATGAAGAATTCTTCTTAGATCTGCTTCTCCCTAGGGGCCATAGGTTTCATTTTGCAGGGAGGGAAGGTTTGCTATTCATTTTTATTTTATTATTTTTTTAAGACGGTTTTGCTCTTGTTGCCCAGGCTGGAATGCAATGGCACAATCTCAACTCACTGCAGCCTCTGCCTCCTAAATTCAAGTGATTCTCCTGCTTCAGCCTCCTGAGTAGCTGGGATTACAGGCATGTGCCACAATACCCAGCTAATTTTGTATTTTTAGTAGAGATGGGGTTTCTCTGTTGGTCAGGGTGGTCTCGAACTCTCGACCTCCTAAAGTGCTGGGATTACAGGCTTGAGCCACCGTGCCCGGCCAGGTTTGCTATTCATTTTTGGTGTCTTGGCCTTTTCATCGTAGCACTCATTTACCCTTCTCGTTGGTGCTGGGAAGTCTGTGGTGCCCGTGCATTACCTGATACCACCTGACTATGTGTTCTATCCTAAATGCAACGGGACAAAACAGACATTTGAGAAACAAGTACTTCAGAAGCAGCTGAATTGAGTCCATCAGAAAAATCATTAGAACAGCTAAGCCATAATCAGCAGTGTTCACAAGTTTGAATTAGTATGTCCATAAGACTCAGTAAGGCCTTAACCTGGCATGAAGTTTACTCAGTTTTATAGGGAGGACAGGAAGTTGAGCAAGTCCACTATCCTCGATCTCAATGAGAAGCCCCACAACTGTCTGTTGAGAAGAGTCAAACTCTAAAAGATATTTATTCTGAGCCAAAAAATGAGTGACGGTGGCCCATGACACATCCCTCAGGAGGTCCTCAGAACATGTTCCAAGGTGGTTAGGGCACAGCCTGATTTTATACATTTGTGAGACATGAGACATCAAATACATTTAAGAAGTACATGGGGTGGGTGGGGGGCTTCCAAGCTGTAGGGAAACTTACATTTTCTTGTGGACGAAAAATTTTCTGGTTTATCTAAAAGAACTGGAATCAATAAAGGAAATGTTCAGGTTAAAACATTGTGGAGACCAAGGTTATTTTGAAGTCTCATAGTGGCTGCCCTTAGACAATAGATGACAAGTGTTTCTTATTCAGACCTTTAAAAGGTGCTAGACTCAGTTAATCTCTTCAGGATTGGGAGGGCCTGGAAGAAAAAGGATCTAGCTTTATTAGATTCTTTACAGATGCAGATTTACCTCCCCAGATGTTGGCTTTGCAGGGCCATTTCAAAGTATGCCAAAGAAACTTTGGGGTGAAGTATTTTGATTTTCTTTGTCATGTAACGTTATGCCAGAGAGATTGGAAAGTCACAATATGTAACAGTTAAGTAAAACCCATCTGATGAGAATTTATGGTTTATAGGGCATGAGGCCCCAGACCCCTTAGATAGGAACTTTGGCAAGATTAAACAGTCAGTTTAGTCCTCAGATCCTTCACCCCTGCAGGGATGTGAATGGTTGACAAGGATGAGACAAAAATGTGTATGTTACACCTTGACGTAGATCACTGCAATGGTATTCCAGTTTGTTATTTCAGTTATATAGGTCCAATATGTGTGTCATAGGCTCCTGAGTCCAGATATGATCGATCTCAGACCAGTTTTGATACGGACAAGAGACAGGGAAATACTGGGTAGAAGAGGGCAGTTCCCTGGCAAAGCCCCACCCTCAAGCCTGGAAACCCACAGCCCTAAATGGGAACAGGCATTCCTGTTTTTGTTCCCAAAAGTTGCCATTTGGTCCACCATACCTAACTATCCTGTACTCTTGTAAACCCTAAACCGAGGGCGGTGGGAGAGCGGCGGAAAGAGGGCAGGACCCTGTAACCCTTGTAAACCCTAAGCCGAGGGCGGTGGGAGGACAGGACTCTGTACCCTTGTAAACCCCAAACCAAGGGCGGCGGGAGGACGGCAGGACCCTGGACCACCCTTGTAAACCCTAAACCGAGGCCGACGGGAGGAGGGCAGGACGCTGTACCCTTGTAAACCCTAAACCCAAGGCGGGGAGGGTGGCGGCGGAAGGAGGGCAGGACCCTGTACCCTTGTAAACCCTAAACTGAGGGCAGCAGGAGGGCGGCAGGAGGAGGGTAGGACCCTGTACCCTTGTAAACCCTAAACCGAGGGCGTCGGGAGGGCGGCAACGTCTAAGAGGAGTTCAACTGGGGACAGTTTGGAGAGGATGGCCAAACTCCAGGGGAAGATCATCTTCCCACTCTATACTTCCCAGCTCCCCATCCATCCCACTGAGAGCCACCTCCACCAGTCAGTAAAACCCCTGAGTTCATCCTTTGTGTGTGACCCGATTTTTCCTGGATACCAGACAAGAGCTTGGAATACAGAAAGCTGTCACATTAGCCTGTGAAAAGGCAGAGGTTCAACTGAGCTGTTTAACACTTAAGCTGTCTGGGGATGGCAAAGCTAAAAGAGCCCACTATAACACATGCCCACTTGGGCTTTGGGAGTCACAGGCACCCACACCCCTGGATGCTACCATGGGGCTAGAGCCCAGGGGCACTCACACTGGCTCCTGCATCTGCCCATCTGCATGCTTCCCCTCCTGTAAGGGTCTCAGTGTGCACACCCGTCACAGTAAGGGGTCTCAGCCAAACATTAGCCACACCCCTGTCACACATCCTGTGAGAGGGGGCTTAGGGAACTCCCATTTGTTTCAAGTAAGTCAGCTCCTTTATACATTTCATGTGTGTCTTAACTTAGTAATATGAGTTATTGGAGGGCCTTACTCAATAGTCGGAAAACATCTATAAGCATGTTATAAGGGTGTTGGGGGAGGTACCTAACATGGAGGCTTGGAGTTCATACAGACTTTCGTTATGTTAGGAATTAATTTGGTTTATCTCTTATTCCATCAACTGCTAACCTTGGTTGTCAGGTAAAATTGTTTCCTTATCAGCAGTAAACTTAATCTTATTAGAAAATGTAGAAACAGATCACATGGCTGAAAAGTACTTAGGCTTTGAAAGAAAGCATTTGCTAGTAGACTTTGAAAATAGTAATCCTAGGTCAGGCAGTTCCAATGATGCAATTCTCAAACATCTTATTAAATACAAAGATGCTTGGATAGCAGCACTTCTCTGGTAGGAATACAGACCTTTGCAATTCCCAGGCATTGAGATTTTGGATTTCTGGGGGTGGTGGGTGGGTTGGATATATAAGGGGAATATTAACCACTAGATTCCTGGGCTTTCTAGACTTTGTGGAAGGTAACTACTGACAAACTTAAGACCTGAGTACTAAAAAAAAAAAAAATAAGAGCTAGGCCATGACCATTTTATAGTCTATTACATTACAATATTTATAACCCTTTCCCTTGTGTTTAGGCTTAGGACACATTGATTGCACGTGTCTTCCTTTGCGGAAGGTGTCAACAGCTTGCTACTAGTTTGATAGTGATTCCCCTACTCCTTCCCCTAGGGGGATCTATGGCTATTCGTTCAGGTAGTTTTACACTGGAAAAAAGAATAACCAACCATTTGGAGAATGTTTGACATAAGCTTTAGAGAACACTGATAACCAGCAACCCAAAATTCATTATGGCTCCCTAGTCAGTGGGGGAATAGGAGGCCAGGTAATAGATTTTAGTTCACAGTGGAGTATAATGAATAGCCAGCTCATAGCTGATCCTGATTCTGGAATGCACCTGGTGATCATTTTCCCCAAATGTATACTCAGAATAGATATGTCTACTTATAACTTTGGCCTATGAGGCAAGTGGTATCAGTGGGGAAAGCCAGATAGAAGCCTTTGAAACTTCCCTTTCTCTGGACAAGACAGTAAACAGTGTTATGTAACAGAAGGGATACAAAAAGTGACACTTAAAATGGTTTCAAGGTTGCAGTTAATGACTCTCATATCCCCATATAGTTCACCAGTATAGCACTCAAAACACAAAGATCCTAGAGAAAAAGTACCTCAAATTCAACCAAATGTTAGCCCCAATTAAGCTGCTCTGCCAGATATGGTATCTCTGCCACAGCACAGTAACACCTGAATCAGCATCTGATTTAATAATCACCATACTGCAGTCATTGATTTGGCAAATGTTTTTCTACATCAGGGCAGGGACTTCAAGTAGTTCACATCCACATGAAGTAGAACACGATCCATACAGTTTTTCCCTGCAAAGACCTGGAGCAGTGCTAGGATGGAATATTCTGATGGAAGTGTTTTGTAATCAGTGCGGTCCAATTCAATGGCCCAGTCACTTGTGGCTATTGAACACTTGCAGTGTTGCATGTTGGTAGCTTTAAGGCTCATACACTACAGAGCATGAAGAATAAACAGTAAGAAAATGACTGTTTCACAGATGGATCAGAGTACGAGCAAAAAAAAAAAAAAAAGGATGGCTGCTACATACATATACAATGGTCAGTGGCAAACTGCTTTACTGCTGGTCAATGGCAGGAAAGGAGAAAATAACTGAAGGCCTGTAACAAGTTGGAATGCAATAGAGGCATATGGATTGGAGTAGTGCATGAGCACATCTACAGAAGCGAAGCACCAAAATCGAGTAGATACTGTGAAGATCCCAGAAATTTAGAAATTTTGAAGTAGCCACTGCATTTCACACCACAAGAGACCAAAAAAATCAATGTGGCCAGAAGGGGAAAGACAATTACTGTTACCAAAGTAGCTCTAAAGCCATTCAAATTCTATGGCATTGTTATGCTCATTAATGGCTGGGGCACCAAAAAGTCTCTAGGAGATCCAGCTAGAAACCACAGGGTAAGACATTCCCCATAGATATGAAAAAGACATGACCTAATAGTTATGTCTCAACACAAACCTGACCTGCTAACCAGAAAGAAAGCGTGATAAGATCCATTAAGTCACATAGAAGCTGGTGTTTCATTGCTCCCACAGGTAGAGGGGCTGAGATCCAGGAAATAGAGATTCCACTGGAAACACGTTCCAGATAGCAAGGTCTTTGAAGGGCAAGTGAAGCTATGACGAAATGAAAGAGCTCTAGGAGGCGGCACATAAAGGAAGATAACTATGTGCTACAGAAATTCAATTTACCATTCACCAAAAACATCTTGGCTTCTTCCATTTCTGCCCATCCTGGCAGTTTTGAAGTTTTCAGGACACCTAACCCCGATATGTTTTTGGATTAAGACTTGCTTTATGGCTGAGCATGTGGTTGATCTTAGATTATGTTCTCCCTTTGCTGATGAGATGAATGTATGTTTTGTGGTTGATGAGTGGAGTATTCTGTAAATGTCTATTAAGTCAAATTGGTTAAGTATCAAATTTAAGTCCAGGATTTGTTAGTTTTCTGACTTGATCTGTCTAACACTACCAGTGGGGTGTTAAAGTCCCTCACTATTGGGTGGCAAAGTTTTCCCACAGGTCTGGAAGTACTTGTTTTATGGATCTGGGTGCTGCAATGTTGGGTGCATATGTACTTATGATAGTTAAGTCTTGTGGAATGGAACCCTTTATCATTATGTAATTCCCTTTATTGTTGGTTTAGTGTCTGCTTTATCTGATGTAATAGTGACTCCTTTCCCCCACTCGTATGATTTTTTCCAACTTTGAGTTTATAGACGTCATTATGTATGAGTGTTTAATCCAACTTGGAACTTTGATTTTTAAGTGGGGTGAAAAAACAGACATTAACAATTCTTGTGATTTATTAGGTAGTGTTTGTTAAGCTTATGCTTTTTATATACTGCTATGGTTTGAATGTGTGTACACCCTCAAAATTCTTAAGTTGAGACCAGGTAAGTGTTAGGAGGTGAGGCCTTCAGGAGGTAATTGGTAGATTTCTTGTAAATGGAATTAGTGCCTTTATAAAAGGGTACCAAAGAGACCCCTGGTCGCTCTTATACTTGGACAGCAGCTGTTGAAAGTGCATATTAAGGTTGGGTAGTACTTCCTTACTCCCAGGGCACTGCTGCATTCCTTGAAGGTCATCCTTGAAGCCAGACACTTACAGTACCCTAAAGCAAGGTCTTTTGTCATCTTCTGCCAAGGTGTGGCCGTTATCACCCATCACCACACTAGACGGCACTGTTAGTGGGTGGTTGGCCTGGTGTATGAACACATCCTTATCTAAGTTAAAGGCTCTGTAGAAGTTTATAAGGATATTTTTGGATGTTTCCTATCAATGAGCCATCACAATCTGAAGCACAGGAGTCTTTTTTACCCTGAATCAAGATAAGCTCTTCAAAAGAAAGGCAGCCACAGGTGAGGGTGGCTAGCTTTGCTGGTTTGACAGTCTCAGTATGTGATGAAAGGCATCTGTGAGCTCCTAAATTAAAGGCATAACTCTGCCCTCAGTCAGGCAGAAGTAGCTAATTCATGAAACCCCTAGGAAAATGCCTTGAAAGCCCTTTAAGCAATAGGCAACTATGAGTCCTTACAGGAAGGGCACTTAGATTTTTTTGTATATGTTTAAGGGTTATACAGTTTTGTTACATGGATAGTGGTGAGGTCTGGGCCTTTAGTGGTCATCACCTGAATGACGTACATTGTTCCCATTAATTTCTCATCCATCCTATCCCCACCCTTCTGAGTCTCTATGTGTCTGTCATTCTACCCTATATAGTTGTGTACACTTAGGTTTTACCCATCAACAAGGGTCTCAGGGTACTTCATGACTTCTGCCTCTATCAGGGTTCTTCCATTCTGAGGGCAGAAATGTCTTGGAGGATGAGGGAAGGAAAATAACTTCTAGGGTCAGTATCACAATCCCATTTACTGGTCCAATTCCATCCCCTAGCCATGTACATTTCAGAGGTATTGTTGCTCAGAGCAGAGAACATTGAAGTTAAGTGGAGACCCCTCAACTGTAGGCTGAGGAACATCAGAGATCCCTATTAGAAAACGAGGTTGAGAAATCCGTAGGTTCTACATTAAGTATGGAAAAGAACTTGTGGATCTATGGTCCCATGAAAAAAGCAAGATAACAGTGTGAGGATCAATTCTAGTCTAGAATTGAGGTCATAAGGGATCCTGAACAAACTAAGAGTAATCTCAAGGACCAAAACATCCAGGAACCCAAGAAAACACTTAGGAACCTAAGAAAGTATGTAGTAAGAGGGACCGTGTATACCTATAAGGACAAAGTAAGAATCGAGTTGCAAGCTTTGTTTTGTTTTGAGATGGAGTTTTGCTCTTGTCACCCAGGCTGGAGTGCAATAGCACCATCTCAGCTCACTGCAACCTCTGCCTCCTAGATTGAAGTGATTCTCCTTCCTCAGCATTCTGAGTAGCTGGGATAACAAGCGCCCACCACACCTGGCTTTTTTTTTTTTTTTTTTTTTGAGACGGAGTATTGCTCTGTTGCCAGACTGGAGTGCAGTAGTGTAATCTTGGCTTGGTGCAACCTCTGCCTCCCAGGCTCAAGGGATTCTCCTGCCTCAGCCTGCCGAGTAGCTGGGACTACAAGGCATGCACCACCATGCCCAGCTAGTTCGTGTTTTTAGTAGAGACGGTGTTTCACCATGTTGGCCAGGATGGTCTTGATCTCTTGACCTCGTGATCCACCCACCTGGGCCTCCCAAAGTGCTGGGACTACAGGTGTGAGCCACCATGCCTGGCCTGGATTTGTAAGCTTGAACAGCAAAGGAAGAGGAAGCAATGCACAGTGGCTATGACAACACTAGTGATATGTCCGTTTCCCAGTAAAAGTCACTCCCTAGTCTTGTGGTCTCTCAATTTCCATCAAGACAAATGGAATCAGAACCTAAATGAACACTAAAGGGTCTTCCAAGGCTTAAGCCACCAAAAAGGTCAATTGAGAGAGAAGGGAGAGAAGAAAACTTAGGTCAGAATAATGGAACTCTTATGTTCTGAAAAAAGACTTTGTTAGGGGGAAAAAAGCCTCAGCCAAGGCAAGCATCCTAGAAAGTGAAGTAACATTGAGTCCTTCCTGAGAGAATGTTTGGATGGCTTCAGAAAAGAAAGCTATGAAGTAAAGGCATCAAGAGAATGGGGTATGTATGTATAAGCAGCTTCCCTCTGATGGGGAATATTTTGAGTTGGCAGGAAAGTAGCCCACAACCTTCCCTATCAATAATGGTAAGGCCAGTTCTTAAGAGGAGATTGTGCCCGACTTATAAGTGAAGCTTGAGCCAACCAGAGGGTTTCCCCTCCCCCCCCAAAAAAAAGACAACAAAAAAGCCACACAGAGAAAAAAAAAAAAAAAACAAACACGGAGTTTCACCCTTGTTGCCCAGGCTGGAGTGCAACGGCACAATCTCTGCTGACCGCAGCCTCTTCCCCCAAGGTTCGAGCGATTTTCCTGGCTCAGCTTCCCAAGTAGCTGGGATTACAAGGCATGCGCCACCGTGCTCGACTAATTTTGTATTTTTAGCCGAGATGGGTTTTCTCCATGTTGGATCAGGCTGGCACTCGAGCTCCCGACCTCAGGTGATCTGCCTGCCTTGGCCTCCCATAGTGCTGGGATTACAGGCATGAGCCACCGCGTCCAGCCAAAAAGGTCCTTCTTCTAAGCCTTCTGCTATAAGGGACGTTAAGCCCACGAATTAGAAACAGCCTTCCTAGGGAAAGCAGGGTTAATGCTCCCATCCCAGCCTCTTAGTGAGGCCCTTCTTTAGGAACTATGCCTAGTCTGGGGTTATTCCAATGGCCCCACAATAACCACAGAAAGGAAGTGGTGAGAGAAAAGATGAGGTTTACCGGAACTGAGAAGTATTTTCTAGTATTCCACTAGCCCAAAGCATCTCAGTTCAGTGCTGATTTTCACTATTTCATTAGAGAAAGCGAGGAATGTTGAGCTTGTTGTTCGAGTCTTCACTTCCCGGGCAAGTCGTGAGATTATGAGAAAGATGGAAGGAAACAGAACTAAACCTAGGTGCCTTATTCGTTTTGTTTTTTCTCACAGCAAATCAGCAAAGAATTTCTTATCTCTTAAAGTAAGCAGAAACAGAAAAAGCTGAAAGAAAGACACAGAGAGAAAGGAGAAACTAACTTAGAAGTCTCCCAGTTTCCACCCAAACTACCCAGACCCCACCCACCTCATTTCAGTCAGGGGCTTATAAAGCCTAAGAGGAGTTGAAGTTTAACTTAAATAGAAGGTGAGGGAACGCCATTGGTCAGAATTCTTGAAGCCTGGATTGGCTGGAGCCACGGAGGCTCCTGAACCCACTAAACCAGAAGCAAAGTGGCAGCTGAGAGCTGGTGCTGATTTTTTAAATTGGGAGACTCCTGAGTGTGTTCACCTGTAACTACAGTATCATAATTCACCTTCCAAAATTTAACATCAGGATTCACAAGAAAAAAAAGTTGCCATTGCCAGACATGGGCTAGAATCTTAAACTTGACAGTAAAGAAAATGAACTCTACATTGTGAAATATACATCACTCCCTAGATTCTATGATCAGATCTAGAACCAACTCAGAATAAAGTCACAGAACCAATATTAGTTAACTTTCAGTGAATTTTTCCTATCAAAAAGTATCTTTTAAACTAGCAAAAGAAGAAGAAAAGGGAAGCATATGGTTTAGCATGGTAAGGATTCTCTTGTCCTAATTGTGTTCAGGACAACTTAGAAAACAGTTTTCTGGGTCCTCATTTCCAGCCTGCCAGCTTATAATCACACTTGAGAGTCTACTTTCTGGGGCCATTCCTGCTATCAACTGTCTTAAGTTGGGTTCCTTAGAAACTGACTTTGAGACCTTTCCATGCTGAAAGTTTATCAGAAAGTAAGCTCACAAACAATGTCTCAACAGGTGCAAAGGAAGCAGAATTTTGCAGAGGGAGAAGGTGAATTACAACGGAGTTTCATCAGACTTCCCAGCTGATTTACGAGAAACTCTGGAGTAGAGATGGTCCTACACACTTGTCCTGAGTTAGGCAAGGGAGTCAGGCCTTTAAACTCACCATCAACTAGTCATTAAATACAATCATTGCAAACGGAGGGTGGCTAATTTAGGGTAATAGAGTTCCCTTTGGCTGAAGGTAATTCCTGAAAGAAATGTAGGTGTGAACTATCAGCAGCTGATAGCTCCCAGCTTATGAGGTAATGAGTGCTTCAAGGGGGGGATCTGTGTGGAGCTACACAGTTTACAGCTGGGGAAAGTTTATATCTGATTAGTCTTCTGAGAGGACTTGAGATGGGTGTCAGATCCTAGGGTTCAGGTCCAGCCCATGCTGAAGTCCGAGGGGAGTGGGTGGATGAACAGAAAGAACACTCGGGGGTCCATATGCAGGTGAAAGATGACTTCATTCAGCAGCAGTTCTTATTAACAACTTTCTCACACTGTCCACCTTTATCTCAACTGTGTGCTCTGGCTCTGTGGCTCCTGCCGCCCCCATGCCTGCAGCTGCATAGCCGGCTCACCCTTGGCTTCAGGGTCAGCAGCTTAACTTTTTCTCTCTCTGGGCACCAGTGTGAGCTGTGTTGTGGGTCCCCTCTGTCCATCTGCAAAATGGACAGCTTTGGCTCTCTTTCTCTGGGCACCAGCGCCTGCACTAGAGCCATGTTGAGTTGAGCCAAGCCCCAAAAGTCCCTGTATAGTGTTAGCAAGGCAATTATACCTTTTACAGACAATAGTGGCTCAGAGCCAAGTATGAACTTACACAAACAATCTATATAACAAGTAGAAGTGTGCACCTGTGCAACAAACTTGCTGAATCATGCAGGCCTGGATATCTGCCTTGGCTTATTCCTTGACCAAAACACATCCATATACGTTACAATGGGTGAAGGGAATAAATGGTCAGACTTTTCCTGATGATAGAATGGACTCTCCCATTGTTGCTCCCATGCTTCTTATCATAGTTCCTGTTTGTTAAGACATTATGAAACAGGTAGAATAAAATTAAACATAATTTAAAAATGAGGACCAAAAATAAATAAAAGTCTGTAAGAAGCAATATAAACAGACAAAAAATATATTCACCTTCTCAATTTTGGTTTTTAAAAGATTCAGGCATAAAATAACAGAAACAAAACTATTAGAACGAAAATATCAGACAAATTTGGAAAATACATTTAAAGCTCACTTAAAATGTGCTTGTATTTATTGGTTAACTTTTTAGCAATGGAAATTGTAGAGAAGGACACACGTAGAGAGCTGGAAGTGATAAATTCTCCTGGCAGGAGGCCAAAGACCTTAAGTAATTGATGTGTCTTGACCTGAACCTCAATCTCAAGAGACTCATTAAGCTGATCCATCTCTAAGGATATTCTGCTGTTTGAACAATTCTGTTGCATTCTCTGTAATAAAAAAAGAGATACTTTTGTGAAGAAATAACTAGAATCTTGTAGATTTTTTCATTAGGTGGTATTATGGCTGGCTCTTGATGGCCCAAAATGAATTTATTCCCTTGGAAAATATGGCAGGGTTCTTCCTAGTGAAAATTAGCTTAAGCAAAAAGGACTGTGTGATTGACATGGGACTTGTGTATCAATACTTGCACGCATGCGTGTATGCACACACAAACACACATACACACACAAGCCGGACATTTGCCTTTATGCTGAGGTGGCAAATAGGAACAAAGCTTTGGCCTAATGAATTTCAGACTTAATCCCTAGTTCCCCTCAACGTAACTTCTGAGGTTATAACGTCTGCAGGCAAAGATTTCCACTATACCCTAAAATCTAGCCACTTGTCGACTATATCATCTCTTCCTTTTATGCTATACTTTCTTCAGCTGCCTAATGTGTGTCCTAGTCCATTTTAAGTGCAAATTTCCATTACAAAAAAGACTACAAAATGGATCCAAATAGGTTGGAGTCATTAGAGATACCGAATATAGACCTATATGTCACTTTATCAGCTAGAAATTCAGCATCTAAATTCTCTTTCTTGGCTTCAGTCTGGAGCTTAACATACCCCTGATGCCTACAACACTGATGTAAAAAGTATACATATTAACATTTGAGAAGTCCCTATTCTAAGCCACTCCAATATTTGCTAATATTTTATTTAGTATTTTTGGGTCAGTTCTTATAAGAAGATTAGTCTTTTTTCTTTTTTGCACACTCTTTGCCAAGTTCAGCCATCGACATTAATCATCAATACTGTGTTACCTTTTAAAGGGTGAGAAAGACAGTAAGACAGGGTAAGATGGAAAGCACTGTGTGTTTATAACTAATTTGGACAGTGAAATCTCACCGCTTTTGCAGAATTCTATTCAGTAGAAGTGAACCATTAGGTCCAGCACCACTCAGGAAGAGGGGCTTACACTGGGGCACGAATGCCAGAAATGGAACACGGGGTTTCATTTGTGATAACTACTACAGGTACCTCCTGGGGAATCTTAGTAATATTTGGGGCGGGGGACTTTCAGGACCTCAAGATTCTGCATCAACTAATGTAAATAGCCAAGTCAATAGACTGAGATGACATGTGTGTTCCTGAGGATAGATCTTTATGTATTTCTAAATGCCTCTTTTGTGTTGGAGTACAGTGTGGAGATTTGAAAAGGGAGAGATGAAGGAATTGAACTGTTTTCTGAAGTTTGAAGACCTTGTCAATATTTCTTGGGTTTCTTTAGCCGTATTATCTTGAACACAAGAAGGCAATTTTAGCTGGACACAAAATCAAACATTTCTGCTCAATTTTTGAGATATACAACTCTTACCTATTTTTCTCTGCTTTTTCTGTTCTCTTACAGGCTATGGCAGCTTTGTTCAATGATTGGTTTTACGTCATCCTAGGCATTCTTCTATATGATGCAGGTTGTAAAGGCTGAATGGCAAGGACTATGGGCAAATAATGACAAAGGAGGGACAATCAAAGATGTTGAAAGCTCTTGCTTCCACGTAGAATACCTTCTCTTGTATCATTATTCTGTTACCTTAGGTCTTTGTCCTTTTTGGAATATTTCTATTTGGAAGTCTTCTGCCATGGGACTGGGAATGAAAAAGTGAGTTTAAGGCCACCATCTGTTTGTGAGGATCCACTACTGCTCTGAATGCTTCCGTAGGAACAGGTTGAATCTTAGCAGAGAGTATCCCAGTTTAGCTGACTCATCTCATGCTGGGGCTACTTAAATCATATCTTAATTGTCTTCTGCATTTGACTGTTCACTTATCAATGTTCAGTATGCTAGTTGATGTTTATGTTATGGCCTGCTCTCTGAATGACCCTACAGGAAACAGGATGCACAGGTTTTGGAGTTCAAAATACTAAGGTGTTGGTAGGACTAGTCATTTTGCAGGCTTGAAGAATGGGTCTTCTATCAGATGTGAAGTTAAACTGAAGTCCACCTGGTCTTTAAGAATGTGCTAGTTTAGGCTGAAGAAGGCACAAAGCCTCTTCCCACTCCTTGCTCATCACCCCTCAAAATAAGACAACAAATGGCCTCTCACCATTATCTTCATAAATACCTATGTCTCCATTGAGGATTGGGGGAACTGGGAATATGCAGCATTGTCTCCCGATTTTTTATATTTCCAAATATTTATATATTCTTTGCCATTAAAAATACAATAAACTTTATATCTTCTGCCTGTTGACTTCTTTCTCTCAACTTTATTTCTTCCCAAAGATGATGCCCAGGCAGAAGTCATGACCTTTAAAACATGGCCCCATACACCCCTCTAGCCTCTTGTATTTTCATTCCTTTTGAAGGCCCCTGACTCTACCACCTCTGGTTTATTATCTATTTGGAGAACATTTCCCTTATCATACCTTTGTGCTCAGGCACATTTCTTATCTCCAATTTGAAAAGCTCATCTTCCTTGCTCTCCCCAACATCCTATTTCCCTTCTCCATTCAATAGGACATGATAGTAGTGTCATGGGAAACATTTAACTAGCAAAGCCTACCTTGAGTCCCCAGGCAGAACGAGGAAGAGTGAACTGGACTTTGAAATATTAAGTACACTGTTAGTGTGAATAGTTCTACGATAAAATAAAGTGACTTATGGTTGTCAGAATTTAGATCTTAAACTCACTTGCTTACTAACTTTGTGACCTTTATGAACCTCGGCTTCATCTATAAGATGTCAATGCAATGATGACAGTTACTTCAGGAGATTCTGAAAACTGACTAATTTTTGAAAAGCATTTATTAGGATGCCTGGCACATAGTGGCCTTTCACAAATCCTACCAATATTGGATCTTCTTTTTTCCTTCAGTTTGTACTCTATACTCTTGGTCTAACTTTTAGGTATCCTCTGAGGACTTGAAGAAACAAGGACTCTCCAGCCACTAAGCATCTGCCTCCTCCTGCAATCTGGAAAGCCCCAGGGGCCAGAGCACACACACAAAAAGCAGTCTCTGGAGGAGTTGCAGTGTTTGGCTGCTGGGCAGAGGCCAAGGTAAGGTGGGTGTCCAGGGACAAGGCAGGATGATAGAGTATCCAGAGGGAAAAGGGAGCTCCCAATGGGAATTCTTTGGAAAAGAAAATACTTCTCCCCATGACTATCCATTGTTCATTGATTTTGTGTCATTTTTTCCTGCTCCTCTTGAAGAGTCCTGTACAAATCCCTCTTCTTCTGAGTAAAAGAAATGTAGACTACCAGGCATCAACCCATCAGGGAAAGTTGAATAGAGAAGATTCCAAGGATGTAGGTAACTGACCTGGGAATCAGGTGTTGGGCTGATAGAGATCGAATGTTGGGCTGATGACCTGACATCAAGGCTGGGTCACCCCAGAATGAAAGTTATAAGGCCTCATGCCTCCCATATAGGGCTGTCTAGGTCTGGTGGTATATCTGCTATCAAGACCTTATGGAAATGATGTTTGGATGAGGGAGGTGGAGAGGGAACGGAAATATGGTTACTTTGCTTCAAAGCAGAGACAGGAAAGGGTAAGTCCAATTTTGAGCTGGTGGAGTAACAGTTTTCAGGGACCAAGAGAAGTTATAAGAAAATAATCCAAGCAATAGGGGTGACTGGGAGTATGCTTGGTTGGACAGTGGAGGTACTCAGGAAAAGGCACAGGGTTGTCATAAAGGGAAAGGCTCTACTCAAATGAGTTATGCATTAGTTCTTTTACCTTTAAGACAATTTCAACTTGAATTATGTACTTCCCACTCTTTTAATAGAAATGAAAAATCCTCACAGGTCTTGTGCTTTGTGAATCATGAGTTATTGACATTAAGAAACTTTTTATTTTTATATTTATTTATTTTTCATTTTTTTTTTTTTTTTTTTTTTGAGATGGTGTCTCCATTCTGTCATACAGGCTGGAGTGCAGTGGCATGATCTTGGCTCACTGCAGCCTCCACCTTCCAGATTCAAGCAATTTTCATGCCTCAGCCTCCTGAGTAGCTGGGACTACAGGTGCTCGCCACCATGCCCAGCTAATTTTTTGTATTTTTAGTAGAGACGGGGTTTTGCCATGTTGTCCAGGCTGAACTCCTGAGCTCAGACAATCCTACCACCTCGGCCTCCCAAAGTGCTGGGATTACAGGCTGAGCCACCATGTCCGGTCGAACTTTTTAAAGCTACTTTTCGGTGATTGGCCCTCCAGATCTGCACGTGAATGTTTCCACAGGATTAAAAACAAAGGCAGGTGCAGTGCTAGAAATATGTCTTAGGAGAACTTGGACAGAGCATTCTGAAAACAGTATGCCTTACCAGCCTGAGAGCAATAGTATGTATATCTTGATTTGTTCCTACATAGGTGTGTTCATGTGTTCACATTGTAATTATTCATCTAACTGAACATTTGAGATTTGTGCATTTTCCAGCATGTCCATAATGGCTCAAAAACAAAACCAGAAAGTGAAGGAACAGGCAGTTGTGTGAGATGTTTTGGTAAAACAGGAAGAAAAAGAGTCACTGGCAACAGATCCTTGATGGAGATGACATTTGATCTTAGCCAAGAAATTTTCAGTAGCAATACATTGAGTAAAATAAATATTTTAAAAAGAAACAGCCAACAAAATCAAATATCCTGTTCTTTGAAAAGATTACTAACAATTAAATCTCTAGCAGTGCTAATTAAGAAGAAAAGTAAATGAAGAATTAAAAAAAAACCCACCACTCTCGAAGGCATGAAAGGTATGCCCAGTTAGTTTCCAGGGCTGGTGAGAGGAGGGATGAGGCAAGCATCAGCTGAGGCTGCCTCCTGAAGAAAGGTGAATTTACACAGGGCAGCCAGGGTAGGAATATCCTGGATCAGAGGTGAGTGGGGAAGAGGCTGTTTGGATCCTCAAGCTTTCTGCAGCCCTTTATGCAATAATGCACAAGCCTAAGTTTGTGGCATTCAGAACACATGCGGCAGTTTCAAGCATATCCTGAATTTTCTTTCACTCTTTACTACCATTCTACTTCAAAAGCTTTCCCTAATCTTCTTGTGATCCATCACTTAAGATGTCTCGCCCAGTGTCCCAGCAGTTTACAGTGAGCTCCTATAAACTGACTGTGATGTGGAGCTCACTACTCTATTCAATCTGTTCCATGATATAGCATTTCTTAAACTCAGGGATTTTCTTCTTGTTGTAGGTTTATTTCTTTTATACAGACCACAGTTTGTAATCATGTCCAAGAATTTTGGCTTTTTAGAAAACAACTGAGGACTCCTATCACAGCTGTTGTTGGCACCTGGGTGTGGAGTCAATCAGTGCTAGGCTTTCTAGGAGGTTAATTGAAGGGGCAAATATATGTCTTTTGGTTAGGATTAAGAACCTGGTAAATGTTCCTCTAGTGCTTGGCTAACAGAGAAAATGTCTACTGCAGTAGATGGGATTCTGAGCATAGAATTCCATTAATCTGATCTATTTCATCACTCAGGTAGAAGTGATGCCCCGATGAGAACTTAAAAAGGGGAAACTAGAGACAGTATACAAGGGTAGGGATATGGCAGCTTCTTACTATGGAAACCCTTTATTCAGGAGAGGCACAGGAAGAAATAGACAAAGCAAGCTAGTCTTGAGGCTTGGCAAATAAGCACACATCATTTAAGAGTGCCTGAACACCTAAGACAGTTCTTGGGCTATATATGACTACTGTTACGTCAACACAAATCACACAATTGATGTGGTGAACTACTAGGCTGAGGCCTTGAGAGATACAAATTAGAACCATGAGGGTTTGAGAAAAGAGATCACGTGTCCTTAACATATTCTAGTCCATTCTTGGCATCTGGAGTTCAGGTCTGTGACCAACCTACATGTCCATTTCTCTGGAAGCAAAATGATCTAATGGCAATAGGAAAAAGAGTTGAAGTAGCAATTTAGCCTGAAAAAGAAATATTTGTCATACTTGCCTCCACTCCTTAATCTGAATTCAGTTTGGCAAGAGTTGTTATATGACAGCAGAAGTGGAACCATTCTTAGGCTTTCTTATTAAAGATGGGTTGTAGGCAAAAGTAAGGGAGACGGTTGTCACAGGTATGATGAAGAAACAAAAAAAAATAGCAAGCTAGCAGACAACAAAAATTCTAAACTTGAGAACTGATCTATAATGGGACAGATAGTGGGCTCCTCATCATAGTCCAATTAGAAGAATCTTGCTGCGTATAGCCTGTGGTTGAGACATCTTCAGTGGTAGATTATGGGACGACAGGAGAAAAGCTCAGGCAATGTGGGTTGAGTGGCTTTTTACTTTTTAATAGTGGTCTTCAAGTCACACACACCCATTTAAGGATGCTACTTGCAGCAATCTAAAAGTATGGGATTTATGCAGGGAAAACAGTTTCATTTTATATTAGCTACATTTTATTGAGCACCTAAGCACCATGCATCATGCTAAGCATTTTTACAAAGCTTATCACTTAAGTCTCAAAATATCTCTATGATGTATGTACTATTATCTCCTTTTTATGGATGAAGAAACTGGGGCTTGGTGCGTTTACATAATTTGACTAAGGCAAAGCGGCTAGCAAGTGATAGAGTGGATTTTTAAGTCTATGGGTATGAATCTAGAACCAATACTTTTCGACTCTTCGCTATCCTGCCTCTTGATGATGTAGGAACAGTACCACATTTTGAGTGTGGTACATGAAAGTATGCAGGATTTGTAGGCTGTATTCTGAAGAAAAAAACCTAGGGGTTCCATGAAGAAGATCAGCCAATGTCTCCCAAAGCTGAATGTTACCACCAGAAGAGGCAGCGCCCCTTGCAAGGAGTATTCTCACATGGCTGGGAAAATGTGTCCGTGACCAAACATCATATGAAATCATTGAAACCAATCATCCTAAGGAGAAAGTAACTAAAGGGCTACCACGCAGGACTGTAATGGCAGTTTAGGCTGACTACTTCTATTTTGGGTTCTCCAGCCAGATTATTCACATTATATGATATGGTAACACCTGAAAGAGGCAATGGATGGTGAATGCAGCAATAAACAGAGATCAACAAGCGGTAGAGCTCAGCTGCTGGCTGTGCACAGCAGTAGCTATCTTTGTCTCATCAAACCTGGCCAAGTGAAACCCCTAATCTTGTTTTATCCACAGTTGTCTTCTTGACTATCCATATTGGGCTGGATGGACACCTGGGAGTCATAGCTTAAACCCAAAACTTACCACACACTTACTACATGATCTTGGCTAGAATATTTAATCTCATTTAAGTTATACAAACTGTGTTGTATGGAATGGATGTTTGATCTATTTTACAAATGAAGGAATACACTCAGACTATGAATACTACACTTTTTAACATAGTACTAGCACATACTATGTTCATAATAAAGTGCCTAACTTTCTAAAGGATAAAGCTTCCTTGTTGCCTGGAATGTCTTGGTAGTTTATCATGAAAAAATAGCTGCATTGAAAAATCATAAAAGCTTACTGGGTAAAGTTCATCTATAAGGTAGTCCCAAGGTTTTCTTTGTAGTATTTTAATCTATTAATTGAACCTAAGTAAATAGGATATTCAGGGCAAAGTTTAGAGAAGGTAAGGATTATATTTCCAGGTACTTTATTATCTCCTATGGAAGCTGATTATGTTGTTCTCTAATGATCTTATTTTTCCCAACTCATTCATGTATTTCTTTTACCACAAGGATACTTCTTTCATATTTTTTTATAGGCACTGTACCAAGGATAAAAAATACGATATGTTTGACCTCAGGAAGTTTTTGTTCATATAACAACTAGTAACTGAGCGTACAGAGATGAAAGACAGATTCATTTCTCTGTTTATCCTTCATTCTGTGGAAACTTAACCATAATAAACATATATTAATAGACTTCTTTTTAATAGACTTGTGACCTCAGTTATGGATTACACCCTTTGTATAAGATCATAAACAAGAGACATACACCTTAATGCACACAATAAAGTCTAGGGAGAGCATTACAATGATCAATTTAGTCTCTGAGGTCACGATGGGAGATTGTATGAAAGCTCAGATGAAAGGGTATGGAATGGGGAAGGAAGAAAGCAGAAAAGGCTTTCCAAAGGAGGTAAGCCATGAGCTGATCCATGAACAATGAATACAAATTTGGAAGGGAAGAATATTAAGGAGGATAAAAGTGGTACAGGATAATTTTGTCAGATGCCACATTTTTGATCCTGAGATTACCACCAAGCTGAGAATATCCTTAGGTTTTCCCAGCACCACATGTGTCAACAAATCTTACGGGATTGCATTCTTCTCATACATCATTTGTGCATTAACAGGAAAAAAGTCTCACTTGTGATGCTGGGTCCAGCTTATAACCACACAATGGAAACCCCTGCCTCCTTCCTCCTTGTGGGTATCCCAGGACTGCAATCTTCACATCTTTGGCTGGCTATCTCACTGAGTGCCATGTACATCATAGCCCTGTTAGGAAACACCATCATCGTGACTGCAATCTGGATGGATTCCACTCGGCATGAGCCCATGTATTGCTTTCTGTGTGTTCTGGCTGCTGTGGACATTGTTATGGCCTCCTCGGTGGTACCCAAGATGGTGAGCATCTTCTGCTCAGGAGACAGCTCAATCAGCTTTAGTGCTTGTTTCACTCAGATGTTTTTTGTCCACTTAGCCACAGCTGTGGAGACGGGGCTGCTGCTGACCATGGCTTTTGACCGCTATGTAGCCATCTGCAAGCCTCTACACTACAAGAGAATTCTCACGCCTCAAGTGATGCTGGGAATGAGTATGGCCATCACCATCAGAGCTATCATAGCCATAACTCCACTGAGTTGGATGGTGAGTCATCTACCTTTCTGTGGCTCCAATGTGGTTGTCCACTCCTACTGTGAGCACATAGCTTTGGCCAGGTTAGCATGTGCTGACCCCGTGCCCAGCAGTCTCTACAGTCTGATTGGTTCCTCTCTTATGGTGGGCTCTGATGTGGCCTTCATTGCTGCCTCCTATATCTTAATTCTCAAGGCAGTATTTGGTCTCTCCTCAAAGACTGCTCAGTTGAAAGCATTAAGCACATGTGGCTCCCATGTGGGGGTTATGGCTTTGTACTATCTACCTGGGATGGCATCCATCTATGCGGCCTGGTTGGGGCAGGATGTAGTGCCCTTGCACACCCAAGTCCTGCTAGCTGACCTGTACGTGATCATCCCAGCCACCTTAAATCCCATCATCTATGGCATGAGGACCAAACAACTGCGGGAGAGAATATGGAGTTATCTGATGCATGTCCTCTTTGACCATTCCAACCTGGGTTCATGAACACAATATCTGTTCAGATCCAGCCAATTTCAAAGATGCCTTAGAGATCTGCAGAGCTTAGTTTACCTGGTGCTACAGGAATTCTAAGATGAAGGTGTAAAGGATATCCTTGCATAACTTTTCAATTACTAGCAGGAATGTGAATGAAATGTTTCTGATTTTCTGAGGGCTTTCTCAGTGGATTCAATCAACTTGTATCTGAATCAGAGACAAGTTTTGGTAGAGAATACACATTTGATTGAACTTATGTTTCCCTGCTCTTTAGGAATGTGCTAGGTTAGGCTGAGGAAGGCACAAAGCCTCTTCCTGCTCCTGCCTCACCAACTCTTAAAATGAAAGACAACAAAGACCGCTCACCATTCTCTTCATGAACAGCTATGTGTCCACTTAGGATCTGGGGAACTGAGAGCATGCAACTCTATTTCTTAGTTTTTCATACTTCCAAATAGTTATCTACCCTTCGCCATTAAAAAGAAAAACACTAGAAACTTTATAGCTTGTGCCTGTTGACTCTTTTCTGCCAACTTTATTCCTTTCCACAGATGATGCTCAGGCAGAAGACATGAACTTTAAAACATGGCCCCATGCACCCCTCTAGCCTCTTGTATTTTCAATCCCTTTCAAGTCCCCTGACTCTACTGCCTCTGGTTTATCCTCTATTTGGAGAATATGTCCCTTCTCATACTTTTGTGCTCAGGTGCATGCCCTATCTCCAGTTGAAAAACTCATCTTCCTTGCCCTCCCCTACATCCTCTTTCCCTTCTCCGTTCAACAGGATGCTATAACAGCGTCATGGGAAACATCTAACCAGTGAAACCTGGCCCGAGTCCCCAGGCAGAACTGAGGAAATGTGAACTCGACTTTGAGATATGAAGTACACTGTCAGTGTGAATAGTTCTACCATAAAGTGAAGTGAAATACGGTTATTAGAATTTAGCTCTTGACTTTCTGGCTTACTTGCTTTGTGACTTTTATGAGCCTCAGCTTTCATCTATAAGATGTTGATGTGATGATGGCAGCTACTTCAGGAGGTTTTGAAAACTGACTGAGATAATCTTTGAAAAGAGCATTTGTTATGATGCCTGGCACTTAGTGAACTTTCACAAATCCTACCTATCATGGTTTTTTGTTTGTTTGTTTGTTTTCCTTTCAGGATACACTTTATACTCTTAGTCTAACTTTTAGGTATCCTCTGAAAACTTGAAGAAACAGACTCTTCAGCCAGTAAGCATCTGCCTCCTCCTGCTATCTGGAAATCCCCAGGGGCCAGAGCACAAAGATAAACCAGTCTCTTGAGGAGTAGCAATGTTTGGTTGCTGGGTAGAGGCCAAAGGAAGGTGGGTGTCCAGGGACAAGGCAGGATGATTGAGTATCCAGAGGGAAAAGAGGGCCCCAATGAGAAGTCTTTGGAAAGGACAATATGACTCTCCATTGTTTGTTCGTATTTGATTGTGTTTGCACTTCCTGCTCCTCCGAAGGTATCCTGTATTAACCCCTCTTCTTTTGCGTGAAAGAAATGTGGACTATGAGGCATGGACTCATTGGAGAAAGTTAAACAGAGAAAACTCTCAGACTGTGGGTAACTGACTTGGGCATTAGTGTTGGGCTGATGGAGTCTGAAGGCCAGATCACCCCAGAATAGAAAATATAAGCCTTTACTCTTCCTATACAGGGCTGTCTAGGTGTGGTGGGTATTACTGATACCAAGAATGTATGAAAATGATATTTGGATAGGAAAGGTGGGAGAGAGAATGGGACATATAATTAATTGAAAGCAGAGAGGAAGGGGTAGGTATGATATTGGCATGGTGGAGAGACAGTTTTATGGGACTAAGAACAGTTATGAGGAAAAAAACCCAGTAGTAGGGCTGATTGGGTGCATGTTTGGCTGAAGAGGGGAAGTATCCAGGTAGGAAGAAAGGGTTATCATAAACAGAAAGGCTTGATTCAAATGCATATGCCTTAGTTCTTTTACCTTTAAGACATTTTCATTTTGAATTATGTATTCCTCACTCTTTTAATAGAAATGAAACATTCTCCCATATCTTATGATTTGTGAATCATGAGTTGTTGAAATTAAGGGACTTTTCTGTGCTAGTTTTAAGTAATTGGCTCTCCAGGTCTGCATGTGAATATCCCCACAGTATTGAAGGCAAAGGCAGGTGCAGGGCTGAAAATAGATCTTAGGATAACTTACCAGAGCTTTCTGAAAACAGTAAACATTAACAACCAGAGGGCACTGGTGTCTGTATCTTAACCTCAGTAGTGCCTATGTAGGTGTGTTCATGTGTTCACATAATAAATATTTATCAGGCTATCTATCTGAGATTTGTGCATTTCCCATTATATTCATAGTGTTTTAAAAAGTTAATGAAAAATCAGGGAGCAGGCAGTTGTGTTAAATGTTTTGGAGATGTCAAGTAAAACAAAAGGAAAAAGAGTTACTGGACTGGCAACAGATGCTTGATGGAGATCAACGTTAATCTTAGCCAAACAATGTTCAGTATCAATAGGCTGATTGAAATAAATATTTGTAGAAAGAAACAACTAACCAAACCGAGTGTCCTGTTCTTTGCAAAGACTGACAATGTAAATCTCCAGCAACGCTAATTGAGAAGAAACGTAAATGGAGATTAAAAAGAAAAACACTCTCAAGGGCATGAAAGGTATGCCCAATTAGAGCTTCCAGGGCTGAGGCCTCAGCATCAGCTGAGGCTGCCTCTTGAAGAAAGGTGAATTTAAACAGGGCAGCCAGGGGAGGAACATTCTGGATCAGAGGTGAGTGGGGAAGAGGCTGTTTGGATTCTCAAGCTTTATGCAGCCCTTTATGCAATAATGCACAAGTCTGAGTTTGTTGCATCCAGAACACATGCGGCAATCTCAAGCATACCCTGATTTTTTCTTTCACTCTTCACTACCGTTCTACTTCAAAAGCTTTCCCTTGTCTTCTCATGATCTATCACTGAAGATGTCTCACCCAGTAGCTACACAGCAAGGTTTTTATAATCTGATTATGATGTGGATATCACTAATTTATTCAATCTGTGCCATGATATAGTATTTCTTAAGCTCAGGGATTTTATTTTTGGTTTGTTTCATATAGATCACAGTCTGTAATCATGTCTCCAAAACTTGATTTTTTAAATAAAACTCCTGAGGACTTTACCACAGCTGCTGGTGGTACCTAACTATGGAGCCCATCAGTGCTAGGCTCTGTAGGAGGTGAACTGAAGGAGCAAATGTATGTCCCAGGATTAGGATTGAGAACCTGACGAATGCTCACCTAATGCTTGGCTAAGAGAGAAAATGTGTACCACAGCAGATGGGATCAAGGCACAGAATTCCATTAATCTGATTTATTCCACTACTCAGAGAGGAGCCAGAACCCTGACAAGAGGTAAAAAGAGGTAGCTTGAGACAGTATCCAAGGGTAAGGATATGGTAACTTCTCACGATGAAAGTCCTTTTTTTCAGGAGAGGCACAGGAAGCGATAGTTAAAGCAGGCTGGTCTTGAGGCTTGGCAAATGAGCACCTTTCATTTAAGATTGCGTGAACACCTAAGAAACAGTTCTTGAGCGATATATGACTACTGTTATGTCAAAACAAATCACACAGTTGCTGTGGTGACTCATTAGGCTGAGCCCTTGAGATACAATACTAGGGTGATGAGGGTTTTAGGAAGGAGATCAATTGTATTTAATATGGTCTGGTCTACACTTGAGATTCTAAGTCCAGGTCTGAGACAAAGGCATATGCCCACGTCCTAAGGAAAGAAAATTATCTGAGAACAATAGAAAAAATATTTGAAGCACTAATTTAGCCTGGAAAAAATATTTTTCATACCCACCTCCACTCTATCCTTAATCTGAATTCAGTTTGGCAAGAGTTGTTTTATGGCAGCAGAAATGTGAGCTATGCTTGGCTTTCTTATTAGAGATGGGTTGTAGGAAAAACTAAGGAAAACTTTTTCACAAGTGTGATGAAGAAAAAAAAATAGCAACAAAGCAAACAAAAAATCCTAAACTTGAGAATTGACCTATAATGGAACAGATAGTGGGCTCTTATCATAGTCCAATGAGGAGAAACTTGTTGTGCACAGCCACTGGGTGAGACATCTTCAGTGGCAACTCATGGGAGGACAAGAGAAATTCTTCAGGCAATGCAGGATGAGCTGCTTTTTACTTTGTAAATGTGGTCTTCAAATCACATACACCCATTTAAGGATGTTATTTGGAGCAATCTAGAAGTATAGAATCAGGCAGGGAAAACCGTCTTCTGTTTTACTATATTATAGCTATATTTTATTGAACACCTATGTACCAAGCATTACACTAAGCACTTTTACATAGCTTATCACTTAAATCTCAAAATATCTCTGTGAAGTATTATTAACTCTAATGGGTGAAGAAGTTGAGGCTTGGAGAGTTACATAATTTGACTGATGCAAAATGGCTAGCAAGCGATAGAGTAGGGTTTTCAGTCTAGGAGTATGAATCTAGAACCGATGCTTTTTGCCACTTTGCTATCCTGCCCTTTGATGATGTGGGACCAATAACATATTTTGAGTAGGGTACACAAAAGTATGCAGGATTTGTACGCTCTATTCTGATGAAATAGAATCTAGGGGTTCCATGAAGAAGATTAACCAATGTCTCCAAAAGCTAGGTGATAACATCAGAGGAAGGAGCCTCCCCTTGTAAGGAGTCTTCTCAGATGGCAGGGAAAATGTGCCTATGACCAAACACCATATGAATATGAAATCATGGAAACCAATCATCCTAAGGAGAGAGTAACTAAACAGCTATCACACAGGAATAGAATGGTAGTTAATGCTGACTTCTTTATATTCAGGTTTCCCCACTTAGATTGTTACATATTATATGATATGGTAACACCTGAATGAGGCAATGGAGGGTGAATACATCAATAAACAGAGATGAACAAGTGGTAGAGCTCAGCTGCTGGCTGTGCACAGCAGTAGCTATCTTTGTCTCATCAAACGTGGCCAAGTGAAACCCCTAACCTTGTTTTATCCATAGTTGTCTTGTTGACTATTTATGTTGGGCTGGATGGACACCTGGGAGTCATAGCTTAAACCCAAAACTTACCACACACGTACTACATGATCTTGGCTAGAATATTTAATCTAAGTTATACAAACTGTGTTGTATGGAATGGATGTTTGTCTTATATTACAAATGGAGAAATACACTCAGATTATGAATACTACACTTTTAACATAGTACTGGCACATACTGTGTTAATAATAAAGTGCTTAACTTTCTAAAGGATAAAGCTTTCTTGTTTGGAACATCTTGGTTATCAGGAAGAGGGAGTTAGTTGTATTAAAGAACCATAACAACTTATTGGGGAGGGGGGGTCATCTATAAGGTAACCCTAAGATTTTCCTTGTAGTAATTTAATCTATTAACTGAACCAAAGTGAATAGGATCCAGGGTAAATTTAGAGAAGGTAAGGATTATATTTATTTATAGATAATTTATAATCACCTGTAAAATGTGATAATGTTATTCTCTAATGGTTTTATTTTACTGAACTTACTAACGTACTTCATGAATCACAAGAATGCTGAATTTATGTTTTGTCTATGCAATATGCTGAGCATATAAAATGTGATGTTTGTTTTCAAGAAGTTCTGGTTTCAACATTTAGTAACAGCACACAGAGATAAGTCATTCTTTCCTCTGTTAATCGTTCTTTCTGTGGAAATTGTTTACTGTAATGAGTATATATATCTTCACTCAAGTGACTTGTGACCACAGCTATGGATCACAATCTTCCTATAAGGCACTTGAGTGAATACCATAAACTCATACAGTACTGGAATTGTCGATTTAGTCCCTACAGGAGATTTCAGGAAACTGCAAAAGAGGTAATTAACTTAACCTGGGCATGGGGTTGGGTGAGGAAGAGAGCAGAACACAAGTCCCTAAGGAAGGAATTCACGAGCTGATCCTTCAACAATGAATAGAAACTTGTAAGGAGGATGAAAAGTAGCACAGTATTAGAAGTCATTTTTCTGATCCTGCCATACCACCAAGCTGAGAATATCCCTAGGTTTTCCCAGCACCACAAAGAGGAACTAATCTTATAGGACTGCACCATTCTCTTACATCATCTATACATTAATAGGCAAGAAGTCTCACCTGTGATGCTGGGTCCAGCTTACAACCACACAATGGAAACCCCTGCCTCCTTCCTCCTTGTGGGTATCCCAGGACTGCAATCTTCACATCTTTGGCTGGCTATCTCACTGAGTGCCATGTACATCACAGCCCTGTTAGGAAACACCCTCATCGTGACTGCAATCTGGATGGATTCCACTCGGCATGAGCCCATGTATTGCTTTCTGTGTGTTCTGGCTGCTGTGGACATTGTTATGGCCTCCTCCGTGGTACCCAAGATGGTGAGCATCTTCTGCTCGGGAGACAGCTCCATCAGCTTTAGTGCTTGTTTCACTCAGATGTTTTTTGTCCACTTAGCCACAGCTGTGGAGACGGGGCTGCTGCTGACCATGGCTTTTGACCGCTATGTAGCCATCTGCAAGCCTCTACACTACAAGAGAATTCTCACGCCTCAAGTGATGCTGGGAATGAGTATGGCCGTCACCATCAGAGCTGTCACATTCATGACTCCACTGAGTTGGATGATGAATCATCTACCTTTCTGTGGCTCCAATGTGGTTGTCCACTCCTACTGTAAGCACATAGCTTTGGCCAGGTTAGCATGTGCTGACCCCGTGCCCAGCAGTCTCTACAGTCTGATTGGTTCCTCTCTTATGGTGGGCTCTGATGTGGCCTTCATTGCTGCCTCCTATATCTTAATTCTCAGGGCAGTATTTGATCTCTCCTCAAAGACTGCTCAGTTGAAAGCATTAAGCACATGTGGCTCCCATGTGGGGGTTATGGCTTTGTACTATCTACCTGGGATGGCATCCATCTATGCGGCCTGGTTGGGGCAGGATATAGTGCCCTTGCACACCCAAGTGCTGCTAGCTGACCTGTACGTGATCATCCCAGCCACTTTAAATCCCATCATCTATGGCATGAGGACCAAACAATTGCTGGAGGGAATATGGAGTTATCTGATGCACTTCCTCTTTGACCACTCCAACCTGGGTTCATGAACACAATATCTGTTCAGATCCAGAGCATTCTAGCCAACTTCAAAGATGCCTCAGAGATCTGTGGAGCTGGATTGGTTTACCTGGTACTATAAGGAAATCTGAGATGAAGCTATAAAGGATATCTTTGTGTAACTTTTAAATTTCTACCAATAATATGAATGAAATGTTTCTAATTTTCTGACATTTTTAATGGGTTAATATGATAGTGTCTGAATCAGAGTAAGTTTGGTATAGAATACAGCTCTGTAATTTTTCCTTCTATAGCTTCTGACCTATATTTCCTACCTAATATCCTACCATCCCCTCTGCTGAAGAGACCAACTGTTTGGTATCTTCCCCTTAACCTGACTGATATTCTCAGAACTGTTCTTTCCTCCAAGTGATTACATGGAAGAAGCTATTAATATATGACCCTGCCCTCTGGCCCAATAGTGATCTCACTCCATTTGGGTCCTAATGCCCACACCTAGACCAGGGTCCTTCCCAAGCTGTATGGTCTACTGTTCATCTGGGGAGATATAAACTTGGGATCAGAGATGGTGGTAATTCTACAACACATAAACTGGAAGGAGAAAATTGGGATTGGCCCATGCATCAAAAGCCAATCACCAAGAACGGATGAAGAGAATAAGTCCTTGGTTCTCTGATTCCAAATCACTTTGGACACCCAGGTATATTGTTATGTTCTGTAAAATACCACTTAACTTTTAAATGTATCTCCTATTGTTAAGCTAGTTGGAGTTAGTGAACCAATTACCAGCTTTTTGTTTTTAAGCAACAGAAGCTAAGTTAATATAAGTTTGGTTTTGGAAATCTTTCTTGTTGCTTCCTAGTCCCAGTCCGTGTAACTTAACCTTAAGGCATAAAAGAAAGGGATCAAATATACACAGGTCTTTCTTCTTGTGGGCACCTCTCAGGGGGTGTGCTCTGTGATGAAGAGGCTAATAGAAAACAATGTAGATAAAGAAGTTGACAATAGCAAAGACTTGGAACCAACCCAAATGTCCAACAATGATAGACTGGATTAAGAAAATGTGGCACATAGACACCATGGAATACTACGTAGCCATAAAAAAATGATGAGTTCATGTCCTTTGTAGGGACATGGATGAAGCTGGAAACCATCATTCTCAGCAAACTATCACGAGGACAGAAAACCAAACACCGCATGTTCTTACTCATAGGTGGGAACTGAACAATGAGAACACATGGACACAGGAAGGGGAACATCACACACCAGGGCCTGTTGTGGGGTGGGGGGAAGGGGGAGGGATGGCATTAGGAGATATACCTAATGTTAAATGACGAGTTGATGGGTGCAGCACACCAACATGGCACATGTATACATATGTAACAAACCTGCACATTGTGCACATGTACCCTAAAACTTAAAGTATAATAAAAAAAAAAAAAAAAAAAGGAAGTTGAAATGTAATCACTCTTCTCCAGGTCACTGGATGCTTCCATGATTTTTGGTTTTGTTTTTCCCCTTCAGAAAATCTTGAACTGAGTAATCAGTATACGTTAAAAGAAAAAGATCTTATATATAAGAGATATGTACATTTGAAAATCTTAATAAAAAGATAATTTCCTACTAGTGTTAAAATTAAAGTGCGAGAGGAAACTGTTAACAGCAAGCTACTATATCTGAGTCTTAACACTTCCTGTCTACTGAAAAACAACATTAATTCAGAGTATTAAAAATTAAATAAAACATGGAAAGCAGATAACACAAACTCTGACATATTGTATGAACTTAAAAATATACCCAATACATTTTTAATTCCATAATTTTAAGGGAGTAGTCCTATACTGCCCAGTACTCATATGACAACTCTTTCAAATGGACAAGCTCCTTAGTAACTTAACATCTATACTTTCTACTAATATTAGACTTGTTTACCTGCCAAGAATGTATTCAATTTTTGAATACCAGCAGAGTAGAAATCAGCCTCTTAAAAATCTGATAATGATGCACAGAGGTCCCAAAGGGCAGGAAAGTGAAACTTTTTTCCCTCACAACCCCCTAACGTAAAAACAAAACAAGATTATGAGGTTATAACATAAAAAAACAAGATTATAAGATTATAAGATTGTTAAACACATTTGATAAGATTTTCATTTTGAAATGTCACATTATTCTTTCTCCATAAGTAACATGAAAAATTGGCTAGGTCCATTAAATGAAAGCATATTAGATGCATTAAAGAATCTGATGTAAAGCAACAAAGTTATAGTCCAGCCTGCACCCCAAACACTAATTTCTTCCCAGCATTTCCATCAGGAAGCTTGCCTTACCAGGTTTGCGTTTCATTCTCATTGGATTATTCTAAAAGTAGATGGAACCTACTGCTAGTACTCAAGTATTTACTGAACCACATACTTCCCAAAGTGTGCTGATTCCTTTCCATGGCTACCCCGAATGGAAAAACCTGTGCTTCTCACCATACATTCAGATATGGCCCCTGGTCCATCACATGAAGCCACGTGTGCTCTCTTAACTAGTGCCTGGGATGCACAGTAGATCCTTAATGTTTGGATTTTAAGAGATTACAACCAATCCTGATTGAAAAAAATGAAGACTGCCTATCTGTAGGTAGTTTTGAACCCAAGGCTTTGCCCCTATGTCTACCTTTTTTCTTTCTTTGCAGTACCCAGGCATTTTACCCTCTTTGCAGCCTTCTCCCTTAACATTCAGGTATTGCATCCGTCAGTTTCTCTGCAAAACAAGAGTAGGCAAAGCTTGTCCCTGCCTTGCAGTGAAGGCTTGCACCAAACTGGGGATGCCACCCTAGGCATTGCAGGGAGCAGTGCAGGCACTCCACCTCCACATGGCCACCTACCTTCTGCCCTACTAGACCACATATGAAAGGTACAGTAAAAGAAATTATCCATTAAATTCATATTTGAACAGAAGTATAATTAGGTATCCTCTAGTTTTTACTGCCCCTTTTAGATAAAAGCAGGTTATTTTTGTTTTGATTCTAGTCATGTGAATGAAAGTTCCCTCACTTAAATATTTAATACACACACACACACACAGAGTACTAGACTAGGGGTACAGTGGTGAACAGACAAATAAGGTCCTTGTTTTCATATGGTTCTCAGAAGGGAAGTGTAAACAACTACTCTGTAGAAAAGGGTTTTCAGGCACTTAGAGCTTCAATCTTCTTGTCTGGTCGTAAAAATCAGACAATCTGTAATAATGTGGATTGTTTAACCTTACGAGTCTTCTAACAAGTAATCAGAGTACCCAAACAGGCTTATAAATGTAAAAAACAATCAAACCAACCAAAAAGAGTACATTACAAATGAGGCCATTTCATTCCTTCCTTCATTCTAAGTTCGAATGAATTTATCAGCTAACAATCCTCCGTTTCTAGGAACCTTCCAAGATTTGTCTTAATAGCCAAAGAACAACATTGATTTTCCCTTAACCCTTTTGTCCCAATTGTCCACAGACAGAACTGAAGTCCTTCCTAGGGACCTACTTCTCAGTTACCCCCAGGGAATCCCCTGACAAAGATGCTCCTCTAATTGAGGCAGGCTCAACCCTTGGCCAGCACCAGGGTCTGTGCCTCACTAGCTCATTCCCCTCCAGGCAGCTGATGGAAACTTCTCCCCTTCTACTACTGATTCTCAAGAAGCAGTCTGGAAGCATGGTGGACAGAATGCGTTTATTTCTCCAGTTTGGCCTATTTTAACTCCTACATACATGAACAGCCAATACAATTAAAGTAGAAACACAATTTTTAATATTCCTTATCACAGCCATTTGAAGCTCCTTTCTGCCCAAAAGGTCTAGACTGCCAGCAGAGGCCCTGAGACAAAGGCACTGCTATAAGATGCAGACTGTATCATGGCACAGTGGGAAAGTCACCATGTGCAAAATCCACGGCTTGCCTGCCTCTATGCCTCAGACAGGAACAAATCATGGGATGGATCTGGGATCTATACAACAGCTCCATGAGGCAGGACAATCATATGAGGTTTTATGCTGAATTACACCCATTTTCCCAATGAGGACACATAAAACCTCCCAAACATGTGAGAAGTTTCAGACCCAAATATAATAAGTGATGTATAGGCATGTGACCTGCGAAGTGAGTTTGTCAACCTTGTTTCACTTGAGTGTGAAAAATGCTTTATAATTTTGATAATCTTACCTTCAGCAGCTTTGTAAGAAATAACTTGCTCCAGGGGCCGGGCGCAGTGGCTCATGCCTCTAATCCCAGCACTGTGGGAGGCTGAGGAGGGCGGATCATGAGGTCAGGAGATCGAGACCATCCTAGCTAACATGGTGAAACTCCGTCTCTACTAAAAATACAAAAAAATGAGCCAGGCGTCGTGGTGGGCGCCTGTAGTCCCAGCTACTCGGGAAGCTGAGGCAGGAGAATGGCGTGAACCCAGGAGGCAGAGCCTGCAGTGAGCCGAGATCGTGCCACTGCACTCCAGCCTGGGCAACAGAGTGAGACTCCGTGTCAAAAAAAAAGAAATAACTTGCTCCCTTAAGGCCATTTCAGTTTCCTCATTCATAAAGTGAAAATACAAACTAAAGCTCGCAGGTTTTCTGATCCTGCCACTTAGAGAAAAAAGGCAAGACTAGGACACTGGTCTCCTGGAGTCCAAGGGACAGTGATTTGCCCAGCTTGTGCTCAGAGAGGGAACGGCAGTGGGGTGGCTTGGGCAGGTCTGTGTCCCCCTGCTGCACTGAATTTCTCTTGCCAGGAGGTCAGAAGGTGAGAGTCACATAAAGGTTGCTTAGTTATAGCAAACCTCAGGGGAAGCATCCTCTGACTGGCCTCAGCACAACAACCAGCTCTGGGTATGCGCAGCATTTTTTTGGCCTATTGGGAAAGCCCATCTAATGGTGTCCTGAAGACTGTATCTACTTCATCATCCTCACTGACTGAACTGTGACACCGGACGGGAATCAGGGAAGAGGGTGGTTGGCTACTACATGGACAAAGTCCTGATCCTTACCCCAACGAGTCACCTTAGAACTGCTCTGATCCTCACCATCAGCCCTGTCGTGCTTCCCTCATGGGATGCAATGCTCATTTGACTGGGCCTCTGCTTTTTAAAATAAGTGGTTTCATGACAGACTTCAGCCTGGTAGCAAAGACCAAAGGATCAGACAGAGGAATCCTTGGATACTGGGCTCAGCTCAGTTTCAGGGGATACCTGTCAGTGGCTCGGTCCTCCAAGCCCCATGGGGGCCAGGCCCAATTCCAAGCCTCTCTGGTTAGGGTGGTAGCTTTCTTAGTCCTCCCCATCCAGGGAGCAGATGGCCAGAGGAGCAGTGTTGTTGGTTCCAATGCTGTAGCAAGGACTAAAATAGGGCAGGAGGCGCCCAGGGAAGGGATAGCGGGGGAAAGTGAAGATGTGGGAGCCACAGTCAGTCACATTGTAGAAAGAAATGTCATGGGCCTCATAATCCACGAAGATTCCCACCCGGCGAGGAGGGACCGGCAAGGACAGGATTGGGTACTCATCGGTGCCTGCTCGGTACTCATTTCCCTTCCTCAGCCTTATCACCCAGAATCCATAGTGGGGGGATAAGTAGACCACCTCCTTCCGGTCTACATTTTGCTTACATACTCCCAGGCCCCACTCAGACCTGTCTCCCACCTCCACCTCCCAGTAGTGCCGGCCTGAGGAGATGCACTGGCTTCCCAGGACGATATTATAGCGGTAAAATCTCTCAGGATTGTCTGGCAGTTTCTGGTTGGTGTCTCCATAGTGCACACGTTTTCTGTCCTCAGACACGATGAGACGGGAGTAAGCAGTATCTGGATCCAAGCGCACATCAGCTAGAAGAAAAGGTCCTGGTTGGTAACAGTGATATAGGGCCAGGGGACATGGGTGAGAGCCCTCTGATAAATTCAGCCACAGATTTCTCAATGATGAAGGGGTGAGGCTGGATGGAGCACCCAGAGGGCACTGAACCATTTTCTATCTCTGGGAGGGGTCCCTCCCACTGTCCACTACAGTCTCCCCCAGGATCCATTACCTGCATAAGTCTTCAGGATCTCTCTTAGCCCCAGCACACGGCAATCTGTCTTCAACTCCAGGGAGATTGGTTCTGGCTGCTGCAAGCTCCAAGATTTGCTCCTGGTAGAGGAGGGTGAACCTCAGGGCCAGGAGTCCCGGCTTTGTCACATGGGCCTTATCTTAGTACAGGGAAGAGGGGCTTGGCCAGGGACATAGTGAACCCCAGCAAAGCAGAGACATGATGGTTACGGTTATTTGGCTGAGCCTCAAGCTGTTTGTGTGCAGAGGTGAGAACACCTGCATGCCCATGCTATGGGAAGGGTTGGATGTATATTTGATTCTGGGAGAGGAAGAAGTGCACACATTTTCTGTCGGACATGAAGGAGTCATGGGCAGTCTTTTATCCTCTTTGAGCAATCTACTTGAAACCACATATTTTACAGCTTCACTTGATATACATTTGATCAAGTACAAAGAAGAAAAAGGAAAGATCAACAAAGATTCCTTAGCCATTACCATGTAAGTGGGACGAGACTGTGGACCAGCACCTGCTTTTCTGTGTGCACCGAGTCTGTGCTCCGTCCCTACTTCTGGCTCTAGTTAGGCCTCACTATCCCCTACAGGGCTGCTTAGAGGCTCCAAGGGTGAGAACATACCTGTTTAACACTTCCTGAATATCCTGGAAGGAGAAAAAAAAATGCAGCATCTGAGTAAGTGCTATTCCTCAGAGGGAACAGACATCGAACTGGCAGGGAGTTTCTCTAGGGGAAGGGAGACAGATACCAAGAATGGAGAGATGCCATGCAGAGGTAAGGAGAAGCCTATGGAAGGATGGAAGAGCAGGCTGAGCTTTGGCTGAACTGGCCAATTTCAGGCTCCATCTCAAGACTCTCGGGCTAGAGGAGAGGGCCTGGAATGACGCCAGAGCTGCCTGAGCACTGCCCCACCTATGATGCTACAACAGACCAGGTCATCCACCAGCCAGGGATAGGGAAACAGCAGGTATTAGCTGGGGAAACACAGGATCCATGACCAGCTGGCAGAGGGCTGGCAGTCCCTACTGAAGGGTAACTGATGCTCTCTCCTGGAGTCTCAGTCTATCTTCAGCTGTCACTCAGGGTTACCAGGAAAACCTACTACTCACCTGCAACATCCAGCGGACAGGCCTCTGCGACCTCTCTTTCAACTCTGCAATCATCCTCCACAGGACCTGGCTCTGCTGGATGAGCTCGCTATGGTTCAACTCCAGTTTCTGCATGGTCTCCGCTGCCTCCCGCTGTAGGCTGGCCAGAGCTGCTGCTACCTCTGCCCCCAGCTGCCGATGTGGTGGCTGCTTTTTCTCTAGTAATCGCTGGTATTTTTCAAACTCCCATACAATACTCTGTTTTCGGGTTTCCACCTGTATCTGTGGAGCCAAGATGGAAATCAGCACTGATACTTTCAGTCACCCAGTATCGAGCATACTGACATATGCATACACACATACTCTGCAATGGTACCAACCACGTGACAGGCTATGCAGGGGCAAAGATAAAGGATACTATTTTTCCTAGCTTCCTGTTCTCCCAGCTCCACCACATGCTTCTAGGTCTCTATTGTCACTCTTATTGACTCCAGTAGGGTCCAGGATATTATCTTAATACTACATGCTCTAGACTATTTTCCATTTTCAGAATAATGACAAGATGTGTTACATTTAAGTCTCTAAGGCAGTGTAACTTAACTACACTGTTAGGTGGTTCATTTTCATGTTGATATTATATCTGTTCAACATGCTGTTTTAGATTGGTTCAGTGTTACTTTCTGTTGATCAAAAGTTCTAGTAGTTTGATACTTACTGGCCTCAAATTTATTTCAGAGGTGATTTTACAATATTTTAATAACCAGACTCTTAGCAAATATTCTCTAACTTGGGAAAATGAAAGAGAAACTCTGCTTTACAAGCATGATATAAGCCATGCCACTGTGAGCTGACACACGTGAGCATGTGCTTTTCCTTTCTCATATAGGAGGATACAAGACCAGAGGTTATCCCTACATCCCCATGGAGAAACTGGAATTAAGAGGTGACGTGGCCTACCTAAGGCCTGGGACAGAGAAAGCAGGGATTAGAACCCTAGGCTCTGTGATTTCAAGCCTCACATTCTGCCTCACAGTGATGAGAATGCTACCCTAGGCCAGCTCCAGGACCACACAGGACGACTGACACAAACTCCTTTCCCCACGAGGCAACCTGCCTTCCAGGTGGCAGTTCGTTTCCTTTCACCAACTTCAAGCTTCCAGGCCTCTTCTTGCTCTTTCTTCAGATGTTCGAGGGCCTCATGAAGTTCCCACTGCAAGAGACAAAACCCTCATGAGGCCACCTCCGGCAGCCTAGGCTTCCTAGCACTGGGAGGCTATGGGAGAACCAGAGTCCTTCAGGCAACCGGCCACAGTGAAGGCTGTGGGGAAAGGGAATGCCACAGAGGAAGCAGACTCTGCCCAGATGACATCCGAGGTAGCTCTCTGGGCTGAGAATCATTTCAACTCCCACAGTCTCTAAATGTCTGTAAACTGGAAGAAAAGGTCCATTTACAACCTCTCCACAAAAGTACCTTGGACTTTCCTTTCCATGCCAATTTTTATCCTTATCTTATTTATTTTTATCTTACTGTCTGCCAGAACCTTGTTACTCCAAATGTGGTTCAAGTGGATCAGCAGCATCCACATCACCTAGGAGCTTGTTAGAAATGCAGAATCTTGGCCTTACTTTAGACCTACCAAATGAGAATCTCAATTTTAGATGGATCTCCCAGGTGGTTCATATGCTTATTAAGGGTAAGAAGCACTTTCCTAGAATAGTAATGCAAGGGATTTCTACTGAAAAGCATAAACTGTGCAGAAACACCATTTAATTCTGCTATTTTAACAAAATAGCAACTATTTTGTTAAAATATATCAAGTGTCAGGTATATTTTCAGCTCTAAATATGCATGTGATACTTACAATCCTCTGAGGCTGGTATTAACCTTATTTTATAGACAAGAAAACTGAGGCTTAGAGGGTGACCTACCCAAAGTCATTCAGGTAATAAATGGTTGGGCTGGGATTTCATCCAGCCCTTTACCCCTATGTTATACTAGCTCCCTTTTCTAATAGTCTCAAAAACAGAATGAGTTAGTAAATACTTTTCATATTTTAGAAATCCCTCCCATATAGGAAAAAAGCTAATTCAGGGGATTTGTCTTACACTCTCACCTTCCTATTTCAACTCCAAAAAAGAGAGTTGAGACCAATGCTGGATCACTGGATCACAGAATCACTGAGATAATGGTTCCGATAAAGATGTCATTATGGGCATCTGATGAAAGAGTAAAGAGAAGCCCAGAAGCTGGAAGTTGATGAGGTTAGCTACAAAAAAGGAGTCCCAGGTTTGTCAGAGATGACTTGTCAAACAAACAAACTTGGGAGAGGAGAAAGTGCAAGAAGACTTGAGTCACAGCCTCTGATCTTCCTTTCACTAACTGGACCTGAAGTCAGAAAGGACCTGAGAAGACTATATCAGATGACCTCTCTCAATCTTGTGACTCACCCATAGTTCTTTCCACCTCTAAAATAAATTGCCATGTTTTCAACTTTCTAAGCCTCACTTTTGTCTATAAAATGAAGGAGGGAAGTGATCCATTCAATGCCAAATGACTACTTGCAGCACTGCTAGGAGGAGTTTGCAGGTCAGGTGTAGCCTTGACCATCTATATAAGAGCCTCATGCCTAAACTCATCCAAGGCATCCAGAATCTCAGTTAAAACCCAAACTGTTTTCCTTCACATTCTCATTACTGAAATCAGCCTTGGGTTAGGAATTGAGCCCTGTTAGGATGTAGGTGTAGAGGAAGTGGGAGAGCAGGAAATCAAGGAAGGTCATGAATACAAGGAAAGGTATAGCTCTCTGTATCAGATTCCAGGGATCTCTGGGTGTCAGGAACCAAAGGAGTTAGCTCTCAGTCTGTGGTGCTGGTGGTCAAGCCCTTGATCTAGAAACAGCCAACTTGGGGCCGGGGTTAGACTGGAGTGGCCAGCTTCCATCTCTCACCTTGTACTCCCAGGCAACATCCTCCATTGGCACAACACTGTGGGCCTCATGCTCTGGGGACTGGCTGCAGGCCTCACACATTATCAAGACATCCTCTTTGCAGAACATCTTCAGCTTTTCCCCATGGCGCTCACACAGGTCACCCTTCAGCCCCATTCCTGGATGTAGCCTTAGCAGACGGACTTTTTCTACAACATTGGCCAGCTGCCAATTAGGCCGCAGGTTCCTTGGCTGGACAGGAGCTCGACAGAGGGGACAGGTGTAACCCCAGTTCTGGGATTCTCCTGGGATCTCCCAGAGTCCAGAGAGACAGCTGTGGCAGAAGCTGTGGCCACAGTCAATGCTCATGGGCTCCCTCAGGAAGGTCATACAGATG